>NC_000023.11:116198364-116557779 GCF_000001405.40 Homo sapiens | reverse complement strand
GTGTACTCGGTATGATACATATCATATGTATTATGCATGTGTACTCGGTATGATACATATCATATGTATTATGCATTTATACTCGGTATGATACATATCATATGTATTATGCATGTATACTCTGTATGATACATATCATATGTATTATGTATATATACTATATTATACATATCATATATATTATGTATATATACTATATATTATATATATCATATATATTATGTATATATACTATATTATACATATCGTATATATTATGTATATATAATATATTATATATATTATATATTATGTATGTTATATATCATATACATTATGTATATATAATATATTATGTATATATAATATAGATATTATGTATATATAATGTATTATGTATACATAATACATTATATATATTATATATATAATATATTATATATATAATGTATATAATATATTATATATATTAGGTACATAATATATTGTATATATTATGTATATAATATATTATATATATTATGTATATAATATATTATATATATTATGTATATAATATATTATATATATTATGTATATAATGTATTGTGTATATTATGTATATAATATATTATGTGTATATATTATATATATTATGTGTATATACTATATATATTATGTGTATATATTATATATATTATGTGTATATAATATATTATATATATTATGTGTATATAATATATTATATATATTATGTGTATGTAATATATTATATATATTATGTGTATGTAATATATTATATATATTATGTGTATGTAATATATTATATATTATGTGTATGTAATATATTATATATATTATGTGTATGTAATATATTATATACATTATGTGTATGTAATATATTATATACATTATGTGTATGTAATATATTATATACATTATGTGTATGTAATATATTATATACATTATGTGTATGTAATATATTATATACATTATGTGTATGTAATATATTATATACATTATGTGTATGTAATATATTATATACATTATGTGTGTATAATATATTATATACATTATGTGTGTATAATATATTATATACATTATGCGTATAATATATTATATATATTATGCGTATAATATATTATATATATTATGCGTATAATATATATATTATGTATATAAGATATTATGTATATATAATATATATATTATGTATATGTAATATATTATGTATTTATAATACATTATATATATTATGTATGTAATATATATAATATATATTACATATAATGTATAGATAATATATCATATATATTAATATATAATATATATATTATATATTATGTATATAAAATATATAATATATATTATATATAATGTATATATATTATATATAATATATATTCATTATATATAATATATATTCCTTCATTGTTTGGATGTATGCAGCATATTCTATAAAGCTCGAAACTCTCTCTGGAAAGTTCCAAGATTAATGATTTCCACATGTAAAATAGTTGATGACAGTATCAAAGCAAGTATAAGGTAACTATGGACATTTTAACAAAAGCACAAACATTGGAAACATTTTACTGCACATCCCTCCCTCAACACAAACTTTGAAATAGAGCTCTCATAACTATATACACACACTTTAATTGTGTACTTACCTCACATTCTTTCTCAGAAAACCCCTTGAACTAAAAATATATATTCACCACATTAACTTACCACATCTGCTATGCCTTCTGTACATAAAACTGTGATGGGCTTGAGCTCTAGTGTCTGCAAGTCACTTCATATTTCTGAGTCTCAGTTGCCCCACGTGAAAATCCAAATGTTCTCTAAGCTTTCTTACAGTTCTGATAATCCTGGATTTTGTGTTGTGTGTGTGTGTGTGTGTGCAAGAATGAGGAAGCAAACATACTTTGTCTTAGCTTGCAAATTTCTTTAGATCAAAGGCATTGCTATTCTCACTGCTTTTCTACTTCCTCTGAGACACAAACATATGCTAACACACAAACACACAATGCTATACCCACACCATTCGTTGTATTGAGAAGCAGCAGCAAGAAGAAAAAGCAAGGCAGCAGGAAATGATTGTGTGTTTGCGTTGGAGTGGGTAAACGTGCTATATAAAATTAGAGGGAGGGAGGAGAAGAAAGTCAAAGGAGAAGGGAGGGAGGCGGAGCTAAATGCAGTCCAGTGAGCAGCCTGTATTGTTACATTAATTTATGATTACTAGTCATAGTCATGGGCTGTGAAGCCAAGAAAAAAGAAATGCCTCTGAAAAGTCATTTTCATTTTACATTTTCAACCTTTAAAAAGCTTAATAATATTCAATCAGTCATTAATTTGCAAGATCATTAAACTCCTACAAGAGAAGGAAAGAAGTTATTCATTCTCAGATAAGTTCTTAATGACGAGTTTTAAAAGAAAATGTAACAGAAGCTTGTTACTAGGTACAGAAATCTCTGATCTCAAGTTCTGAAGACAGTTCTCACCAAAATTCTCCCAGGATCACAAATGGTCTGGGGCAATTTGAGTCATGGACTTGCTCATATTAGAGTGATCTTATTTCTACTCCATAGTATAAATTTCAAGTAATGCTAAATCACAAGACATAGAAAGTAATGCAGAATGATATGATTTGATCAAAGAGAAGAGCTTGTTTTATTACTTGAATCTAGGCTCACTATTCACTATTGTGTAATTAGAGCTGATAAGTGCAGACTAATGACCATTGAACAGAAGACTCAAAGATAGAGAAGCATGAAGCATGCTAAGTAGGAAGCAGCAACATGATCATGGCAAAGAGCAGGAAGGGAAGAAATATAAATTTTTTTTTTTTTTGAGACGGAGTCGCGCTCTGTCGCCCAGGCTGGAGTGCTGTGGTGCAATCTTGGCTCACTGCAAGCTCTGCCTCCTGGGTTCACGCCATTCTCCTGCCTCAGCCTCCCGAGTAGCTGGGACTACAGGCACCCGCCACCACGCCCGGCTAATTTTTTTTGTATTTTTGAGTAGAGACAAGGTTTCACCGTGTTAGCCAGGATGGTCTTGATCTCCTGACCTCGTGATCCACCCGCCTCGGCCTCCCAAAGTGCTGGGATTACAGGCGTGAGCCACCGCGCCCGGCCAGAAATATAAAATCTTAAGTCTTCTCTGTATAACTAGCAGAATAACATAGCAAAAATGCTTTGAACTATCAGGATACCTATATATTGTACCTGGTTCATTCATTTAATCAACAAGCACTTTTTGAGCACCTAATATGCACTAGATACTGTGTCTTGTGCTATGGAAATAACAAGTAATACAGTTTGAATAGAGCATAAAATGCGTGGAGTGGAATGGAGAGGGATAAGAAGCTGGAAAGGTAAGTAGGAGCAGATCGTGTAGAGATCTGTAAGCCATTTGAAGAGGTGAGAATTTATCTCAAGAGAAGCAGGTGTTACTGAATGATTTCAGCAGATAAGTGACATTATTTGTATATATTTAAAGACATCTCTCTGGCTAGAGTATGGAGGCTGTATGGGGGAGGGTCTAATAGTGTATGCTAGGAGATAAATTTGTAGGTAATTACAGCGGTACAGGCAAGAGATGATTAACGGCCAGGACTAGTCCACACATATCTTACTAACAAATTGAATGAGGGGTTGGGAAATTGTAAGGGAGACGGGATCTAGAATGATTGCCGTGTTTCTGACTTTGTCAGTTGAGTTAATGATAGTGCCACATACTAAAATAAGGTATATAGAAAGATTAGCAGCTTCTTGGGAATGGGCCAGAAAGGAAAATGATTAGTTGAGTATTGGATATGTTGATCTTTGGTTATCTGTGTGATGCTGAAATAGAGATACTGAATAGAAATGTGGACAACAGGATGAAGTTGAGAACTTAGAAGGGATTTGGATGCAATTAGCAGAGTGATAGAAATGTAGGGAAGATTATCAAAGATATCAAATATTATCAAAGAAGGTTGTATAGACTGAGAAGAGAAAAGAGCCTGGAACAGAACCTCGAGAAACACCAGCATTTAAAGGACACGCAGAAGAAAATGAACCAGCAAAGGAAACTGAGAGGCAGCTAGCAGGAGAACCAGGTGAGCATGATGTTATGGAAATCTAGAGAAGGGAGTACCTCAAAAAGGAGTTAATCTAACACTTGTATCCTTGAACAGATCAATTTCCCTTTTTTGACCTCACTGTCATCTTTGCAATAAATAAGCAGGTTGGGCCTGATAATATTTAAAAGTCTTCCCAGCTCTGATACTGTATTCCATAGGAGACTTGAAATGTCACTTCGTTGTGGCTAATAGTAGAAAGGGCATTCTTTCTAAGATTAGGACTTCAAGAAAAAGTCCTTAAGTATTGCCATCAACCTATTCAAAGATTTTACATAAAGTAACAATACCTAAAACATAATAACATGAAATAATACCTGATAAATTGGTAACAAATAAAAACAATATATAAGCAATAGCTATACATTCCTAAGTACCTACTAAGTGACAGGTACTGGTTTCTTTTTGTACTTTAACTCACTTACATAACAAATCTGCTCAGTAGATATTGGTATCTATATTCTACAGAGTATGAAACCAAACCCCAGAAAAAAAATTACTAAAAGTTCAGTGTTAGTTTGTGGAGGCAGGGTTTGAAATCAGGTCTGTATTATTCCAGCTCTTTCCACAGTGTTGAGCTGTCCCATGGAAAGCACCTCCTAATTCCCTTGATTTTCACCTCTTATATTGAGGCTATAAGTTATTTTCTTCTTTAACCCATTATCTGATAAGAGCCAGTTAAAGTTTCTAATAAAGTGTCTAAGCCAGTCAAAAATGTAATCTTGTCTTAACATAAGGTTCTGTGTATTTGCAGGCCAAGTTGCCCTTTTATACAGTCCACAACAGTTGGTATTCTGAAGAAAGTGGGCATAAGCATTGGGAGAGGTATTATCTTCCTAAGCGTTCAATGGCTAATAATTGTTTGCCTTCTTCAGAGCATAGTTTGCATTCATTCAAGACTCTTACTTTTCCCCCAATCCCTCCATAACATAAATCTCTTCCTAAATGTGTGTTGTTGGCTCAGTTTCTCCATGTATTAAAGCATTTAGGATGAGTATGGATAAAGGAGGAGAAGGGTAAATGCAGTAAATACAACCCATTGAAGGCACCCTCACATAGAAAACAATATGGAAGATTATGCCTAAATATACTAGCCAATATTCTGTGTAATGCACGTGTGTGTGTGTGTGTGTGTGTGTGTGTGGGCATGTATGTATTGGCACAGGGGATGTATTGGAGAGATATAAATGACTTTATTATTTTATGCATTTCAAAAAATGGTGGAATTTTATGTAATTTTACATTTTCTTTTGTGTTTTAATTTCTGTAATTAAAAAACCTTTTAAAATAATAACCTTACAAAAAACCCACTTTTTGAATTTTGAAACCTCTTCAATATTCTGTTTCTCCAACACTATCTTCACTGCATCATCAGTTTGCTGAATAATCCAAATGGATAATGAATTAAAATTTTTGGCCTACACTAACACAGCAACAATGTGAATTAAAATGAAGAATAACATACAAAGAATATTTCAAAGGTAGAACTGAAGGAGTTGATCTCAGATTAGTCATATCATCATCCTGCATTTCACAATGTAACAATATTGTTGTGTGTTTAACAGTGGTCTTTGGCTGCTTCCCCTTTTGGTATGTTGAGGTGAAGGATTAAGTTTGTGAATTCTTTTTTTAGCATATAAATCCTCATCCCTCTCGGTGTCCAGTGAAAGCCTAAATACACTTATTTGATATTATTGTTTTGCAAAAGCTAAGAACTCTATTTTATGGCCACATCGGAGCATCCTGAAGAAAAGAAACAGCACGTCCTCTCTCCATGAAATACAGAGCCCATGAAATCAAAATACCAAAAATAGAAAAAATGAAGCTCCACTCCAATGAATTGCCTTTGTCAGGGTTTAACTTCATTCATGAACCTCATCATTAAAAATGTCTTCTGACTCTGGCTATAATGCCTATTTGATAAGTGCTGCTCAAAATCAAGCATTTGCCTATGTGTGAAACATAACTTGTTTATCCCTTTTGGAAACAGAAAGATAATTATTCTTAAATATAAATACTAGTTAAAACATTTCATCCAACTTTTAAAATTCAACTTTGATGCTGCTTTGTAATAGATGGGCTCTCAATTATGTTATTTATGTACTGTGTCATCATGCTCACTTGCTGTCTGTATATGTATCTCCCCTCTATGTAAAATGACAACAAAATGAAAGAAATAAAAATAAAAATAATTCTATGATGAAAATGGAATGAAAAACAAATAAAATGTACTACATCTCAAATACAAAATTCACTGTGGACTTACTGCCCTTCAAATCCTTTTCATTCCCATGGGTCTACACTGAATATAGAAGCTATTTATCAGACCTTAGCTCCTGGGTTCCAGGGACAATGTGATTTTGCCCCCAGGCCAGACATAATACAATTTGACCTATATTGGCTGATTGGTCTATTTGCCACTCCGTATGCTGGAAATAACGAGGTCAGGCTGACTGGAGACACGTGGGGTGGCCCATTGAAATCGGTAATGGGGGAAGGAGGAGTCACTTCTTCCTCCTTTGCCTTCCCTGGAAGCCTTCAAGTGGGGCACAAAAGATAACATTGAAAGAATTCAGGGCAGCAAGAGGAAACAGAAAAGACCAGACAATGTCTGCAGGAGACTGCCTCATTCATGTCAGAGTCTGTGAGGTGTGTTAGAAGCAAGTGTCTGAAATAATAATTCACTTCATCTTTCCATCTGCCCCTCAGTGGGAGAGTCTCCTATTTGCCTTGTCCCCCAATCTTTATTTCCCAAGCTGCACACTTCAATCGGGCTGTTATTGCCCCCTGCCTATTTTATTCTAGCAGTCTTCTCCTGGGTCTCTCAGTCTAGTGCATCTCCCTCTGCCCCAGTTAATCTTGTTTGCTATTCTTATATTTAACTCTGCCCAATGTCATTTTCTTTACATGTATGCCTTCCTAAATAACCTACAACAGATTATTCTCATCCATTTAATAAAACCACAACCCCCCTACTCTGCTTTCTTTTCTTATGGCTCTGTCACACCCCCACCCCATCATAACTTTCCTCATCTTATTTTTTATGATTTCACAATCAGCCTTTCCCTTACAAACTGTTGTCCTGCTTATAGGAGAGATAGTATAGGTGTATATAATAAGACTATATATGATGCATTTCTATTTTAAAAATTGCTGTCTTTATAAAAGAGGTTGAGTGGAGGGAAATGGTGAGGAGAAAAAGCATGGAAGGAGGGAAAGCAACAAAGACAAACCCTGACCAGTCTTAGTACAGGTTCCAGGCTTCCTGATGCTACCAGGAAATTGCCTCTCACCCCTTAAATGTTGTTGTGGCTGTTAAGCAAAGACAGAATTTATGAAATGCCAAATTTGTGCCAAGCCCTTTCAGTTGTGCCATCTCATTGAAGCTTCTTGGCCCTTGAGGCAGGCACTGGAGCCCTTGTCTTGCAGATGAGAAAACTAAGGCTCAGAGAGGAGGTAAAAAGCAAGTGAATCAGGTCCATCTCACAACCCAATAACCCTTAATTGTACGCACTGTCTTTAAATGAAGTAACGTAACATGGAAATGGTCAATATTGATTAGATACTTTCTTCAACCCATCTTCCTCTCCAGGCAAACTGGGTTAAGAAGAGAAGGTCATGAATACAATATTCTCTCTTTCAGTAGTGCATAAGGTCATGAATATAATATTTTCCCTTTCAATAGTGCATACCCAGGCAAGCTGGGTTAAGAAGAGAAAGTCATGAATATAATATTCTCTCTTTCAGTAGTACATATGGAGGTCTTTCCATGGGTCCCAAATCAGGAAACAAATGTACTAAAAAATTCTTTTCAATAGCAATTTGGACCCCACAAATATATCTTTGGGAAAAACCAAAATGCAATAATTACATTTTAAACCTAAAATATATATTGATTAAAATTTCAATTAATTAAATTATTATTTTAAATTTAAAGTGTAATGCATTAATAGAAAATGAAGTTTGAAAGGGCTATTGAAGGGTTATTTAGTCTTTAATGGCCTGCAAAATTTTTCAGTCATTTCTTGCAGAAAGAGTATGCATGGTTGCTCTCTCTCAAAGCAATTCTCGCTTCCCTGCTTGGTATGTTTTGTTATGCTGTAACAAAATATCACGGACTGGGTAATTTATATTGATCAGAAATTTACTGACTTACAGTTTTGGAGGCTGTGAAGCCCAAGATTGAGGTCTGGCATTTGATCAGGGCCTTCTTGATGTATCACCCCATGGGGGAAGGACAAAAAGAGAGCAAGATGGGGAGTGGGCCCAGAGAAAGGGGTAACTTGTCCTTTTATAACAAACCTACTGCCTTGAAAACAAACTTATTCTAGATGTAATATCCTTAATCCATTCATGAGGGCAGAGCCCTTGAGTCCTAATCATCACCTCTTAATGTTCCCACATGTTAATACTGTTACAATGGCAATTAAATGTTAACATGACCTTTCAAGGGAACAAACTTCCAAAATGTAGCATCTACAATAATATTCAAATGTAAAATTAAGAACAGATTTTACCTACCAGTCTCTCACTTTAAGATTTTCCTCTGTTGGTGCAGCTTAAGGAAGTATTCCCTCATTCCTCAGCAACATCAAACTACTGATGCATATTGAATTTAAAAATAATCTAAATGCACCAAGGTGATTTTTGGGTATTGGAGATAAGTCACACTGACTGCATCGTGTACATATATAGCTGGGTTTTTTTCTCTAGGGGGTTAGGAAACCTAGAGCAGTATTTTATGATTATCCCTGCTAAAAATTTATCTTGTTAGATTCAGCCTGTCAACTAGTTCATGATGATGATCAATTTATAACTTTGGAAACTGGGTAATGCAATTCATAGAGACAGAAAACCCAAGAAGAAGGGCAAAGGTAGAGTGAAAGAATTGAGTTTATTTTAGAGATGTTGAGCTTGAGCTCTTAGTGTGAATCTAAGTAGAGAGGTCTTGGACTCAGACATAGCTTTGAGAATAAATAGCTAATTGGTAGAAATTTAAGCAACTAACATAGTAAAATCATCTAGAGGATTAAATGTTTAAGAATACCAGCATTTTAGGGTATAGTGTATATAGGTACATGAAAATGAGTCTGTACAAAATGGGTGCAAAGAGCAGTCACATATAGGGGAAAAAATCTGTAGAAGTATGGAATGAGAATATTTCCATTAATCAATTTTGACAATTACCACAAAATAATTGCTAAGAAAAGAAGTGAAAACTCTGATCTTAATAGTCTATGGCTTTGTAATTTCACTGATCTCCCTCATAAGGAAATAATAAATGGTGCGATATGATTCTTTTTGGTAGCCTCGTGGTAGATTTGAGGGACCATCACTTTCCCTAATAATAGCTTATAAATAACTCCTTTCATGAACCCTTCTTATATCATGCACAACTTTGAAAACATATTCATTAGTATATTAGTCTGTTTTGCATTACTATGAAGAAATACCAGGGCCAGGCATGGTGGCTCATGCCTGTAATCCAAGCACTTTGGAAGGTCAAGGCAGGTGGATTACCTGAGGTAAGGAGTTTGAGACCAGTCTAGCCAACATGGTGAAACACTGTCTCCACTAAAAATACAAGAATTAGCCAGGTGTGGTAGCACACACCTGTAATCTCAGCTACTCGGGAGGCTGAGACAAAATAATTGCTTGAACCGGGGAGGCAGAGGTTGCAGTGAATTGAGATTGTGTCGCTGCATTCCAGCCTGGGTGACAGAGCCAGACTCCATCTTGAAAAAAAAAATACCGGAAGTTGGGTAATTGATAAATAAAAGAGGTTCATTTGGCTCATGGTTCTGAAGGCTGTACAAGCATGGCACCAGCATCTGCTCAGCTTCTGGTGAAACCTCAGAAAGCTTTTACTCATGACAGAATGTGAAGGGGGAGCAGGCATGTCAATTGGTGAGACAGGGAGCAAGAGAGATGCCAGACTCTTTCAGACAACCATTTCAGGGATCTCAAGTCATGTTTCATGTTTCCCCTCTTTTTAATTTTGGCTTGATAAAATCCCCAAGATTCTTCAACTTCCTTAGGCAGTATCGCTTCATCACTTCTCTTCTCTTCTTTCCCTCCTCCCTTACATGTTGTTTTCTGGGAAAAATCACCAGAAAAAGATTCAGCTAGATGACTCTTCTTTCAGCCACACAAGTCTTTTCAGACGGTATCTTTCTCATAAGCAATTTAAGAGTTAATCCTCAACCAAACACCTTTAAGTAATTAAGAAGTACAGTTTAAAAAATATTGTACTGAAAATGGGAAACACAGTATCTATATGTCACTATTTTGAAAATTCCAGAGATTCCTCTGTTCTCTGAGCAAATGGAGATCCCATATTATCAAAGGTTTCTTCTGTTGGCTGTTTTAATGAGGCAGGTGCTAACTCTTGCAGAGTTAAAGAGACAAAGGTAAGGATTTTGCTGATTTACAGTTTCTGCTATATGCACTACTCTGGGTTTTTTCCAGAGGCTCAAATTATCTTTAATTTTATTTAGTTCATCCCAAGTGTAATCAAATTTATATTCTCTGAAGTGTACTATTCTCAGGTGACTAATACTTTGAGAGTCATTTTCAGGATCTTGAATTATAAAATGCTTAAATCTTATGATGTCATCAAGTCTCAGAAATATGTAAATGAGTTGAAAAAGAGTTATAGACCATTACAGACTCTCTGAAAGACAAATTTTAAAAAGGTTTCAGGGATGGCGCCAAGATGGCCAATTAGAGCCAGCTGTGGTCTGCAGCACTCAGAGAGGAATGAGAGCAACAAGTGAATTCAGCACCTTCAACTGAAGTATCCAGGTTATCACGTTGGGACTGACTAGGCAATCAGCTCAACCCAGGGAGAGTGAAGAAAAGCAGGGTGAGATGACAGCCCACCTGGGAGAGGCACAGAGCCAATGGAACCCCCACCCAAAGCCAAGGGAGGCAGTGAGTGATTGTGTGACCGTGTCTAGGAAACCACACTCCTCCCAAAGATCCCATGGATCTTTGCAACCTGCTGATCAGAGATCCCCTCATGAGCCCATGCTACTGGGGCCTTGGGTCTGATACACAGAGTAGTGTGGAGACTCAAAAGAGCAGCCACTCAGGCACACATGGAGATCCAGGAGTTTTACATACTCTGGCCCTGGGATCCCAGGTGAGGAGGCATATCTATTCATACATTCTCTCAGGAAGGGGATTGAATCCAGGGAGCCAAGCAGCATCAGGTTGTGGGTCCCACCTCACAAGTTGGGACCCACTGGCATAAATTCAAGCCAGCCAGCAGCAGCAGGCTGAGTCTGACTGAGATGGGAGGGAGTTTGTTGGGGGGAGGGTAGGCCACTATGTTTGTGGTTCAGTAGACTCAGCATTAGAGCCTGCCAGCTCTGGAGGGTCCAGGTGGTCCAGATGAGGGGGTTCACCCTAACACAGTACACTTGCTTTGCCAGATCATGCCCAGACTGCTTTTTAAGAGGGACCCTGATCCATTCCTCCACACTGGGTGAAGGCTTCCTGTGAGGGACTCATCCTGAGATGAAGCTCCTAGGGGAGGAGCAGCTGCTGTCTCTGCAGTACGTTTGATTCGGCTGTTCCAGCCTGCTGACTCTGGAGAGTCTGGGCAGTCTGGACAAGAAAGGGTACCCCTCAATGCAGCAAACCTGCTCTACCAAAAAGCAGCCAGACTACTTCTGTGTGTCCCTGATCCAGTTTCTCCTGACTGGGTGAGGCCTCCTACAGGAGCATTTGGGCCAACAACAGGTCAGTACCCCCCTGGGATGGAGCTTCCAGAAGAAGAAGTAGGCTGCCGTTTTTGCTTTTTCACAGACTCCACTGGTGATACCTCCAGGTACGAGAAAAACTGAGGCAACTAGGGTCTAGAGCAGACACCTAGCAAACCACAGCAGCCCAAAAGATGCTAACAGTCAGTGGCCTGACTATTAAAAAAAAAAACAAAAAAACAGAAAACAACAACAACATCAACAAAAAAGACCCCCCCCCCAAATTCCAAAGGCCAGCAACCTCAAATATAAAAAGTAGATAAACCCACAAAGATAAGAAAAAAATCAACACAAAAATGCTGAAAACTCAAAAAGCCAGAGTGCCTCTTTTTCTCAAAATGTCTGCAACACCTCTCTAGCAAGGGCACAGAACTAGGCTGAGGATGAGATGGCTGAATTGACAGAAGTAGGCTTCAGAAGGTGGGTAATAACAAACGTTGCTGGGCTAAAGGAACATGTTGTAACCCAATGCAAAGAAGCTAAGAATCATGATAAAACAATACAGAAGTTGATAACTAGAATAGCCAGCTTAAAGAGGAACATAACAGACCTGATGGAGCTGTAAGACACGAGAACTTCACAATGCAATCACAAGTATTAATAGCAGAATAGACAAAGCAGAACAAAGAATCTCAGAGTTTGAAGATTCTGAAAATAAGACAGGAAGACAAGAATAGAGAAGAAAGAATAACAATGAGTGAACAAAACTTCAGAGAAATATGAGGTTATATAAGAAGTTTGAACCTATGAATTACTGGGGTACCTAAAAGAGTCAGGGAGAATAAAACCAAGTTGGAAAACATACTTCAGGATATTATCCAGAAGAACTTTCCCAATCTAGCAAGACAAGCCAACATTCAAATGCAGGAAATTCAGAGAACCCAGTAAGATTGAGAAGATCAACTCCAAGACATATAATCATCAGGTTCTACAAGATCAAAATGAAAGAAAAATGTTAAGGGCAGCCAGAGAGAAAGGCCAGGTCACCTAAAAAGGAAATCCCATCAAATGTACAGCAGACCTCTCAGTAGAAACTCTACAAGGCAGAAGAAATTGGGGGCCAATATTCAACATTGTTAAAGATAAGTATTCCTAACCAGGGATATCATATCTGGCCAAACTAAACTTGAAAAGGGAAGGGGAAATAATGTCATTTTCAGACAAGCAAATGCTGAGGGAATTAGTCACCACCAGGCCTGCCTTGCAAGAGCTCCTGAAGGATGTGCTAAATATGGAAAGGAAAAACCATTACCAGCAACTACAAAAAACACTGAAGTATACAGATCAGTGACACTGTGAAGCAACCACATTAAAAAAGTTTGCAAAATAACCAGCTAGCATCATGATGACTGGACCAAATTCACACATAACAATACTAACTTTAAACGTAAAGTTAAAATATCCCAATATAAAAGACACACAGTGGCAAACTGGATAAAGAGCCAAGGCTTACCTGTATGCTGTCTTCGACAGACCCATCTCACATGCAAAGGCACACATAGGCTCAAAATAAAGGGATGGAGGAAAATTTACCAAGGAAATGAAAAATAGAAAAAAAAACAGGGGTTGCAATTCTAGTTTCTAACAAAACAGATTTGAACCAAAAAATATCAAAAAAGACAAAGAAGGATTCAATTCAACAAGAAGTGCTAACTATCTTAAATATATATGCACCCAATACAGGAGAACCTGGATTCATAAAGGAAGTTTTTAGAGAACTACAAAGAGACTTAGACTAGACTCACACACAATAATAGTGGGAGACTTTTACAGCCCACAGACAATATTAGACTGGTCATCGAGACAGAAAATTAACAAAGATATTTAGGAACTGAACTCAGCTCTGGATCAAGTGAACGTGATAGATACCTATAGTACTTTCTACTCCAAAAAAGAGCATATACATTCATCTCAGTGCCACATGGCACTTACTCTAAAATTGATCAAATAGTTAGAAGTAAAAACACTCCTAAGCAAGTGCAAAAGAACAGTCTCTCAGACCACAACGCAATCAAATTAGAACTCAAGATTAAGAAATTCACTCAAAGTCACACAACTACATGGAAATTGAACAACCTACTCCTGAATGACTCCTAGGTAAATAATGAAATTAAGGCAGAAATCAATAAGTGTTTTTGAAACTAATGAAAACCAAGAGATAATGTTTTCAGAATTTTTGGGGGGCAGCTAAAATGGAATTGAAATAGAAATATGTGGCACTAAATACCCACATCAAAAAGCTAGAAAGATCTCAAGTTAACATCCTAACAGCACAACTAAAAGAACTAGAGAACCAAGAATGAACCAACCTCAAAGCTAGCAAAAGACAAGAAATAACCAGTACCAGAGCAGAACTGAAGGAAACCGAGACACAAAAAATCCTTCAATAAAATAAACAAATCCAGGAGATGTGTTTTGAAAGAAATTAATAAAATAGATTGATTATTAGCTAGACTAATAAAGAGGAAAAGAAAGAAGAATCAAATAAACACAATGAGAAATGATAAGGGAGACATTACCACTGACCCTACAGAAATACAAATCAGAGTATGCTATAAACACCTGTATGCACATAAACTAGAAAATCTGGAAGAAATATGTAAGTTCTTGAACACATACAGTCTCCTAAGACTAAATCAAGACAAAATTGAATCCCTGAATAGACCAATAACGAGTTCTGAAATTGAGGCAGTAACAGATATCCTAGGATCAGAAAATATCCTATGACCAAAAAATGCCCAGGACCAGACAAATTCACAGCTGAATTTTACCATAGGTACAAAAAGAGCTGGTACCATTTCTACTAAAACTATTCCAAAAACGTGAAAAGGAGGGACTCCTCCCTAACTCATTTTATGAGGCCAGCATCATCCTGATACCAAAACTTGGCAGAGATACAACAGCAACAACAAAAACTTCAGGCCAGTATCCTTGATGAACATCGATGCAAAAATCCTCAAGAAAATACTGGCGACCTGAATCCAGCAGCACATCAAAAACCTTATCCACCATGAACAAGTTGGCTTTATTCCCAGGAGGCAAGGTTGTTTTAACCTGCACAAATTTATAAATGTGATTCATCACATAAATAGAACTAAAGATAAAAACCACGATTATCTCAATAAACACAGAAAAGGCCTTCAATAAAATTCAACATTGCTTCATGTTGAAATCTCTCAATAAACTATGTATTAAAGGAACATACTTCAAAATAATAAGAGCCATATATTACAAATCCATGGCCAATAACATACTGAATAGGCAAAAGCTTCAAGCATTCCACTTGAGAACCGGCACAAGACAAGGATGTCTTCTCTCACCACTCCTGTTCAGCATAGTATTGGAAGTGCTGGTCAGGGCAATCAGGCAAGAGGAAGAAATAGAGCATATTAAAATAGGAAGAGAAGAAGTCAAATTATCTTTATTTGTAGTTGACATGATCCTATATCTAGAAAACCCCATTGTCTCAGCCCAAAAGTTTCTGAAGCTGATAATAAGAAACTTCATCAAAGTTTCAGGATACAAAATAAATGTGCAAAAATTTCTAGCATTCTTATATAACAAGAGCAAGCAGAGAGCCAAATCATGAATTAACTCCCATTCCAAATTGCTGCAAAAAAATAAAATACCTAGGAATACAGCTAACAAGGAAAGTGAAGGACCTCTTTAAGGAGAACTACAAACTACTACTCAAAGAAATCAGAAAGGACACAAAAAAATGTAAAAACATTCCATACTCATGGATAGGAAAAATCAATGTCTTCAAAATGGCCATACTGCTTAGAGTAATTTACAGATTCAATGATATTCCCATTAAACTACCATTGACATTCTTCAGTGAATTAGGAAAAAAAAAACTCTTTTAAATTTCATATGGAACCAAAAAAGAGCCCGAATAGCCAAGACAATCCTAAGCAAAAAGAACAAAGCTGGAGGCATCATGCTATCCAACTTCAAACTATACTACAAGGCTACAGCAACCAAAACAGCATAGTACTGGTACAAGAACAGACACATAGAATGATGAAACAGAATAGAGATATCAGAAATAAGACCACACACCTGTAACCACCTGATCTTCAACAAACCTTACAAAAACAAGCAATGGGGAAAGGAAAGGATTCCCTATTTAAAAAATGGTGGTGGGAGAAATGAGTAGCCCAATGCAGAAAATTGAAACTGGACCACTTCCTTACACCTTATACAAAAATTACCTCAAAATGGATTAAAGACTTATATGTACAAACCTAAACTATAAAAAACCCTAGAAGAAAATCTAGGCAATACCTTTCAGGACACATGCATAGGCATAGGACATAGGCATAAGCAAAGATTTCATGATGAAAATGCCAAAAGCAATTTCAACAAAAGCAAAACTTGACAAATGGGATCTAATTTGTCAATTTGTCAAGCTCTAATTTGTAGAGCTTCTACACAGAAAAAGGAACTACCATCAGTGTGAGCAAACAACCTACAGAATGAAAGAAAATTGTTGTAATCTATCTGTCTGACGAAGGTCTGATATACAGAGTCTACAAAAAACTTAAACAAATTTCCAAGAACAACCTCATTAAAAAGTAAACAAAGGACATTAACAGACACTTCTCAAAAAAAATAAATACATGTAGCCAAGAAACATATGAGAAAAAGCTCAAAATCATTGATCATTAGAGAAATGCTCATAAAAACCACAATAAGATGACATCTCATGCCTGTCAGAATAGCAATTATTAAAAAGTCAAATAACAACAGATGCTGATGATGTTGCAATAAAAAACGAGCGCTTTTACACTGTTGGAGGGACATAAATTAGTTCAACCATTGTGCAAGACAGTGTGGCAATTCCTCAAAGATCTAGAGGCAGAATTACCATTTGACCCAGCAATCCCATTACTGAGTATTTACCCAAAGGAATATAAATCATTCTATTATAAAAATATATGCACCTGTATGTTCATTGCAGCATTATTCACAATAGCAAAGACATGGAATCAACCCCAATGCCCATCAGTAATAGACTGGACAAAGGAAAGGTGGTACACATAACACCATGGAATACTATGAAGCCATTAAAAGGAAGGAGATCATGTCCTTTGCAGAAACATGGATGGAGCTGGAAGCCATTATTCTCAGCAAACTAACACAGGAAAAGAAAACCAAACACTGCATGATCTCACTTGTAATTAGGAGCTGAACAATGAGAACGCATGGACACAGGGAGGAGAACAACTCACACTGGGGCCTGTCAGGCAGGGGCCAGGGGGAGGGAAAGCATCAGGATAAACAAATAATGCATGAGGGGCTCAGTATCTGGGTGATGGGTTGTTACATGCAGCAAGCCACGATGGCACACATTTGCCTATGTAACAAACCTGTACATCCTGCACATGTACCCCTAAAATGAAAATAAATGTTGAAACTAAAAAAAAAAAAGTTGTTAAACTTACTCTTAGTAGGGAATTTAAAGAGTATTATAAAATTAATCACAGAAAATTGCTTAAAGTTTTTAAATTTTTGAAAGTCAAATAAGAATGAAATGCTACACAAGTAATAAATTAATCAACATTTTAAGGATAACTTTTAATATTTTGGAGAAGAAAATGTCCAAACCAAACATTATATGAAAAATTCACCATGACAATATTTCTGTTCAGTAAAGACTGAAACTATTTTATATAAAAAGTTATTAAAATATTTGTTTTTTTAACCTGTATCATTCTGTATAAAATAAAACCAACTTGGATTTGTACAGAAGCTTTAAATTTTTTCAAGATTTTTTTCATTTTACATTTACATGTAGAATTTGAGTAAGAACATGACAAAATGAGAGGTTATGTGACTACTTAAGGTCACACAATAAATTCATAATACAGAAAGTTAAAAAATTACTTTTTGATTATTCACAGCTTTTTTCCTCCAACTATTAAAAAAAAGTCTCTTTTTTTTCTTACATTTATCACCCCTAAAGGAAAGTCTAGCTTTGCCAAATAGATTTTTAGGCTTTAGAAATTGAGAATCAGGAATAAAGAAAAATATAACTGGTATTTAAAGCTTAAGGCTAGAGGATATTTCATAGAGTGGGGGAGTTGAGAGATAATAAGTGTGGGAGTAGCTAAGATGTGATAAAAGTGTATAGGAGAGGAAGAAAAAGGCATTTTTAAGATGCATTTCTGGAAACTATGTGTCTCAGAAGATTCATGAGATATAAGTGAAGAGATTAATTATTTTAAAGTTGCTCTCAGTTGAATTAACTGTGTTCCACATGCATTTATCATCTCTCAATGTATCATGTGGATCTATGTCTTCAAAATATTTTTAGTAACATATTTTTAAGTATAGCAGTATATCTTTCTGTTTACGATAATAACTCTGTATCATTTAAGAACCGCCCCCCACACATATACCATTTCAACACAAATACAGGAAATTCTTACTATGCTGCTGCAATATAGTGAAACATTTTTTACTAAAAGTGACTGCTTAATCCAATGTGAGACAATAGCAGCCAAATTAAGAAAAGGAAAATAAACTCATACTGATTGTTGTAGCACATCTTAATAGTCCAACAACACCTGTCAGATACAATGGTAGATTAATTTATGAATCTTTGTCATTATTTACTGCCATTGGTCAAACAATTAATTAATGCATTCATTTATGCATTCAAGTAACTTTAAAAATACGAATTTAGGGAAATAAGACATAATACTTGCCTTTAGGAGTTCCAAGTTGGAATAGCAGAAGGTAAAGAGAGAGTCATATAAATATCATAATGCAATCAATACATTTTATTTTGGAAAAGTTTTTATACAATTTGCCATAGGAGTTCACAGCTAGAAACCTGAGTGAGCAAATGAATGATGGCTTCATCAATGAAGTCTTACCTGCATTTTCAAAACTAGATATATAGGAATACAACGGAGAGATCATACTAGATAAAGACCCTGCACTACTATAGTGACATGCTGTGTTCTTAAAAAATTGTGGCTGGAGAGTAGATACAGTAGATATATGTTACAGAAAATGTGGTAAAAACTAAGGACAGTGATAATAATTTGAAAGATATAATGTTAGACAGTTAGGTTGAGGCCAAATTGTGAAGAGTTTCCACGCTTTTGAGTATATGTATATGTACATTTTCCTGAGAAAGGATTTGTAGCTTTCATAAATTCTCAAAAAGCTTGTAACCACCCAAAATGTTAAGAATCACTGCTAAAGGAAAAAGGAGTGGGTTTTTTTTTTGTTTTTTTGTTTTGTTTTGGTTTTTGTTTTGTTTTGTTTTGTTTTGTTTTGTTTTTTTGAGACAGAGTCTCGCTCTGTCACCCAGGCTGGAGTGCATTTGCGCTATCTCTGCTCACTGCAACCTCAACCTCCCGGGTTCAAGCAATTCTCCTGCCTCAGCCTCCCAAGTAGCTGGGATTACAGGTGCCTGCCCCCATGCCTGGCTCATTTTTTGTATTTTTAGTAGAGACAGGGTTTCACCATGTTGACCAAGCTGGTCTGGAACTCATTACCTCAGGTGATCCACCTGCCTGGGCCTCCCAAAGTGCTGGGATTACAGGCGTGAGCCACCGCGCCAGGCCTAAGAGTAGTCTTTTTAACATGCGTATTTGTAAACTCCTTGTATCAATGAATGCATCCTAGAATAATCTGAAGAAATCTGTACCAAGTACCATAAATCGTTTAATAATCAAAAATTTTCCAACAAAGGAAAGCCCAGGACCAAGTCATCTCAAACTCTCACAAAAAGTATGAGTAAAGAACACATCCTAACTTATTATGTAAGGATAGAATTACCTTTATAACAAAGCCAGACAAAGACTCCTCATGAAAACAACAGCCCGGTCATCTCCAGTTAACGCAGATGCAAAAGTCAACAAAATACCAGCAAATGCAATCCAAAAGTATATTAAGATGAGTATTCATCATGAACAAATGAAATTTACCCAGGAATGCAAGGGAACTTCAACATATTATAATCAATGTATTACACTGCACTTATAGAATAAAGGAAAAATAATAACCTCAATTGATGCATAAAAATGCATTTGACAAAATGCAGCATTATTTTATGATAAGACACTCAGAATACTAGTAATAGAAGGTAACTTCTTTATACTAGCAACAAAATGAAATATCTTTTGAAAAATTGAGAGTTATGTTCAAAACTATCATGAGGAAACCATAAAACACACATGAAAGATGGAAAAGAAGTGGATGAACAAATGAAAAGACTTACCATATGGTTGGTCAGGTAGTCTTAACATCACAAAATTTTAAATTCAGACAAATATTGCATTATTCCACTTATATGAGGTATCTAAAGTAGCCAAACCCTTAGAAACAGAAAGTAAAATAGTGGTTGCCAGGGACTTGGAGAACAGGGAAAGGGGAGTTGTTGCTCAATGGATATAAACATTCAGTTTTGCAAAATGAAAAAGTTCTAGAGATCTGTAACACATCAGTCTGCATATAGTTAACATTCTAATACTGTACACCTAAATCTGATTAAGATGGTAAGTTTTACATTATGTGTTTTTTACTTTAATAAAAATTTTCAATTTAATTTATAAATGTGATGAGAGCCTAATAAAAATACTAAAATATTAAAGAGCTAGAAGTGTTCATTATAAAATACGTATGAGAATAAATAAGCAAGGATATAAAAAAAATACAGAAGTACAATGTAGGTGCAGAGGGAAAGGAGTGTTGGAGAGTTGTTAACCCTACCAGGTAATAAAACATATGAATACTCTATAATTAAGGCAGTATACTATATTGGTATTAATAGGCAGAAAATGGAGCATATAGAGTCCAAAAGCAGACTAGCAGTGTGTGTTCATGTATATATGACATATATGGATATATTGATAGAAAGAGAGAAAGATACTGAGAGGCCAACTTAAGAGAGAATGGGGCATATCAAGTCAATGGGAGAAAGATGGACTTTAAAAGTAAATATTTGGATGACTGTGTAAGTACTTCGTCAAAAAAAATCGGATCAATATATTACTTAATCCAATTCCAAATTGGTCAGAAATTTAAATGTGAAAATAGTGTAACCATACAAGTACAAAAGTAAATATAGATGTATTCCAATATAACCTGGGAATAAGAAAAAACTTATTATCAGCAATGAAAAGTGCCATAAACAAAACAACAATACAAATAAAAATATAAAAATACACATTATATCACAAAGTGTGTAATATATCCCTAATAAATAAATCCTAATAAGGACAGACCAACAACATAATAGAAAAATAAGTCAAAACTATGAACAGGTAGTTCCCATAAGGAGAAAAAAATCGCCCTGAAACACATAAAATCATGCTCAATTTTATACATAATAAGGTAAATGCAAATTATAACTATATTGAAATACTATTTCTCACATATATTAGCAAAAGCCTAGTATTTGGCAGCATATTTAGAAAGATTGGTAGGAATATAGGAAAATAGGCACACACATGCGTAGTTGATGGAAAAACATAATTATGCCATTGCATCTAAAGAATGATTTAGCAGTATTTAGAATTATAAATGACACACCAGTCCCAATTCTAAGAATTTATCCCAAAGATACACTGACAAATATTCACAATCACTTATTCACAAGAACCCTCAAAGTGAAATAATTTATAATGGCAAAATATTGGAAAAAAACAAATATCCTTTGATAGAAGACTGGTTAATTTGCTTTAAAACATTATATGTAACAGAACACAAGGGAGTACTATGCACCTGTGTAAACTAAAGAGCAAAATCTCTATTAACTAATTTTAAACGATCCTCATAATAAAATGGAAAACAGAAAACAAATGTGTAAATCAATATACATAATTTGCTAAAATTTGTATAAGAAATTTTACACAAAATGAGTGAGGAAATTTTACACAAAATGAGTGAGGAAATATTTCTTCATATATAATTTTAATTTTGGAATATGCAAATTAATGCATGACTTCAATTTGGAAATATACAAATGCTTTATATATTTGAGATACAATTTAGTGAAAAGAAAGGTAAAAAATAACTAAAAATGAAAAATATACTGAAATAAATGAGTCTGACTCCGTAATAATTTATTGACTAGATCACTCTTACACAAGAATAATTTCAAATGACTTTACAGTGAGTGATTTCGTTATTTTCTAAAGTTCTCTGTAGATTTCTTTTACATTTATTAAGATTGACAAATAAAAATTGTACATATTTAAGGTGTACAATGTGATGATTTGATATACATATATATTGTGAAATGATTACCACAATCAAGCTAATTAATGTATTTGTAACCTCACATATACTCTTTTTATTTAGTAGTGAGAATACTTGAGATATACTCTTTTAGCAAATTTCAAGCACACAATACATTAACTATAGTAACCATGTTGTAATAGAATTTTTTAAAAATTATTTTAATGAAACTATAGTACACATGGCCAAAATGTAAATGAACAACAAAATAAATTGTCACAAATAAACACTTTGTAACCACTAATCAAGTAAAAAAACTGAAAATTATCAGCATTCCGGAAGACTCCTTCAAGCCTCTTTCCAATCACTATTTCCTCCTTTTTCCCAAAAAGTAACCTTCATTCTGACTTTTAAGTCAACATACCTTAAATGTTATAGCTGTAAATATCTAGTACAAAAAGTTAGCCCATCTTTACCTTCTTCAAGAGTGTGCTGTTTTTTGGTAGTATTTTTCAAAAATCTTGGTTATTTCATCTAAAATTCTCAAGTTTATTTGAATAAAGATGTTCTTAGTAACCAGTTAGAATCTTTTTGATATATTAGTATTTGAAATCTGTAAAATTCATCTTTCTTACGTAGGCCTTCATTTCTCCTCTATAGATATAATCAACATTCAATAATTGTATTAATCCTCAAAAAGAAAAAAACTTTTAGATTACTGATCCTCTATTTTATGTTTGTTTTCTATGTCATTAATTACAATTCCTAATGTTATTTTCTTTATATTTTGGGTTTAACTTGTAGTTTTATTTTTAATTTTTATAAAATGCATGCATAACTTCTTGGATTTTAGCATTTCTCCTTTTTTAAATTCTACATTTAAGACTATACATTTCTGTTTTATGTGAAATTGATTTTTAATTATTTTTATAAATATGTTAGTGACGTACTATAAATGTACCGTTTTTAAAATCTGCAAATGGTGTTTTTATTATACTCACAGAGTTGTTCATTTATCACTACTATCTAGTTTCAGAATATGTTAATTTCCCCCAAACCAAAATTCATGCTCACTAAGAGCCACTCTTCACTCTCTATTTCTTCAATCTCTTATAAACACCAATCTACTTTTGATCTTGATGAATTTTCCAATCCTGGACATTAAATATAAATAGGATCAAACAATATGTGGGTTTTGGAAGCTTGGCTTCTTGAAATTGCCACAATGTTTTCTAGGTTCATGCATGTTATAACATGTATCAGTATTTCATTTTTATTTTTTATGACCAAACAACATTCCATTGTATGGATATACCATATTTTGTTTATACATTGATCAACTGGACACTTGGCTTGTTTTCATTTTTAGACTATTGGAAATTATGCTGTTGTGAACATTTGTGTGTGAATTTTTATGTTAATACATTTTTAAATTTATATATATGTTATATATAGACAGAGAGACAAGATTATGTGTATGTGTGCATGTATGTGTGTGTATGGGCATATATGTGTGTGTGTGTGTGTGTGTGTATATATATATATATATACACACATATACATACATACAGTATCCTTGGAAGATTAGTTCTAGAACCCACTGAAATTACCATAATTTATCAATGCTCAAGTTCCTTACATAAGATCATGTGATATTTATATATAATCTATGCATATCCTCCAGTATACTCTAAATAATCTCTAGATTACTTCTAATAGCCAATAGAATGTAAAAGTTATATAAATACTTTTTATACTGTATTCTTTAGGGAATTATGAAAAGAAAAATCTACACATGTTTAATGCAGATGCGGTCATCCATTTTTCCAATAATATTTTCAGTCTGTGTTTTGTTGAATCCATGAATGCAGAACTCACAGCTATAGAAGGAAAACTGTATGTGTGTGTACATATAACACACACACACACACACACATATGGAATTTATGAGACATATGGTAACTATGTTTACTTTTGAATAACTGAAAAATTGTTTGCCAAAATGGCTGCACCATTTCACATTCTCACCACCAATGTATGAAGGCTCCAAACTCTCAACACTCTGAACAAACTTGTTATTGTTTCTTTTTTAAATCATAGCCATCCTAGTAGATACAAAGTAATATTTCATTTTGGTTTTGATTTGCATTTTAATAACTAAGATGTTAAGCATCTTTTAATAGTGCTTATTGGTCTTTTGAATATATGTGAAGAAATGTCTATTAAAATACATTTTGCACATTGTTTCACAGGTTATACGTCTTCTCATTGTTAATTGTATAAATTACGCAGTCTCAGACAGTTTATTATAGCAGCATGAGAACCGACTAACACAGTAAATTGGTACTGCAGAGAGTGGGGTGCTGCTGTAAGGATACCCAAAAATGTGGAAGCAACTTTGGAACTGGGAAACAGGCAGAAGTTGAAACAGTTTGGAGGGCTCAGAAGAAGACAGAAAAATATGGGAAAGTTTGGAACATCATAGAGACTTGGAGGGAATCAGAAGAGAGAAAGATGTGGGAAAGTTTGGAACTTCCAGGGACTTGGTGAATGGCTTTGACTAAAATGCTGATAGTGATATGGACAATGAAGTCCAGGATCAGGTGGTCTCAGATGGAGATGAGGAACTTGTTGGGAACTGCATTAAAGGTGACTCTTGCTGTGTTTTAGCAAACAGACTGGTGGCATATTGCCCCTCCCCTAGAGATCTGTGGAACTTTGAACTTGAGGAAGATGATTTAGAGTATATGGTGGAAAATATTTCTAAATGGCAAAGCAACCAAGAGGTGGCTTTGGTGCTCTTAAAAGCATTCAGTTTTATGTGTTCACAAAGATATGATTTGGAATTGGAACTTATGTTTAAAAGGGAAGCAGAATATAAAAGTTTGGAGAATTTGCAGCCTGATGATGCAATAGAAAAGAGAAACTCATTTTCTGGGGGGAAATTTGCAGAAGTAATGAAGAACAGAATGGGCATGGTGGCTCATGCCTGTAATCCCAGCACCCTAATAGCCAAAGGCAGGCAGATAACTTGAGGTCAGGAGTTCAAGACAGCCTGGCCAACATGGTGAAAAACCATCTCTATTAAAAATACAAATATTAGCTAGGCATAGTGACATGCACCTGCAGTCCCAGCTACTCAGGAGGCTGAGGCAGGAGAATCACTTGAACCCAGGAGGTGGATGTTGCAGTGAGCCAAGAATGCACCACTGCTCTCCAGCCTGGGTGACAAAGTGAGACTGTGTCTCAAAATAAATAAATAAATAATAAAAGTAATGAGGTGCCAAATGCTAATTGCAAAGAGAATGGGGAAAATGTCTCCAGCACATGTCAGAGACCTTCACAGCAGCCCCTCCCATCGCAGACCTGGAGGCCAGGAGGGAAAAATGGTTTCCGAGCCAGGCCCAGGACCCTCCTTCTCTGTGGAGCCTTGGGATAAGATGTCCTGCATCCTAGCTGCTTCAGCTCCAGCAGTGGCTAAAAGGAGCCAAGGTACAACTCAGGCCATTGCTTCAGAGGGTTCAAGCCCCAACCCTTGGCAGCTTCCACGTGATGTGGGTCATGCGAGTGTGTAGAAGTCAAGAATTGAGGTTAGGGAACCTCCACCTAGATTTCAGAGGATGTATGAGCAAAAAAGTATACAAAGTTGTCTTTTGTGATAATAGAAATGTTAGTTTGTATATATTTATGTTTTAAGCCAGTAACTTTCAAGGTGATTATTACTTAACAATAGATAACATATAGAAATTTGTATGTAAAAACATGGTGATGTTGTAATAAAACTCTAAAACATAAGAAATTATTTATAGGACCAGGCTGCAGGCGAAGTCTAGAAAAACAGTGGAATCTGCTAGCAAAGACTTGAGGAGTGCTAATCAGATAGTGAAAACTGGAAAAACAGTGAAGAACTATTATTTAAATCTGGAACAAAGAGTAATCCGTGTTATATGGTAACAGAACCATTAGCAAAATATTACTTCAGTAAACTTGAATAATAGGATATATGCATAAATAAACTAACTCATGGCTCTGGCTAATGGCATTTCTAGATACAATATTAAACATGCTAGTTGTCTTTTTTTAGCTATCTATGGCAAGGTAAATGTCTTAGTCTATTCAGGCTTCTATACAAAAATGCCTTACTTAGACTGGGTAATTTATAAATAATTGAACTTTACTGCTTACAGTTCTGAAGAGTGGGAGGTCCACGATCAAGGTGCCAAAAGATTCGGTGTCTGGTGAATGCCTGTTTCTCATAGCTTGTTCCTTTTATGTGTCCTCACATGGTGGAAAGGAGAGCAGCTCTCTGAGGCTGTTTTTCATAAGGGCATTCATTCCATTCACAAAGGCAGAGCCCTCCTACACTAATCACCTCCCAAATGCCCCATCTTCTAATATCTTGGAGAAAAACTTTAAACATATAAATTTTGGAAGGAAAAAATATTCAGACCCAACAGTATGGGAAAACAAAAGGTGAGCTAAAGAAAAAATTGTTAAGTTACAAGAAGAATAGAAAAGAAACATAAAGGCACAGCACATGTTGGGTTGAAAATTATTCCTTATCAGGATGATGCTGGCCTCATAAAATGAGTTAGGGAGGATTCCCTCTTTTTCTATTGATTGGAATAGTTTCAAAAGGAATGATACCAGCTCCTCTTTGTACCTCTGGTAGAATTCGGCTGTGAATCCATCTGGTCCTGGACTTTTTTTGGTTGGGCCTGTCAAAGACACACACAAAAAAAGAGAATTATAGACCAATATCCCTGATGAACATTGATGCGAAAATCCTGAATAAAATACTGGCAAACCGAATCCAGCAGCACATCAAAAAGTTTATCCACAAAGATCAACTTGGCTTCATCCCTGGGATGCAAGGCTGGTTCAACATACGCAAATCAATAAACGTAATCCATCACATAAACAGAATCAAAGACAAAAAACACATGATTATCTCAATAGATGCAGGAAAGGCCTTTGACAAAATTCAACAACCCTTCGTGCCAAAAACTCTCAATAAACTTGGTATTGATGGAATGCATCTCAAAATAATAAGAGCTATTTATGACAAACCCACAGCCAATATCATACTGAATGGGCAAAAACTGGAAGCATTCCCTTTGAAAACTGGCACAAGACAGGGATGCCCTCTCTCACTACTCCTATTCAACATAATGTTGGAAGTTCTGGCCAGGGCAATCAGGCAGGAGAAAGAAATAAAGGGTATTCAATTAGGAAAAGAGGAAGTCAAATTGTCCCTGTTTGCAGATGACATGATTGTATATTTAGAAAACCCCATCATCTCAGCCCAAAATCTCCTTAAGCTGATAAGCAACTTCAGCAAAGTCTCAGGATATAAAACCATTGTGCAAAAATCACAAGCATTCTTATACACCAATAACAGACAAACAGAGAGCCAAATCATGAGTGAACTCCCACTCACAATTGCTACAAAGAGAATAAAATACCTCGGAATCCAAATTACAAGGAATGTGAAGGACCTCTTCAAGGAGAACTACAAACCACTGCTCAAGGAAATAAAAGAGGACACAAACAAATGGAAGAACATTCCATGCTCATGGGTAGGAAGAATCAATATTGTGAAAATGGCCATAATGCCCAACGTAATTTATAGATTCAATGCCATCCCCATCAAGCTACCAATGACTTTCTTCACAGAATTGGAAAAAACTACTTTAAAGTTCATATGAAACCAAAAAAGAGCCTGCATTGCCAAGACAATCCTAAGCCAAAAGAACAAAGCTGGAGGCATCACGCTACCTGACTTCAAACTATACTACAAGGCTACAGTAATCAAAACAGCACGGTACTGGTACCAAAACAGAGATATAGATCAATGGAACAGAACAGAGCCCTCAGAAATAATGCCACACATCTACAACCATCTGATCTTTGACAAACCTGACAAAAACAAGAAATGGGGAAAGGATTCCCTATCTAATAAATGGTGCTGGGAAAACTGGCTAGCCATATGTAGAACGGTGAAACTGGATCCCTTCCTTACACCTTATACAAAAATCAATTCAAGATGGATTAAAGACTTAAATGTTAGACCTAAAACCATAAAAACCCTAGAAGAAAACCTAGGCAGTACCATTCAGGACATAGGCATGGGCAAGGACTTCATGTCTAAAACACCAAAAGCAATGGCAACAAAAGACAAAATTGACAAATGGGATCTAATTAAACTAAAGAGCTTCTGCACAGCAAAAGAAACTATCATCAAAGTGAACAGGCAACCTACAGAATGGGAAAAAAATTTTGCAATCTCCTCATCTGACAAAGGGCTAATATCCAGAATCCACAAAAAACTTAAACAAATTTACAAGAAAAAAATCAAACAACCCCATCAAAAAGTGGGCAAAGGACATGAACAGTCACTTTTCAAAAGAAGACATTTATGCCCCCAAAAAACACATGAAAAAATGCTCATCATCACTGGTCGTCAGAGAAATGCAACTCAAAACCACAATGAGATACCATCTCACACCAGTTAGAATGGTGATCATTAATAAGTCAGGAAACAACAGGTGCTGGAGAGGATGTGGAGAAATAGGAACACTTTTACACTGTTGGTGGGACTGTAAACTAGTTCAACCACTGTGGAAGACAGTGTGGCGATTACTCAAGGATCTAGAACTAGAAATACTATTTGACTCAGCCATCCCATTACTGGGTATATACCCAAAGGGTTATAAATCATGCTGCTATAAAGACACATGCACACGTATGTTTATTGCGGCACTATTCACAATAGCAAAGACTTGGAACCAACCCATATGTCCAACAATGATAGATTGGATTAAGAAAATGTGGCACATATACACCATGGAATACTATGCAGCCATAAAAAAGGATGAATTCATGTCCTTTGTAGGGACATGGATGAAGCTGGAAACCATCATTCTCAGCAAACTATTGCAAGGACAAAAAGCCAAACACCGCATGTTCTCACTCATAGGTGGGAACTGAACAATGAGAACACGTGGACACCTGAACATCACACACTGGGGACTGTTGTGGGGTGGGGGGAGGGAGGAGGGATAGCATTAGGAGATATACCTAATGCTAAATGACGAGTTAATGGGTGCAGCACACCAACATGGCACGTGTATACATATGTAACAAACCTGCACGTCGTGCACATGTATCCGAAAACTTAAAGTATAATAATAATAAATAAAAAGTCATCTATTTGTCTACTTATCCACTTAGATGAAAAAGTTGAATCAACAAAATGCATATTCAGTGTCTAAGATGCACCAGATATTGTGGTTCCCTGTTGTTATAGACTTCATAGTATAGGAAGTCACATAGATATTAATACAATTGCCATACAATTTAATATAAAGTTACATTATTAGATGCACTGCAAGGAAAGGTATATGGTTCTATAACACTGTATAATAGGGAAATTTAACCTAAATCCAGAGGTGTCTGGAAAGGCTTATATTAGATTTTCTCTTAATAAAGAAGAGAATTTTTATGTTCTAAGTTAGATTAATGGTGTTTCTGTTCATTCAGCCACCTAAACTTGAATTTCATAATCATCATTGATCTTGTCTTCTCCCAAGACTTCTCTTACCTCCAATCAGTTACTACATTTTATCCTTCTTTTGAGCAATGCCTCACACATCATGATGTTCCTTTACATTTCCATTGTTGCTACTCACAATTATGGGCTGTTGTCTTACAGTTGGGCAATTTTAATATTTGTGCTTATACCATTTTTGCTCTCCAAAACTTTCTGATCATGAAGGCCAGAGTAGTCTTTCTTAAATTGCTTCAGTGTCTATCCACCTTTGCATTCTGTCCCTAACTCAGTGGATTCAAAACACTGGGCCTCAGATCACCTGGGAGAGCATTTGCAACAAAAAAACATTTCCGGGGTCCCCATTCCAGACATCCTGAATCGAAAACTCTGGAAATGGGACCCAGAATTTTAATATTATTAAAAGTACCCCAGAAGATTTTGATGTGTAAATTGGTTTAAAAACTATTGTCTCAATACACTTTTCCAGCCCTTTCTCACCCTTATACCCTACACATAAACAGGGCTATAGCTGTTCCTGAAATATTATCTACCTTTCCTGTTTCTCTGTACATACTATTATTTCAGCTTAGAATGTCATCTCCTGATATGTCTGCCAATTACAATCTTTATTTTAAAGGTTTTATTCCAAGTCCACTTCTTCCATTGTGCTCTTGGACTTCTCCCAAGCTAGAACTGATTTCTCACTCTGAGAACTCCTGAAACATTTCTTTTAAAGCACTTATACCTTGTGTTAGAATGAAATGCATCACCCCTATTAGACCCTCGTCGCATAAAGGCTTTTTCTTAGAGAATTTGTACACTCCACAATGCTTAGCTCAGTTACTTGAGCATAGTAGGTGATATATGATATATTTGTTGAAAAGATGTAACTACTTTCACTAATCTGCAAATAATAAAATTGCCTGTGAATGTACTGCTATCAGGATAACTCCTTTGGAACTACAAAACTTATTAAAGTATACACTGGAAATCTATGGTTTCTATAAATACATAGATATATAGAAATACAATTGTATGAACTCATATGGCTTCTATATATTCTGTTGTCATTAATAGAGGATCTATACTATGTTTTCTTATTTGCTCTATCTTGCTTCACACTCTTACACTCTATCCATTTTACAATAGTAAAGAAGATGATATGCCTTCTCCAGAAGTAATGCTTATGATATCGTGCTGTGAATCACTGAGACATCATCATTAAAACAGAAAGCTTCTTGGCACTTCTTCAAGTATACCTTCTGAAGGTCACTTCCAAAGTTTGATTATTTTTTACTTGTTCTCATCTAGTGAACTAATTCACATCATGGACTAAAGTAAAAAAAAAAAAGAAGAAGAAAGAAAAGAAAGAAGAAAGAAAAAGAAAGAAAGAAAGAAAAAGAAAGAAAGAGAAAGAAAGAGCTCTGCTATAAAATAGAATGATTATTAAAACTTCAAAAAGGTTTTGATTTATACAAAAATAAATGTTTCATTGATTAGATGATATCAATTTTCTTTTAATAAGTGTAGCTTAATGTCAATGAGTTATCAAAAATAAGTCTTTTAAGGTAGAATATGTCCTAGATTTATATACTAGAAGTAATAAGGAATTTTATGCTTTGCTGGATGAGTGTGAACATGTAAATTTGATCATAGTCCTAGGGCCTCAGGAAGTTTTACAAGCTTATGAGAGATTGTTCTTTTGAAACAATAAAGATTTAAATAAAAATGAAATATAGTTCCCATAGCATAGAAGCTATGCTTTCTGTGTGTGTGTGTATTTTTCATCACATTACTAACTCTCTTTTGTCATGAAAGATATATATTTCCGCGGAATTGTGAAATAGGTTTTATATCCCTTCTGGATCCCTCCTTCTGTCTCCTCTCCTTGGTGTCTTTGTTTTTCTGCTGTCAGCTGAATGTTCAAGGTGTTCTACTATGGTAATCCTCTTCTCTCTTGCCCAGACTTGAACCACTTTCATATGTCAAAAGTATTCCATTTTTTCAGGAGTCATTTAGATAAGTGCTTCTCAAACTTTAATGTGCATATGACTCACTTGGTATCTTGCTAAAATGCATATTTTCATTGAGTAGCGCTGGGTTGGAGCCTGCAATTCTACATTTATAACAACCCCATGGGGATGTCCATGCCTGCTAATTTGGGAGCAGTTTGAGTAGTAAGGTTTTACAGGACAAAAATATTTCAACTAAACATTTGTTATCTGATGATAGCTTCAAAAGTTTTATCATCAATAATTCATATGTAAATATAGAAATTTTAAGCACTACGGTGATAGCTATGTGTGATGGTTAATATTGAGTGTTAACTTGATTGGATTGAAGGATGCAAAGTATTGCTTCTGGGTGTGACTGTGAGAGTGTTGCCAAAAAAAGATTAACATTTGAGTTAGTGGACTGAGAGAGACAGACCCACTCTCAATCTGGGTGGGCACCATCTAATAAGCTGCCAGCATAAAAGCAGGAATGGAAAGAGCAGACTTGCTGAATCTTCTGGCCTCCATCTTTCTCCCGTGCTGGATGCTTCCTGCCTCAAACATCAGAATCCAAGTTCTTCAGCTTTTGGACTCTTGGACCTACACCAGTGGTTTGACAGGGGCTCTCAGGCCTTAGTCCACAGACTGAAGGCTGCATTGTTGGCTTCCCTACTTTTGAGGTTTTGGGACTCAGACTGTCTCTCTTGCTCTTCAGCTGGCAGATGACCTATTGTGGGACTTCACCTTGTGATTGTGTGAGTCAATACTTCTTAACAAACTCCCTTTCATATATACATCTATCCTATTAGTCCTGTCCCTCTAGAGAAACCTGACTAATACACGATGGAAGAAATATTTGAAGGCTAATTATCATTGAATCCACAAATCATGTGGCAAAGTGGACAAATGCTTTGTTTATTAGAATGGCCAATCCAACAATTAGAGAATGCAGGAGTTAGATATTAATTTCCACACCTTATGGGTGAAGAAACCTAGTTTTAGTGATATTAAATAACTGAGGTTACAAAGATTGTAACTCAAACAAAGAGCATTTAAACACTGATTTTCTGACTACAAAAATCTATACTTTCTCTCCAATGTCACTTTGCCTTCCTGATAACTAGGAAAATATATCAGAGTTATAGATAGATTGAAAAATCCTTTAGGGGCTTTAAGATTTTTTAAATGTAACTATAAAATAGATGCAATTAGATTCTAGCAGATAGGAAAAACAGCATTTGTTCATTATTGTTGTAATAATACACACACATGCACATAATACTACTAATGGAAAATTAAAATATTATACTCAGATAAATCTCTAAATTTTACATTGGAAAAAGTTGATTCAAAGAAGATAGCAATGAGTATTAAATGAGTATTCAAAATTTTAGGTGAATTTAATTAAATAACATATTAAAATAATTTTGTCACTACTTTTGGTTTTTACTTCACATTACTGAAAGAGGCACTGAAGAAGGTAGAAAAGACAGTCTTGAATTGCCAATACCACCCCTCCTACATCCTCTGGCAGTGGCTGCAGGTGCAAACGAAGAATCTATGCATGTTGGGGAGGGAGAGCACAATGATTGGAGGACTTTGCATTGGAACACAGTGCTGCCAACACCAGGGAGAACTCAGATGGTGCCCACAGAGGGAGCATTTAGATCAATCATTGCCAGAGGACAATTGCCCATTGCCAGTAGTTGGAACTTGAGTTTAAGCAAGCCTCACTGTTGTGTGCTAAAGAGCTCTGAGATCCTAAATAAACTTGAAAGGCTTTCATAGGCCAAAAGAACTGCAACTTCCAGGCAAGTCCTAGAGCTATGCTGGGCTGACAGCCAGTGGACTGGGAAGGTGGGTGGCATATGACACAGTAAGACACCAGCCAGGATGGCTAAGGAAGTACATTTGTCACCTTTCCCCGAACCCCAGAAAGCGTAGTTCAAAGCTCTGAAAGACATTCTTCCTTCTTGTCGAGGAGAGGAGAGGGAAGAGTAAAAAGAACTTTGTCTTGCAACTTAGATACCAGCTCAATCATAGTAAGATAGAGCACTGGGCAGAGTCATTAGGCCCCCATTCCTGGCCCTAGCTCCCAGATGGCATTTCCAACATACACTGGGCCAGAAGTGAACCCACTGCATTGACGGAAAAGACCAAGCGCTGGCAAGATTCATTACCTGCTAGCTAGGGAGGTCTTAGTCCCTGAAAAATCAGCAGTGACAACCAGGTAGAACACACCATGAGCCTTGAGTGAGACTCTGAGACATGCTAGCCTCAGGCTGACCCAGCATAATCACAGCTGTGGTGTCTATGAGGAGTGGCCCTTTTTGCTTGAGAAAAACAGAGGGAAGAGTAAAGATGACATTGTCCTGAGCTTAGGTATCAGCTCATCCACAGAGGGGAAGAACACCAAACAGGCTTTTGGGGTCCCCAATTCCAGGCCTTGGCTCTTGGATAACATCTCTGGTCCTACCCTAGGTGAGAGCGGAGCCTAGCACTGGCAGCATTCATCACAAGCTGACTGAAGAGTCTTCAGGCCATAAATGAACATTGTTGGTACCCTGGCAATACTCCTAATGGGCCTGTGGTGGTGATGGACATAGGGGGAAAATCCTCTGCTTGTGGAAAGGGGCAGCAAGAATGAGAAACACTTTGTCTTGTGGCTTGGGTGCCAGCTCAGCTGCTGATAGAACACAGCAATAGATAGATTCCTGAGTTTTCCAACTCTAGGCCCTGGCTTCTGGGCAGCTTCTCTGGACTCATGCAGGGACTGGGGGAACTCACCACCCTAAAGGGAAAGACTTGAGCCTGGCTGGCTATGCCACCTGCTGAATGTAGAGCCCTAGGGCCTTTAGTGAACATGGGCAATAGCCAGGTAGTGGTTAATGTTGCCCTTTGGCAAGACCCAGTGCTGTGCTTTCTTCAGGTCTGACCTAGTGCAGTTCCAGTGTTCGTGGCCATAGGGTTACTTGTATCACTCCTCCCCGAGCTCCAGACATCTCAGCAATGGCAGACACTGTATATTTGGGATAATGTAAGGAAAAAAACAGGAGTTTCTGCCTAGTGACCCAAATAAATCTTCAGGATCTTATTCAAGACTACAAAAGTGGTGCCTCTACAAGTCTACAATAAATAAATAAATAAATAAAACTTTACTGGGCTTATGGCAGCCCCTAATATAGATATGGCTGCAGTGACAAAAAACATAGAATACAAAACCCACGTGCCTTCCAATACTTGGAAAGCCTGCCCAAGAAGGATGGGTACAAACAAGCCCAGCTTGCAAAGACTAAAATAAATACATAACTTTTCAATGTCCAGGCAGTGACAAACATTCATTAACATCAAGAGCATCTAGAAAACATGATTTTTTCAAATGAGCTAAATAAGGCACCAGGGGACAATCCTGAAGAAACAGAGATGTGTGACCATTTAGACAGAAAAATATAAATAACTGTTTTGAGGCAAGTCAAATAAATTGAAAATAACATAGAAAAGGAGTTCAGACTTCTATTAGATAAATTTAACAAATAAATTAAAATAACTAACAAGATTCAAGCCAAAATTCTAGACTTGTAAAATGCACTGACATGCATTTGTCAAAAAGCAACTGACATGCTTAAGAATGCATGTCTCTTAAATATATACACCTACTATGTACCCACAAAAATTTTAAAGAGTTTTATGAATTAAATTAAAAATTTTTAATAAAGAATTGATCTCGCAGAAGAAAAAATTACTAAGTTTGAAGACAGTCTATTTTAAAATACACAGTCAAAAGAGACAAAAAATTTTAAAAATGTAGCATGTCTACAAGTTCTGGAAAATAGCCTCAAAATGGCAAACCTAAGAGTTAATGATCTTAAGGAGGAGTTAGAACGAGATATAGAGATAAAAAGTTATTCAATAGGATAATAATTTCAGAAAAGTTTCCAAACCTAAAGAAATAAATTAGCATTCAAATACAAGAAGGTTATGGAACACCAAGCAGAGTTAACCCAAGGAAGACTACCTCGAAGCATTTAATAATCAAATTTCCACAGGTCAAGAATAAAGGAAGGATCCCAAAAGCAGCAAGAGAAAAGAAAAATAACATACAATGGAGGTCCAATATGTCTGGCGGCAGACTATTCAGTGGAAACGTTACAGGCCAGGAGAGAGTAGCAAAACATATTTAAAGTACTGAAAGGAAAAAGTTACCCTGGAATAGTATATCAGGTTAATATATATATTATATAGTCTTCAAATATAAAGTAGAAGTAAAGACATCCCCAGAAAAACAAAAGCTGAAGAATTTCATCAATACCAGACCTGTCCTACAAAAAAATGCTAAAGGGAGTTCCACAATCTGAAAGGAAAGGATGTTAATGAGCAGTGAGAAATCATCTGATGGTATAAAACTCGCTCATAATAGTAAGTACACAGAAAAACAGAATATTACAGCACTGTAATTGTAGTGTGTAAACTACACTTATCTTAAGTAGAAGGACTAAAAGATGTACCAATCAAAAATAATAACTACAAGAACATTTTGAGATGTATATAGTACAATATAAATAGAAACAATAACAAGTTTAAAAGTGGGGAGACAAAGTTAAAAGGTTGAGATTAGTTTACTTTTTGTTAGTTACTTTGTTGATGCAATTAGGGTTAAGTTTTAATCTATTTTGATGCAATTAGGGTTAAGTTTTAATCTGTTTAAAATAACGAGTTGTAAGATAGTATGGGCAAGCTTCATGGCAACCTCAAATCTAAAAGCATTACAACAGGTACAAAAAAATAAAAGCAGGAAATTACAATATGCCAGGAGAGAAAATCACTTTCACTAAAAGGAACAATGTAAATATATAAGCACTCAACACAACACTGGAGCACCCAGATATATAAAGCAAATATTATTATAGACAAAGAGATAGATTCAAATACAATTAGAGCTGAAGACTTCAACACCACATTGTCAATATTGGACAGATCATCTAGCCATAAAATTAACCAAAAAAAATGGACTTAATCTGCAATATAGACCAAATGCACCTAATAGATATTTAAAGAAAAGATTGTGCAACAATTGCAGAATACACATTCTTTTTGTCAGCACAATGATCACTCTTCAAAGTAGAGTAAAGTTTAGGTCACAAAACAATTCTTAGAATATTCAAAGAATTGAAATAGTATAAAGTACTTTCTCTGACCACCATGGAAATAAAACTTGAAATCAATAACAAGGAGAATTTTGAAAACGATATGAACATAGGGTTTTTAAATAATATGCCCCTGAATGTCCAATGGGTCAAGGAAGTAATTAAAAAAGAACATTTTTAAATTTCTGAAAACATAAGATAATGGAAATACAGCATACCAAAGCTTATGAGATACAGCAAAAGCAGAACTAAAGGAAAGTTTATAGCTATAAGCTCTTACATATAAAACAAGAAAAACTTCAAATAAATATCCAATGTGTCTTAGAAAACTAGCAAAGAAAGAGTAAACCAAAACCAAATTTAGTAGAAGAAAATAAAATAAAAAAGAAAAGAGCATAAATAAATAAAATTGAGGGGGAGGAGCCAAGATGGCCGAATAGGAACAGCTCCGGTCTACATCTCCCAGCGTGAGCAATGCAGAAGACGGGTGATTTCTGCATTTCCATCTGAGGTACCTGGTTCATCTCACTAGGGAGTGCCAGACAGTGGGTGCAGGACAGTGGCTCGCGCACGAGCCGAAGCACAGTGAAGCATTGCCTCACTCGGGAAGTGCAAGGGGTCAGGGAGTTCCCTTTCCTAGTCAAAGAAAGGGGTGATGGACGGCACCTGGAAAATCGGGTCACTCCCACCCGAATACTGCGCTTTTCCGACGGGCTTAAAAAACGGCGCACCACGAGATTATATTCTGCACCAGGCTCAGAGGGCCCTATGCCCACGGAGTCTCGCTGATTGCTAGCACAGCAGTCTGAGATCAAACTGCAAGGCGGCAGCGAGGCTGGAGGAGGGGCGCCCGCCATTGCCCAGGCTTGCTTAGGTAAACAAAGCAGCCTGGAAGCTCGAACTGGGTGGAGCCCACCACAGCTCAAGGAGGCCTGCCTGCCTCTGCAGGCTCCACCTCTGGGGGCAGGGCACAGACAAACAAAAAGACAGCAGTAACCTCTGCAGACTTAAATGTCCCTGTCTGACAGCTTTGAAGAGAGCAGTGGTTCTCCCAGCACACAGCTGGAGATCTGAGAACGGGCAGACTGCCTCCTCAAGTGGGTCCCTGACCCCTGACCCCCAAGCAGCCTAACTGGGAGGCACCCTCGAGCAGGGGCAGCCTGACACCTCACAGGGCCAGGTACTCCAACAGACCTGCAGCTGAGGATCCTGTCTGTTAGAAGGAAAACTAACAAACAGAAAGGACATCCACACCACAGACCCATCTGTACATCACCATCATCAAAGACCAAAAGTAGATAAAACCACAAAGATGGGGAAAAAAACAGAACAGAAAAACTGGAAACTCTAAAAAGCAGAGCGCCTCTCCTCCTCCAAAGGAACACAGTTCCTCACCAGCAATGGAACAAAGCTGGACGGAGAACAACTTTGACGAGCTGAGAGAAGAAGGCTTCAGACAATCAAATTACTCTGAGCTATGGGAGGACATTCAAACCAAAGGCAAAGAAGTTGAAAACTTTGAAAAAAATTTAGAAGAATGTATAACTAGAATAACCAATACAGAGAAGTGCTTAAAGGAGCTGATGGAGCTGAAAACCAAGGCTTGAGAACTACGTGAAGAATTCAGAAGCCTCAGGAGCTGATGCGATCAACTGAAAGAAAGGGTATCAGCGATGGAAGATGAAATGAATGAAATGAAGCGAGAAGGGAAGTTTAGAGAAAAAAGAATAAAAAGAAATGAGCAAAGCCTCCAAGAAATATGGGACTATGTGAAAAGACCAAATCTAGGTCTGATTGGTGTACCTGAAAGTGATGGGGAGAATGGAACCAAGTTGGAAAACACTCTGCAGGATATTATCCAGGAGAACTTCCCCAGTCTAGCAAGGCAGGCCAACGTTCAGATTCAGGAAATACAGAGAACACCACAAAGATACTCCTTGAGAAGAGCAACTCCAAGACACATAATTGTCAGATTCACCAAAGTTGAAATGAAGGAAAAAATGTTAAGGGCAGCCAGAGAGAAAGGTCGGGTTACCCTCAAAGGGAAGCCCATCAGACTAACAGCGGATCTCTCGGCAGAAACCCTACAAGCCAGAAGAGAGTGGGGGCCAATATTCAACATTCTTAAAGAAAAGAATTTTCAATCCAGAATTTCATATCCAGCCAAACTAAGCTTCATAAGTGAAGGAGAAATAAAATACTTTACAAACAAGCAAATGCTGAGAGATTTTGTCACCACCAGGCCTGCCCTAAAAGAGCTCCTGGAGGAAGCACTAAACATGGAAAGGAACAACCAGTACCAGCCGCTGCAAAATCATGCCAAAATGTAAAGACCATCAAGGCTAGGAAGAAACTGCATCAACTAACGAGCAAAATAACCAGCTAACATCATAATGACAGGATCAAATTCACACATAACAATATTAACTTTAAATGTAAATGGACTAAGTGCTCCAATTAAAAGACACAGACTGGCAAATTGGATAAAGAGTTAAGACCCATCAGTGTGCTGTATTCAGGAAATCCATCTCACATGCAGAGACACACATAGGCTCAAAATAAAAGGATGGAGGAAGATCTACCAAGCAAATGGAAAACAAAAAAAAGCAGGGGTTGCAATCCCAGTCTCTGATAAAACAGACTTTAAAGCAATAAAGATCAAAAGAGACAAAGAAGGCCATTACATAATGGTAAAGGGATCAATTCAACAAGAAGAGCTAACTATCCTAAATATATATGCACCCAATACAGGAGCACCCAGATTCATAAAGCAAGTCCTGAGTGACCTACAAAGAGACTTAGACTCCCACACATTAATAATGGGAGACTTTAACACCCCACTGTCAACATTAGACAGATCAACAAGACAGAAAGTCAACAAGGATACCCAGGAATTGAACTCAGCTCTGCACCAAGCGGACCTAATAGACATCTACAGAACTCTCCACCCCAAATCAACAGAATATACATTCTTTTCAGCACCACACCACACCTATTCCAAAATTGACCACATACTTGGAAGTAAAGTTCTCCTCAGCAAATGTAAAAGAACAGAAATTATAACAAACTATCTCTCAAACCACAGTGCAATCAAACTAGAACTCAGGATTAAGAATCTCACTCAAAACCGCTCAACTACATGGAAACTGAACAACCTGCTCCTGAATGACTGCTGGGTACATAACGAAACGAAGGCAGAAATAAAGATGTTCTTTGAAACCAAGGAGAACAAAGACACAACATACCAGAATCTCTGGGACGCATTTAAAGCAGTGTGTAGAGGGAAATTTATAGCACTAAATGCCCACAAGAGAAAGCAGGAAAGATCCAAAATTGACACCCTAACATCACAATTAGAAGAACTAGAAAAGCAAGAGCAAACACATTCAAAAGCTAGCAGAAGGCCAGAAATAACTAAAATCGGAGCAGAACTGAAGGAAATAGAGACACAAAAAACCCTTCAAAAAATTAATGAATCCAGGAGCTGGTTTTTGAAAGGATCAACAAAATTGATAGACCACTAGCAAGACTAATAAAGAAAAAAAGAGAGAAGAATCAAATAGACACAATAAAAAATGATAAAGGGGATATCACCACCGATCCCACAGAAATACAAACTACCATCAGAGAATACTACAAACACCTCTACACAAATAAACTAGAAAATCTAGAAGAAATGGATAAATTCCTCGACACATACACTCTCCCAAGACTAAACCAGGAAGAAGTTGAATCTCTGAATAGACCAATAACAAGATCTGAAATTGTGGCAATAATCAATAGCTTACCAACCAAAAAGAGTCCAGGACCAGATGGATTCACAGCCGAATTCTACCAGAGGTACAAGGACGAACTGGTACCATTCCTTCTGAAACTATTCCAATCTATAGAAAAAGAGGGAATCTTCCCTAACTCATTTGATGAGGCCAGCATCATTCTGATACCAAAGCCTGGCAGAGACAGAACCAAAAAAGAGAATTTTAGGCCAATATCCTTGATGAACATTGATGCAAAAATCCTCAATAAAATACTGGCAAACCGAATCCAGCAGCACATCAAAAAGCTTATCCACCATGATCAAGTGGGCTTCATCCCTGGGATGCAAGGCTGGTTCAATATACGCAAATCAATAAATGTAATCCAGCATATAAACAGAGCCAAAGACAAAAACCACATGATTATCTCAATAGATGCAGAAAAGGCCTTTGACAAAATTCAACAACCCTTCATGCTAAAAACTCTCAATAAACTAGGTATTGATGGGACATATTTCAAAATAATAAGAGCTATCTATGACAAACCCACAGCCAATATCATACTGAATGGGCAAAACTGGAAGCATTCCCTTTGAAAACTGGCACAAGACAGGGATGCCCTCTCTCACCACTCCTATTCAACACAGTGTCGGAAGTTCTGGCCAGGGCAATTAGGCAGGAGAAGGAAATAAAGGGTATTCAATTAGGAAAAGAGAAAGTAAAATTGTCCCTGTTTGCAGACGACATGATTGTATATCTAGAAAACCCCATTGTCTCAGCCCAAAATCTCCTTAAGCTGATAAGCAACTTCAGCAAAGTCTCAGGATACAAAATCAATGTACAAAAATCACAAGCATTCTTATACACCAACAACAGACAAACAGAGAGCCAAATCATGAGTGAACTCCCATTCACAATTGCTTCAAAGAGAATAAAATACCTAGGAATCCAACTTACAAGGGATGTGAAGGACCTCTTCAAGGAGAACTACAAACCACTCCTCAAGGAAATAAAAGAGGATACAAACAAATGGAAGAACATTCCATGCTCATGGGTAGGAAGAATCAATATCGTGAAAATGGCCATACTGCCCAAGGTAATTTATAGATTCAATGCCATCCCCATCAAGCTACCAATGACTTTCTTCACAGAATTGGAAAAAACTACTTTAAAGTTCATATGGAACCAAAAAAGAGCCTGCATAGCCAAGTCAATCCTAAGCCAAAAGAACAAAGCTGGAGGCATCAGGCTACCTGACTTCAAACTATAGTACAAGGCTACAGTAACCAAAACAGCATGGTGCTGGTACCAAAACAGAGATATAGATCAATGGAACAGAACAGATCCCTCAGAAATAACGCCGCATATCTACAACTATCTGATCTTTGACAAACCTGAGAAAAACAAGCAATGGGGAAAGGATTCCCTATTTAATAATGGTGCTGGGAAAACTGGCTAGCCATATGTAGAAAGCTGAAACTGGATCCCTTCCTTACACCTTATACAAAAATCAATTCAAGATGGATTAAAGACTTAAAGGTTAGACCTAAAACCATAAAAACCCTAGAAGAAAACCTAGGCAATACCATTCAGGACATAGGCATGGGCAAGGACTTCATGTCTAAAACACCAAAAGCAATGGCAACGAAAGCCAAAATTGACAAATGGGATCTCATTAAACTAAAGAGCTTCTGTACAGCAAAAGAAACTACCATCAGAGTGAACAGGCAACCTACAAAATGGGAGAAAATTTTTGCAACCTACTCATCTGACAGAGAGCTAATATTCAGAATCTATAATGAACTCAAACAAATTTACAAGAAAAAAACAAACAACCCCATCAAAAAGTGGGCAAAGGACATGAACAGACACTTCTCAAAAGAAGACATTTATGCAGCCAAAAAACACATGAAAAAATGCTGATCATCACTGGCCATCAGAGAAATGCAAATCAAAACCACAATGAGATACCATCTCACACCAGTTAGAATGGCAATCATTAAAAAGTCAGGAAACCACAGGTGCTGGAGAGGATGTGGAGAAATAGGAACACTTTTACACTGTTGGTGGGACTGTAAACTAGTTCAACCATTGTGGAAGTCAGTGTGGCGATTCCTCAGGGATCTAGAACTAGAAATACCATTTGACCCAGCCATCCCATTACTGGGTATATACCCAAAGGTTTATAAATCATGCTGCTATAGAGACACATGCACACGTATGTTTATTGCGGCACTATTCACAATAGCAAAGACTTGGAACCAACCCAAATGTCCAACAATGATAGACTGGATTAAGAAAATGTGGCACATATACACCATGGAATACTATGCAGCCATAAAAAATGATGAGTTCATGTCCTTTGTAGGGACATGGATGAAATTGGAAATCATCATTCTCAGTAAACTATCGCAAGAACAAAAAACCAAACACCACATATTCTCACTCATAGATGGGAATTGAACAATGAGATCACATGGACTTAGGAAGGGGAACATCACACACTGGGGACTGTTGTGGGGTGGGGGGAGGGGGAAGTGATAACATTGGGAGATATACTTAATGCTAGATGATGAGTTAGTGGGTGCAGCGCACCAGGGTGGCACATGTATACATATGTAACTAACCTGCACGTCGTGCACATGTACCCTAAAACTTAAAGTATAATAAGAAAAAAAAAAAGAAGTCATATACAAAAAAGATACTTGCACACACATGTTTATAGCAGCACAATTTACAATTGCAAAAATATGGAACTAGCCCAAATGCCCATCAATCAATGAGTGGATAAAGAAAATGTGGTATAGCTGGGCGTGGTGGCCCACATCTGTAATCTCAGCACTTTGGGAGGCCGAGGCAGGTAGATCACCTGAGGTCAGGAGCTCGAGACCAGGCTGGCCAACATGGCGAAACCCCATCTCTACTAAAAATACAAAAATTAGCTGAGCATGGTGGTGGGTACCTGTAATCCCAGTTACTCGGGAAGCTAAGGCAGAATTGCTTGAACCGGGGAGGCAGAGGTTGCAGTGGGCTGAGATTGTGCCATTGTACTCCAGCCTTGGCAACAAGAGCAAAACTCTGTCTCAAAAAAACAAACCAAAAAAAAAAAAAAAAAAAGAAAATGTCGTATATATACATACTATGAAATACTACTCAGCCATAAAAAGGAACAAATTAATTGCATTCACAGCAACCTGAATGGAATTAGAAACTATTATGCTAAGTGAAATAACTCAGAAATGGAAAACCAAACATCATAGGTTCTCACTCATAAGTGGGAGTTAAGCTATGAGGATGAGAAGGCATAAGAAGTGATACATTGGACTTTGAGGACTCTGGGGAAAAGGTGGGAGGGGGGTGAGGGATAAAAGACTACACATTGGATACAGTGTACACTGCTCAGCTGATGGGTACACCAAAATCTCAGAAATCACCACTAAAGAATTTACGTATGGAACCAAACACTACTTGCTCCCTAAAAAACCTATTGAAATAGGCTGGGTGCGGTGGCTCACACCTGTAATCCCAGCACTTTGGGAGGTCGAGGGCAGATCACTTGAGGTCCGGAGTTCGAGACCAGCCTGACCAACATGGAGAAACCCCATCTCTACTAAAAATACAAAATTAGCTGAGCGTGGTGGTGCATGCCTGTAATCCCAGCTACTCTGGAGGCTGAGGCAGGAGAATTGCTTGAACCCGGGAGGCAGAGGTTGCAGTGAGCCGAGATCGTGCCATTGCACTCCAGCCTGGGCAACAAGAGCAAAATTCCATCTCAAAAAACAAACAAACAAACAAAAAAACCTATTGCCCTATTGAAATAAAAAATAAATTTAAAAAAGGAAAGTCAAAAAAAAATAAAATAAAATTGAAATAATTTAAAAGTTGTTTTTTGAAGAGATAAACAAAATTGACAAACATTTAGCAAGGATAAATTAAAAAAAAAAAAAGAGAAGACCAAAATAAACAAAATCAGAGATGAAAAAGAAACATACAACAGAAATTCAAAGGATCATTAGTCACTACTATGGGCAACTATATGGCAACAAATTGGAAAATTTAAAGGGAATTGATAAATTCCTAGACACATGCAATCTACCAAGATTGAAACATAAAGAAATCCAAAACCTGAACAGAGTTTGGATTGGAAATATAACAAGTAATGGACAGAAGCCATAATTAAAAGTCTCTCAGTAAAGAAAGCCTAGAACCCAATGGTTTCACTGCTGAATTCTATCAAAAACTTTGAAAAGAACTAATATCAATTCTACTCAAATTATTCTGAAAAAATAAAGGCCAGTATTACCCTGATTCCAAAATCATAAAAACGCATTAAAGAAACATATAGGTCAATATCTCCAATGAATATTGATAGAAAAATGTTAAACAAAATACTAGCAAACTGAATTCAAAAACACGTTAAAATAGCCATTTATCATGACCAAGTGGAATTTATCCCAGGGATGCAAGAATGATTCAACATACACAAATTAATCAATGTGTTACATCAAATAAACAATTTGAAGGACAATATTATATGATCATTTCAATTGATGATAAAAAAATTCCTAAAATTCCACATCCATTCATAATAAAAACGCTTAAAACAAAACTGGGTATAGAAGGAAAATATCTCAACACAATAAAAGACATATATGAGAGACCCATAGCTTTTATCCTACAGAATGGAAAAAAAAAAACTGAAAGCCTTTCCTCTAAGATTGGGAACATGAAAAGGATGCTCACTTTGCTTTTTTCTGGTTGGTAGGCTTTTTATTACAGATGAAATTTTGAAACTCATTATTGGTCTTTTCAGAGTTCCAGTATCTTCCTGGATCAATCGTGCAAGGTATGCATTTCCAGAAATTTCTTCTCGGCTTTCTAGTTTGTGTGCAGAGGCATTCTTAATAACTTCTGAGGGTTTTTTGTATTTCTGTTGAGTTTGTGGTAATGCCCACTTTGTCACTGCTTTTGATTTATTTACTTATTTATTTTTAATATTTGTGGGTACATAGTACCTATATGTACTTATAAGGTACATGAGATATTTTAATATAGGCCCTCCTCCCTCACTCATTCTCTGAGGCTACTATCATTCTGATACCAAAACCTGGAAGAGACACACATGCACCAAAGAAAATTTCAGGCCAATATCCCTGATATAAATAGATGCAAAATCTGCAACAAAATACCAGCAAACCAAACCCAGCAGCACATCTAAAAGCTAATTCCCCACGATCAAGTAGGCTTTATCCCTGGGATGTGAGGGTGGTTCAACACATGCACATCAATAAATAATATTCATTACATAAATGGAACCAAAAATGAAAACCACATGAGCCTCTCAATAGATTCATGATATGCTTTAAATAAAATTTAACATATTTTCATGTTAAAGACTTTCAATAAACTAGGCACTAAAGGAACATACATCAAAATAATAAGAGCCATCTATGCCAAATCCGCAGCCAAGATCATACTACATGGTAAACCTGGAAGCATTCCCCTTGAGAAGTGGAATGAGACCAGATGCTCACTTTTACCACTCATATTCCACACAGTGCTAGAAGTTCTAGCCAGAGCAATCAGGCAAGAAAAAGAAATAAAAAAGCATCCAAATAGGAAGACAGGAAGTCCGACTATCTCTTTTCACAGATGATATGATTCTATACCTAGAAATAGTATTAATATTTGCCAAAAAAGCTCCAGGATTTGATAGGCAACTTCAGCAACGTTTCAGGATACAAAATCAATGTACAAAAATCAGGAGCATTTCTATACACCAACAATGCTGAAGTTGAAGGCCAAATCAAGTATACAATTTCATTCACAATAGTCACAAAAATAATAAAATACCCAGGAGTACACCTCACAAGAGAGGTGAAAAATCTCTATGACAAAAATTATAAAACACTGCTGAAAGAAATCAGAGATGACATAAACAAATAGAAAAGTATTTCATGCTCATTGATAGGAAGAATCATTATTGTTATAATAGCCATACTGCTCAAAGCAAGTTACACATTCAATGCTATTTCTATGAAAGTACTAATGACATTCCTCACCAAATTAGAAAATACTATTTTAAAATTCATAAGGAGCCAAACAAAAGCCTGAATAGCCAAAGCAATCCTAAGCAAAAATAAATAAATAAATAAATAAATCAAAGCTGGATGCATCACATTACCTCACTTCAAACTATACCAAAAGGCTATAATAACCCAAACAGCATGGTACTGGTACAAAAAGATACACATTGACCAATGGAGCTCCCAGAAATAAAGCCGTACACAGACAACCACCTGATCTTTGACAAAGTTGGCAAAAACAAGCAATGGAAAAAAGACTCTCTATTCAATAAATGGTAGTGGGGTGACAGGTTAGTCATATGCAGAAGAATGAAACTAGATACCTTCTTTACACCATCTACAACAATCAACTCAAGATGGAGTAAAGATTTAAATTTAAAACCTAAAACTGGCCCAGGCGCGGTAACTCATGCTTGTAATCCCAGCACATTGGGAGGCTGAGGCAGGTGGCTCACCTGAGGTCAGGAGTTTGAGACCAGCCTGGTCAACATGGTAAAACCCTGTCTCTACTAAAAGAATACAAAAATTAGCTGGCCGTGGTGGTGGGTGCCTGTAATCCCAGCTACTTGGGAGGCTGCAGTAGAAGAATCACTTGAACCCAGGAACTGGAGGTTGCAGTGAGCTGTAATCATGGCATTGCACTCCAGCTTGGGCGACAAGAGTGAAAGTCTGTCTCAATAAAAAAATAAATAAATAAATGTAAAATAAAATAAAACCTAAAACTATAAAAAAAAAATTCTAGACCTAGGCCTTGGCAAGTATTTCATGACAAAGATGACAAAAGCAATTGCAACAACAACAAAAAAATTGGCAAATGGGACCTAATTAACCTAAAGAGCTTCTACACAGCAAAAGAAAATACCAACAGAATAAACAGACAACTTACAGATGGGAGAAAATATTTGCAAACTGCGCATCCAACAAATGCCTAATATCCACAATCTATAAGGAACTTAAATAAATTAGCAAGCAAAAAACAATCCCATTAGAAACTGGGCAAAGGACAGGAACAGACAGTTTTAAAAAGAAGATACACTGGCAGCCAACAAGCTTACGAAAAAAAATGTTTACCATTTCTAATCATTAGAGAAATGCAAATCAAAACCACAATGAGACCATCTCACACCAGTCAAAATAGCTGTTTTTAAAAAATTAAAAAAAAACAGATGCTGGCAAAGTTATGGAGAAAAGGGAACACTTATACACATCTAATGGGAATATAAATTAGTTCAGCCTTTGTGGAAAATAGTTTAGCGATTTCTCGAAGAACTTTAAACAGAAATACCATTCAAGCCAGCAATCCTATTATTTGTTACATACCTAAAGGAATATAAATCTTTCTACCATAAAGACACATGCTCGTGTATGTTCATTGTAGCAGTATTTACAATAGCAAAGACAGGTAATCAATGTAGATGCCCATCAATGGTGGACTGGATAAAGAAAATGTGATACGTATACACCATGGACTACTACACAGACATAAAGATGAACAAGATCATGTCCTTTTAAGCAACATGGATGGAGACAGAGGTCATTATTTAAGCAAGCTAACACAGGAACCGAAAGCCAAATATAACATGTTCTCAGAAGTGGGAGGTAAACATTGAGTGCACATGGACACAAAGAAGGAAACAAAAGATACAAGGGCCTATGGGAGGGTGTGGGTGGGAGGAGGGTGAAGATTAAAAAAAAAAAACTACCTATTGGTTATTATGTTCAATACTTGGGTGATGAAATAAACTATATACAAAAGCCCCATGACATGCAATTTACCTATATAATGTGCACATGTACCCCTGAACCTAAAATAAAAGTTTTTATATAAATAAATAAATAAATTTGACAAAAATTCCAAAACAGAGAAAATGCAGTACATATACACAACGGAATACTATTCTTCTGTAAAAGAAAATGAGATACCGTCATTTGCAACAGCATGGATGGAACTGGAGGTCATTATGTTAAGTGAAATAAGGCAGGCACAGAAAGACAAGCTTCACATGTTCTCACTTATTTGTGGGAACCAAATATTAAAGCAGTTAAACTAATGGAGAGAGTGTAGAATGATTGTTGTCAGAGGCTTGCAAGAGTAGTGAGATTGGGTGTGGAGTGGATAGAGGGGGATGGTTAATGGGTACAAAAAATAGAAAAAATAAATACAATCTAGTTTTGATAGAACAGGGTGACTACATTCAATACTAATTTAATTGAGTATTGTAAAACAACTGAAAAAGTATATTTGGATGGTTTGTAACACAAAGGATAAGTGCTTGAAGTTATGGATATTTCATTTATCTGATGTAATTATACACTGCATGTATACATTGTATGCTTGTATCAAAATATCCCATATTCCCCATAAGCATATTCTATTACTTTGTACCCACAAAAATTAAAGCGTAAAAAATTTTTTAAAAATGCGTGGGGCAGCTTCTGTTCTGTCTCAGCTGGAATTTCTAATCTTTTGATGAGCTAATTATCCATAATGGGTCTCTTTTCTCTTCTGCTTGTGACCTATCCCGGTCATTCTACCTGATTTCTCATTGTATTTGCTCACTTCTCGGATTTCCCTAACTTTTCCCTTTGGTTAGCATGTCACTCCTATAATTTTAGATCTCCAGGCCACTAAGTGGAAGCAAACAAATGCAGAAATTAACAGGTATAATTTTAACTGAATTAAGTCTACAGAGGGAAAATAAATTATAAACATTTAGGAAAGAATTCAAAGCAAATCATAAGTTATTTCAGCAAACAAAAATACACATGCTGTGTGACATTTTTTCATTGTAGAAAAATATAAACACCATAGTCAAACATGTCCTGTACTAGCAATATTTATTTCCTAAAACCAGACAGTTTATACATTTTGTAGTTGATCATATACCTGTATGCTTGTATGCTTGAGACTCAGTCATAAAGAGCTCTATTTTCCTTTGAAAATGGTAAAAGTAATACATCTTCACATGTAATGACCCCTAAAACCAAGTAGAAAAGCCTTTAAAACACACTTTCAGACTGCTGCATGGAATTGATGTTACCTGAAATACATGAGAACAAAGGCCTTTTAAACAATTCAGAAATTTATATGTTCATTCCATCAATATGGCAAAGTGACCTAACACCAAACTCTACTCTAAGGATATAGAAATGCTGAATACAATATAACTATTTTAATAATAATAATTACATCCTAACCCACAGCTACCAAGGGAAAGGAATCATGACCTTGTACTTGTGTAAGGTAGATAGGAACTGACAGCCCTGCATAGAGCCAGAACTATAAGCTGCACTCTGGAAATAGAAAACTAGGAAAAGAACACCTCTGCTTGATGGCTCAAGGAAGCTTTCAGGAAGCATGTCTCTGCCCTGTTTTCCACATGGAAAATGAACAAAAAGGTATATTATTAGAAATGAAAACCTTAAGTTTATGATAATTTGCCCCTCTACACACTCGATACAGCAATGTGAGGTAAAGTTAACGTTGAAAACTGCTTCATGTTAGTGAAACTGCTGGTGCCTCAAGTATATGCAAATGCAAAAAAAAAATACTTTCTAGGGAAATCTTCACAAAACAGGGTTCCAGTGACTTCCACAGGAAAAATAAAAGACAAAACTGCCTCAATAATGAACATGAATGAGTGTATACACACTCTCATACAATAAACACACAATATAAACCACACATATATAATCTACACTTAGTTCTGCAAATGCAATAAACAGTGATCACGAGATAGAAGAACAATACTTACACAGCTAAAAATAAATATACTAAACTGATTGAAGATATTCAAAGGAGTGGAAACTATAGGGAAAAAATAAAATAATAATAATTGCAAGGATCAAGCAGAAGTTCTAGAGACAAAAATAATGTCACTGATATTAAAAACTGAGTTGATGCAGAATTGAGATGGAAATTATAAGCAGAGATTAAAATACATAAAATGTGAATGAGAAGGTATAACACATATCTAGCAAGCATTCCAAAAGAAAAATCTAGATAATACAGAGAAGCAACGGTAAAAATCAGGGATGATTTTCCAGAACTCGTAGAAGAGCACTCAAATTGAAAAAGTGAAGATTCAATTAAGATAAATCAAATTCAATTGATACATGGAAATAAAGTAAAAAAAAAAAACCTGTGAAATATCAAATAAAAGAAAAATATTAAAAGTAATCTGAGAAAAGATATGTTACCTCCAAAAATGACAATCATACTGAGATTTTACATTAACAACAATACAAAATAGAATACACTGGCCATCTATCATCAAATAACTGAAGAAGAAATAACCGCTCACTTAGGATTTTATATCCAGATAAGTACTGAAGAGTGAATGTGACAAGACATTTCAGAATAACACTGAGGGAGTTTACCAATCACAAATGTTCACCGAAAGCATGACTACAGATGAAACTACAGTGAGAAATAGGCTGAAATTTGCAAGTAGTAGAAATACAAAAGCCAATGGTGAGAAAGAAGTAAGTATGTGAGGAAAGCTTATTTGGCATTGCTTGTAAAATACTTTGAGGGAGTTTATAAACAAATGGGACTTCAACTTCCAGGGAGATAAAGTAGATGTATTTTCTCTATCAGTCCTGCTAAACACAACTGAAAATACTGGATATTATATATGACAAACACAAAAAAAGCTCTAGAATGTGGAGAAGAAATCAGACCAACTATGGACCACTGGAGCCAAGAAATTATATATTAGTCAGTTCCCTGCTGATATATATACCCATCTCAGACTTGGAGCTAAAGGAGGTGGCAACTGGTGCATAGAAAGAAAACAAATAATAAACTTCAACAAAAGTTTGCTCTCTCAACCCAAAGGACCAGAAAAGGGGCATTTAATAAGACAGAAAACTTTTAGACAATAACCACTCTATTCCACTCATACATCACAAAAAGAAATTGTAGCCTTACCTCAACCTATAATGTCAAAGCTCAAGTGAGGAGCCTACACATCTACCCCTTCACAAAGGTATAGCAAGGCTCTAAAATACTCCCAGTTGGATAATTTCAGAGAAAACTAAGTAGAGAGGAGGGACAAAAGTCCCTGGTAACAAACTCCACCTCCATAATGTCAGTGGATATTACAAGAGGAGTCTGGGCTTACTCCCCACCCACCATTAATTAGGTGCTGCATCCCCTCTCTACTGGGGTTTTGTCAGAGAAGGCCTAGTGGAGAGTCAGGAGTTTACTATCACCTAGAGTTAATGAGGTAACACCCATCATGGTCAATAAAGACCACATGGGGAGCTGAAAGTTCACTCTTACCCAGCAGGAATGAGTGAAACTCCCCAAATACTCAGGTGTCAATGGAAGTCAAGTGCAGAACCCTGACTTCTACTCCATCTGGCAGTAATGAGACGGCATTCTCTCTTCTTCTACCACAATAATGTCGGAGGAAATAAAAAGCCAAAAATTGAAGGTGTAAATAATACCCAGAGTCTCATAACATAATAATAAAAATGTCGAGAAGTCAATAGAAAAAAAAATCACTAATTACACTAAGAACCAGGAAGATCTCAAACTGAATGAAAAAAGACAGTAGATGTCAATGCCAAGATGACAGAGAGGTTAGAATTATCTGAGAAAGATTTTAAAGCATTATACTAAAATTGAGCAATTACAAATACATTTAACACAAATGAAAGCTAGAAAGCCTCATCAAAGAAGTAGAATGTCTCAGCAAACAAATAGAACATATATAGAAGAACCAAATGGCAATTGTAGAATTCAGAAACATAGTGATTAAAATAAAAAGCTCAGTGGATGAGCTCAACAGTAGAATGAAGATGACAGATAAAAGAATCGGTAAACTAAAAGACAGAACAATAGAAATGACCCAATCTGAATAACAGAGAAACTAGACTGAAAAAAAATTTAAAAAAAACCTGAGACTCAGAGACTGTGGGTTATTAAAAAAAAAAGATGTAAACTTTGTGTCACTGGGCTCCAAGGAGAAAAACGTTGGGACTAGAAGACTACTCAAAGAGATAATGGTTGCAAACTTTTCAAAACTTCCCAAAGAAAATAAGTTTACACAGTCAAGAAACTGAGTTAACCAAAAACATGATAAACTAAAAAAAAATACACACCAAGATACATCATAATTAAAATTTTGAAAACTGAAGACAAAAAATATATTGAAGGCAGCAAGAGTGAAACAACACTTACCTACAGGAAGGACAAACTTAGAATGACAGAAGTCTTCTCACCAGAAACCATGGAGAAAAGAAAGAAGTGCCAAAATATTTTTCAAGTGCTGAAATAATCACCAACCCCATAAATGTATACCCAGCAAAAAAATGTCCTTCAGAAAAAAAAAGAAAATCAAGACATTCTCAGATAAAACCAAATTTTCAGAATTTGTTACCAGCAAGCATAATTTGAAAGAATGGCTAAAGGAAATTCTGTAAACAATAAGGAAATGATGAAACAACCTTGGAACATCAAGAAAAAAGAAAAAACTCAGCAAGCTAGAATATGGGTGAATACAATAGGCTTTTCTTCTCCTGAGTTTTCTAATTATGTTTTATAGTTGAATCAAGAGTTACAACACTATCTGATATGGTTCTAAATGTAGGTAGAAGAAATATTTAAGGTAACACTGTTATAAAAGGGGAAGGGTAAAAGGGTTTAAAGGGAGGTAAGGTTTCTACACTTTCCTCAGAATGATGAAATAAGGACACCAATAGACTATAATACTATAATAAGATACATGTGTATTAGCAAACACCAAAAAGCTATACAAAGAGATGCACTCAAAAACACTAAAGATAAATAAAAATAAAATCGCAAAAAAGCGTTCAAATAATCCCCAGGAAGAATAAACACAGATAAATTTTAAAAATACAGAACAAACAGAAAATACAAAAAAAAATTATGAAAGGCAAGTTCTAACATATCAATAATTACATTAAATATGTTTTCTAAATATGACAAATGAAAGACAAATTAGCAAAGAGTATTTTTAAATGACCAAATAATATGCTCTCTATAAGACATTTACTTCAACTATATCAATATTAGCAACTTGAAATTAAAAGGATGGAAAAATCATATTATACAAGCATTTATCAAAGGAAAGCAGTAACTACCTTAATATCAAATAGACTTCAGAGTAAAGAAAGTTAACAATGACAGAGGATATTATATAATGCTAAAAGGTTCCCTCATGTAACATTCTTGAAATAACAAAACTATATAAATACAGAACAGGTTAGAGGTTGTCAAGGGCTAGGAATGAGGTGAAGAGTTTAGGGTGGCTTATAAAGGGATGACAGAGAGATCCTGTGATGATAGAAATGTTTTATATCTTGACTGTACCAGTGTCACTATTCTTGTGATATTGACACAGTATATATAGTACAGTTGTGATACTGTACAATAGTTTTCCAGGATATTGCCATGAGGGAAACTGAGTAGAAAGTAAACTTAACCTTTTTATTCTTTAGAACTGCATGTAAATATACAATATTATCAATATAATTTCAATTAAAATTTCAATGAAAGCAAGCAATACTGGAACTAAAATACAAGGCCAGAAAACGAGAGTCAATGATCCTTCTTTAGGAGGATAGAGGTATTAATTTTAGATTTTATGTCAGGCTTTCATGTTTTAATTTTAATAGTAAGCACTAAATGAATAAAAAGTTCGAAAAGCACAGTAAACTCAAAGTACTGTGGAAATAAGTCAAAGTATGTTGCTACTCATAATGAATGTAAACAGATTAATTTGCCTGTTAGGACAGATTTCAGATTAGTAAAAAATCAAAATGGAGCTCTATGCCACTTCAAAAAATGAATGCAGGAAGGTTAAAAGCAAATGACTTAAAGATATTTTGGGGAAATACTAATACAAAGCTGATGAAGCAGTATTATACAAAAAATTGACCTTAATGTAATGGGCATTATTGGGATTGTTACGGATGCTAAGAATACACAGACAAGATCTCCTTTACTGGGACTGTGTAGCCATTCTTTAGCTGCTCTAAGTATTGTCTGCTAACAGCTCATGGCGTCTCCCTACTCAAAAGAATTGCCTTCATCTGAACCTTGCAATCAGAAGAATATACATCAATTCCCCTTAGTGGCATATCACATCCGGTGATTGGCACAGGCACAAAATCTAAAGCCCTTGCTTCAAGGTAGAACAAACTCTGTGGGTTTTAATCATGCTCCAGAGCCTCACTGTGCCATAAAGCTGAAGCCAAACTGTCTGAAATTATACCCTCCCTTATCTGTTTCCCTCTGCCCTATCCTTTTTCTCTCATTCACATTACTCTGATAGCTCTCACTGTCAAAAATTTATTTTAAAAAAATCTTCAAATAAGGCTCTGCTTCTATGAAACCAAGCTTAAGAGACATAAAATATATTTTAAATTTTCAGTTAACCAAAAATATATAATAATATTAAGTTACTATGTACCTAACAACATAGTCTCAGAATACATAAATATAAACTTGTAGAATCAGAAGAAAAAGCAATAAATCCATAGCCACAGAAAGGGTTGGCACACTACTTTCATGTAAGCTTTAAAAATAGAAAGATACACAATATAACATAATTCACCATCCTGATGTAATGGATAAACATGAACACTGAACTCAGTAACTATAGTATTTAAATTCTCTTCAAATGCTTATAAAATATTTTAAATTGAAAACATTAAAACTGATAGATAAACCACATCATGTAGTTAAATGAATTTTTTTAAAATTTACTTGTAAGTACTGTGCTAAAATTTCCTCCTGTGAATATACTAATTGGGACAGACTTATCATGTTAAAGTAAGATATTAGTAATAGGAGAAACTGGGTGTGAGATATAGAAAACTCTGTACTACCTTTGCAATTTTTCTGTTAATGTATATCTATTCTAAAATAAAAAGTTTATTTAAAAAATTCCTAGGCCATAAAGAAAATTTCATAAGCTAAAAGACTGATTTCATTTAGATCATATCTCTGATTAAAATGCAGAAATAAAACAATATGAAAGATAACCATAAGTATCAAAAATGATTATAGAAATTACAAAAATAAATGAAAACCATAATAAAAGCATAGTATACTATTGCAAAGCAAATTTTTTAAAATATAAGAGCAACTATAACTTAATTTTTTAAATTCATGACTCAAAGAAGAAATCATAAATGAAATGGTCATATATTTGTAATCAAATAACTACAAAAATACTACATATGAAAACTAATTATAAGCCATAATAATTAAAACAGTGTGATACTGGCAAAATTGAGCAATTAGACTAATGAAACAATGCAGCCTAGAAATGCAGTATGCATGTTTTAAAATTTAGCATATAGCAAAAATGACATTAAAATTATTGAAGAGAGTACAAGTTTTCCATTAAATAGAGTTGGATCAATTGAGTGTATATATGAAGAAAAATTAAGTTGATCCCTGCAATAACAAAATCATGCAATAACAAAAAATCAATTTCAAATGTATTTAAATACCTAAATGTGAACAAAAAATAAAACATTTAGACAAAAACATAGGAGAATATCTTTATGACTGGAGCATGTCAATAGCTTTCTAAGACAAGAACCCAAAGTTAAGGTAATAAAGAAAAAGTTCAAAATTGAGTATGTAATAATTTAAAGTATCGGCATGATAAAAAATTTTAAATTCGAAGATACAACTGGGAGAAGATATTTACAACACCTATGAGCCAAAAACAAATTGGTGATGAAGAAAACATAAATAACTCACATATTCATTTTTTAAAAACCAACTCAAAAAGCAGGGAAGGGATGTGGACAAGCAATTCACAGAGAAGGAATATGAATGATCAATAAACATATGAAAAGATGATCAAACTTAGTCAGAAAAATACAAATTTAAATATAATGTATTTCACACCCAACAGATTGTCAATAATTTACATCTGGTGACATAAATGTGACATTTATGGAATACATGGAAATAAAGTAAAAAAAACTGTGAAATATCAAATAAAAGAAAAATATTAAAAATAATCTGAGAAAAGATATGTTACCTCCCAAAATGACAATCATACTGAGATTTTATATTAACAACAATACAAAATAGAATACACTGGCCATCAAATAACTAAAGAAGAAATAACTTCTCACTTAGGATTTTATATCCAGATAAGTATTCAAGAGTGAATAAAGATAAAGATAAAGATGTGGAGAAACAGTTTCTCTCAAATATTTGGCCTTGGGGTGTAGTTGGTAAACAATTTTGAAAGCAATTTAGCAAATTTCTTTTAGAGCTGAAAATTTGCCCATCCAACAACCCAACAATTCCAATTCTCAGCCTATGATCTACAGAAAAATTGATATGTGCCCCAAGGAGGTATGTGTGTGCATATTTGTTGCAGAATTTTAATATAAACTTGGAAACACCTTAAGGGTTCATAATATAGGTAATAATAAATTATAGTTTAGTCACACAATGGAATTATATTCTATTCAACAGTAAAATAAATGAACAGCGTTAGTATGGGTACATATCAAAACATTATGAATGATAAAAGCAAATTACAAAAGAATATATATAATTATTGAAAGTAAGTAAATATTTAACATCACACAACACTGTAATATACTGCAAATGGTTTATAAAAACATGTTGTTGGAGGGTGAAGCAAGGTGACAAAATAGAAGCCTACACTGTTCATCCTTGCCCCCCACAGAAACACCAAATTTTAACAACTATATGCACACAGAAAAGCACAGTCACAGAACCAAAAGTCAGGCGAGCAATAAAAGTGCCTGTTTTCACTTAATATCACTGAAAGAGGCATTCAAAAGGATCAGAAAGACAGTTTTAATCACCAACATCACTCCTCCTCCATCCCCCAGCCATGCAGCACAGAGAGTCTGTGCACATGGAGAAGAGAGAGCACTGCAACTGGGGGACTGTACATTGAGTTCACAGCTGCCCTGTCACAGTGGAGAGGAGAGTAAAGACTTACTGGACTGAGCCAGCGCCCCTGCATGGAAGAAGTACTTGAACCAGACCTAGAAAGAGGGAAATTGCTTATCCCAGCCCTCTGAACTTGAGTTTCTTGGCAAGCCTCACCACTACAGGCTAAAGTGCTCTGGGGTTCTAGGCAGACCTCAGAAAGGCAGTCTAAGGTGTAAGGACTGCAATTATAAGGCAACAACTAGTGCTGATCTGGGCTCAGAGCCATAGGATTATGGTGACTCATGATCTAGGAAGAAACCAGCTGAGGCAGCTAAGAAAGTGCTTGCACCAATCCTTCCCCAACACCAGGCAGTGCACCTCCCAGCAACAAAAGAGATTCCTTCCTTCTGAATAAGTAGAGGAGAGTGAAGAGTAAAGAGTACTTTTTCTTGCATCTTGGATGCCAGCAAATCCACAATAGAATAGGGCACAAAACAGAGTTGCAAGGTACCCATTCTATACTCTACCATATATACAACATATCTAGACACATGCCAGTCCAAAAAGGAACCTGTTGCCTTGAAGGGAAAGACCCAGATATGGCAAGATTCATCACCTGCTGACTAAAGAGCCTTTGGGCCCTGAATAACAAGCAGCAATACCCAGGTAGTATACCATGGACCTTGGGCTCCAAATGTGCTACTTCAGGTGTGACCCAGAACTTTGCAAGCTATGTTGGCTATGGAGAAAGATTCCTTCTGTTTGAGAAAAGCAGAGGGAAAAGTAAAGGGAACTTTTCCTTGCATCTTAGGTACCAACTCAGACACAGTGGCATAGAACAACAAGCAGTCTCTTCGGGTCTCCAAGTCCATGCCTAGGCTCTCAGATAGCACTTCTGGACCTTCCCCTAAGTCAAAGGGGAACTCACTGCCCTAAAAGATGAGTCCCAGGCCTGGCAGAATTCACCACAAGCTGACTGAAGAACCCATGGGCTTTAAGTGAATATCTGCAGTAGCCTGGCAGAACCTTTCATGGGCCAGTGGTGGTGGTAGCCACAGGGAGAAAGGAGAGGGAAGAGCAAGAGCAAGAAAGACATTCTATTGTGGTTTAAGTGCCAGCTTAGCTGCAGTAGAATGGAACATCAGGTAAAATTCTAAGGTTTTTTACTCCAATTCCTGGCTCCCAGACAGCATCTCTGCACCTGCTCAAAGCCTAGGGTAATGTGCCATCCTGTAGGGAAGGACACATAGATGGCAGGCTTCAGCACCTACTGATAGGAGAGCCCTTGGGCCATGAGAGAGCATAGGTGGTAGCCAGGTAATGGTTACAGTGGGTCTTGGGTGAGACCCAGTGCTGTGCTGGCTTCAGGTCTGACGCAGTGCAGTCCCAACAGTGGTGTCCATAGGGGGGCTTACATCACCACACCCCAAGTTTCAGGCAGACCACCAAAGAGAGAGAGAGAGAGAGAGAGAGAGAGAGAGACCTCATTTGTTGGGGGGAAAGTAAGGAAAAATAACAAGATTCAGTGCCTCGTAATCCAGGGAATTCTTCCAGATCTTATCAAAAACTACCAAAAAGAAACCTCTATGAGACTGCAAAAACCAACAGGATTATTGGGTTTTGAGAACCTGTTTCTTCAAATATCTGAAAAGGCTTCTCAAGAATGACAGGTTAAAAACAAGCCTAGGCTGTTGTATTAGCCTGCTTTCATGCTGCTATAAAGATACTGCCTCAAACTGGGGACATATCCTTCAAACATAAAGGAAAAATAAGGACTTTTCCAGACAAACAAAAGCTGACAAATTTCATCAACACCAGAAATGTCCTACAAGAAATGCTAAAGGGAGTTCTTCAAATCTGGAGCAAAAGAACGTTAATGAGCAGGAAGAAATCTGAAGGTACACCACTCACTGGTAATAGTAAACCCACAGAAAAACACAGAATATTAAAACACTGTAACTGTGGTGTGTAAACTACTCTTATCTTAAGCAGAAAGACTCAATGTTGAACCAACAATAAATAATAGCTACAACAACTTTTGAAGACATAGGCAGTACAATAAGATCTTTATGATAAATAACAAAAAGTTAAAAAGCAGAGGGAATAAGATAAAGTATACAGTTTTTACTAGTTTTCTTTTTGTGTATTTCTTGTTTGTTTATGCAATCTATGTTAAGTTGTCATGAGTTTAAAACAATGGGTTATAAGGTAGTATTTGCAAGCCTCGTGGTAACCTCAAATTAAAAAGATACAATGTATACACAACAATAAATAGCAATTAAAAAATACCACCAAAGAAAACCACCTTCACTGAAAGAAAGACAAGAAGGAAGAAAAAAAGGAAGATAAGATAACAGATCAGGAAACAAATAACAAAATGGCAGGTAGTAAGTCCCCACTTACCAATAATAACATGGAATGTAAATGGACTAAACTATGTAATCAAAAGACATTGGGTGGCTGATTAGATGAAAAACTAAGACCCAGTGATCTGTTATCTATAAGAAACACACTTCACCTGTAAAGATACAAATTGAAAGTGAAGGGATGGAAAAAGATATTCCATGATAATAGAAACCAAAAAAGCAGGAGTAGCTATACTCATATCAGACAAAATAGATTTCATGACAAAAATTGTAAGAAGAGACAAAGACAGTCACTATATAATGATAAAGGGGTCAATTCAGCAAGAGGACATAGAAAGTTTAAATATATATGCACCCAAAGCAGGAGCACTCATATATATATAAAGCAAATATTATTAGAGCTAAAAAGAGACATAGACATCAATACAATAATAGGTGAAAACTTCGAAACCCCACTTTCAGCATTGGACGATCTCCAAGACAGAAAGTCAACAAAGAAACATTGCACTTAATCTCCACTACAGAACAAATGGGCCCAACAGATATTTACAGAAAATTTCATACAATGGTTGCAGAATACATATTCTTTTCCTTGGGAGATAGATCATTCTCAAAGATACATTAGGTCACAAAACAAGTCTTGAAACATTCAAAAACATTTAAATAACAAGTGTCTTCTCTGACCACGATAAAATAAAACTACAAATCAATAACAATAGGAAGTTTGAAAACTATACAAACACATGGAAATTAAACAACATGCTCCTGAATGACCAGTGGGTCAATGAAGAAATTAAAAGGGAAATTGAAAAACATTATTGAACCAAATGATAATAGAAACTCAACATGCCAAAACCTATGGGATGCAGTAAAAGCAGTACTAAGAGGGAATTTTGTTATTATACGTGTCTACATCAAAAAGAAGAAAAATGTCAAATAAATAAGCTAATATTACATCTTAAAGGAATAGAAAAAGCAAGAGCAAACAAAACCAAAAATTAGTAAAAAATAATAAAGATCAGAACAGTGAAAAATAAAATTAAAATAAAAAATACAAAAGATCAACAAAACAAAAAGTTATTTTTAAAAAAATTAAACAAAATTGGCAACACTTTAGCCAGATTAAGGAAGACACAGAGAGAAGACACAAATTAATAAGATCAGAGATGAAAAAAGAGACATTACAACTGATACAGCTGAAATTTAATGGACCATTAGTGGATAATATGAGCTGCTATATGCCAATAAGTTGGAAAATCTAGAGAACATGAATACATTCTTAGACACATATGGCATACCAAATTTGAACCATGGAACCACAAAAGACCCAGACTATCCAATGCTATCCTAAGCAAAAAAGAAGAACATTGGAGGAATCACATTATCTGACTTCAAATTATATGAAAAAAAAAATAGTAACCAAAACAGCACGGTAGTGGCATAAAAACAGAAATATAGACCAATGGAACAGAATACAGAACCCAGAAAGAAATCCACACACCTACAGTGAACTCATTTTCAACAAAGGTGCCAAAAACCTATACTAAGGAAAATACAGTGTCTTCAGTAAATGGGGCTGGGAAAACAAGATATCTATACACAGAAGAATCAAACTCAACCACTCTCTCGCCATATATAAAAATCTAATAAAAACAGATTAAACACTTAAATCTAAGACCTCAGACTATGAAACTACTACAAGCAAACGTTGAAGAAACTCTTCAGGGTATTGTACTGGGCAAAACTTTCTTGAGTAACACCCCACAAGCACAGGCAACCAAAGCAAAAATGGACAAATAGTATCACACGAAGTTCAAAAACTTCTGCACAGCAAAGGAAACAATCAGCACAGTGAAGAGACAACAAAATGGAAAAAAATATTTGCAAACTACCCATTTGACAAGGAGTTAATGACCACAATACATGAGAAGCTCAAACAATTCTATAGGAAAATATATAATAATCTGAGCAAAAAAAATGAGACAAGGCCAGACGCAGTCACTCATGCCTGCAATCCCAGCACTTTGGAAGGCTTAGGTGGGGGAAGAACTTGAGCCCAAGAGATAGAGAATAGGCTGGGCAACATGGCAAAACCCTGTCTCTACTAATACACACACACACACACACACACACACACACACACTAGCCAGGTGTGGTGGCCCACGCCTCTTGTCCCAGCTACTCGGCAGGCTGAGGTGGGAAGATCATTTGAGCCCAAGAGGTTGAGGCTGTAGTGAGCCAAGATCCTGCCACTACACTCCAGCCTGGGTGAGAGAGTGATACCCTGTCCCTCCTCCTCCCAAAAAAGGAACAAAATTTGAATAGACATTTCTCAAAAGAAGACATAAAAATGGCAAACAGGCATATAAAAAGGTCTTGAACATCATAGATCATCAGATAAATGCAAATCAGAACTACAATGAGATGTCATCTCACCCCAGTTAAAATGGCTTCTATCCAAAAGAAAGGCAAAAGCGGATGAGGATGTGGAGAAAAGAACCATCTACACTGTTAGTGGGAATTGAAATTAGTACATCCACCATTAACAGTTTGGAGGTTCCTCAAAAAACTAAAAGTAAAGCTATCATATGATCTAGGAATCTCACTGCTGGGTTTATACCTTAAAAAAAAAAGAAATCAGTATTTTGAAGAGATATCTGCACTCCTCTGTTTGTTGAAGCACTTTTCACAATAGCCAAGATTTAGAAAGAACATGTGTCCATCAACAGATGAACAGATAATGAAAATGTGGTACCTATACACAATGGAGGACTATTCAACTATAAAAAAGAATGAGATTCTGTCATTTGCAACATGTATGGCACTGGAGGTCATTATGCTAAGCAAAATAAGCCAGTCACAGAAAGACACACATTGCATGTGCTCACTTATTTGTGGGATCTAAACATCAAAACAATTGAACTCATGGAGATAGAGAGTACAAAGATGGGACTAGAGGCTGGCAAGGGTAGTGGTGTGGTTGAGGGGGAGGTGGGGATGGTTAATGGGTACAAAAAAGTTAGAAAAAAATGAATAACACCTAGCATTTGGTAGCCCAACAGAGTCACTATAATCAATAATAATTTAATTGTACATTTAAACATATCTAAAGGAGTATAATTGAAATTTTTGTAACAAAGTGTAAATACTTGAGGGGATATATACTCGATTTACCCTGATGTGACTATTATGCATTACATGACTGTATGAAAATATCTCATGTACCCTATAAATATACACATCTACTATGTAAGCACAAAAATTAAAAATTAAAAAATTAAAAACGTAATAAGATCATTAAATAATGACATAAAGAAAAAAATAAATGTAGGAGAGTGGTTACTTTTTGAAAGGGAAGAGCATATTGGGATAACATATGGGTAAAAAGTAGGCTTCAACTGTATCCCTGCTGTATTCCTTCAAAAAGGCTCAAGAAATATGGAAAAATATTAACAACTGTTAAAGTGGATGGTTTATTTTTAGGTTCCAAATTATTAGACAGAACATAAAATCTCTCATAATGTCATCATCCAGATTTTACCATTGTTAACCTGACAATGCATTTTTTCTAGTTTCTCTGTGCTTTTTCCTTGTACTCTTACCCTCCGGGAGGTGGGGTGTGTGTGTGTGTGTGTGTGTATGTATGTGTGTGTGTGCCTGTAGTTAATTTGCATCTTAAGGTTTTGCACATTAATTTCTTCACATAGCATCATATAGTAAGCATTTAAGCATTTGATCAGATTGTTAAATAATTTCTAAAATATGTTATTTGATGGTTAGATGCTACTACCTGAGCATTGATATATAGGCATTTTAATAAGTGCCAATGTTTCACAGCTTAAATAAACAAAAAATGGCCATTTTTGATGTTCATCTTTAGCTCCACCTCTGAATAGTTCCTTAGGATATATTCCTTATATGGAATTGCTAAGACAGATATTAATATTTTAAAGCTCTTAGTATATATTTTGCTAAATTGATTTTGACAACACTTAGGCCATTGGCATTCCTATTAGCAGAAGGAGTATCCACACTCACCATCATTGAGGATTATTATTTTTAAAATCTCTGTCAAATATATATCTACATAGATATATATCTATATATCTCACTTCGATTTTCATTACTTTGATTACCCATTAAGTTTGACATGATTATAATGTCTGTGTAAACTATTTTTCTTTTCATGTCATTACCACTTTTCTATTAGAATATTCATTTTTCTTCTGAGTTTTCCAGTCTTTTTCTATGTCCACATATTCCTGTTCCAACACCACACTGCTTTAGAAAATGCTTCTTTGATACATTTTTATATAAGCAAGCATCCTCTATTTTTCTAATTCAAAAATGTCTTGGCTGTCTCATGTTTAAAAACTTCCAGATGAATGTTAAAATTATTTTCCCAAGCTTCAAAAATCCTATTGGGATTTCAATCCAAATTACAGTAAACTTACATCTGAAGTTTTGAAAAACTTGGCATGTTCATAGTATTTAGTCTTCCTATTCCAGAACATGTTATTCTTCTACATTTACGTAAATCTTGTACCTCTCCCAGTAAAGTTTTGTAATTTTGTTCAGATTTTTTTTATTGTTTCTGAGTATTTTGTGTATTATATTGCCTTGTAAGTGAATCTTTTTCGCCTACACTATTTTCTAACTACTTACTATCAGTTTTTAGGAAATCTCTTTAGTCTGTCCATATATTTTGCATACAGGCACTTCACTGAACTTTTTCATTAATTCTAATATTTTATGTATAATTTTTTAGATTTTCTATGTGTGTATTTCTTATTACATGTAGTGGAATTTCTACACCAGTATTAAACAATTACACTGATGTAGCATGCTTGTCTTGTTACTGATTTTATTATAATGTCTCTAGTGTTTCACTGTTATGGATGATATTGGTTATTGTTTTTATTTGAATATAATAATATTAAGGACCTATTCTTTCATGCCCAGTCTTTTAAAAAATTAATGCTTTGTCTTTTTCATCAGAAATGTGTGCTGAAATTCAGAAAATGCCTCTATGGACATCTATTGGGATAACCGTATAACTTAGTTTTCTTTTGACCTATGGATGTGATATAATAAGAGACTTTCTAATGAAGTCATTTTGATATTATTGAAATAAGTTATATTGGTGATATTATCTTCATTTTATTTTTCCATATTTTATTTGCCTAGTAATTTATTTGGGACTTTTTTATTTTAAATGAATTAGTCCTTAAATTACCTGTGCTATATTTGGCAAGATTTTATGTCCGGATTCTATTAGCTTCAAGAAAGCATTCCATGATTTTTTAAATTGGATAATTATGTATCCTTTGAAAATCTAAAAAAAAAATATTAGTCAGATAATTTGTACATAGTGTCCAAATAGAATATAAGCTGCAAAAAGGATTTTTGTCTGTTTTCTTTACTATTTTATCCCTACTATCTAGAACAGTATCTGCTACAGGGTAAATATTCAGTAAATATTTATTGAATAGATGTAAAGTAATGAACAGACTCCCCAGACATTTCTTGGAGTTGTTTGAAAAGTTTCTTTTTGTTCCAGTTTATCTCATACTTTGCTTTACAAAGGCATCACATAGACACACACATGCGTGCTCTCTCTCTCTCTCTCTCTCACACACACACATATACACACACACACATACACACACACACACACACACATACTTACCTCAAAATAAACCTATTTTTTACAAATGGGATTACATCAAGCTAAAAAGCTTCTGCACAGTGATGGAAGCAATCAACAAAGTAAAGAGACAACCCACAGGAAGAAAATATCCCCACAAGGGATTAATAACTGTAATATATAAGGAGCTAAAACTCCATAGCAAAATAATAAATAATTATATTAAAAATGGGCAAAAGATCTTAATAAATATTTTTCAAAATAAGACATAAAAATAGACAACAGGTATATGGGAAAATGTTCAACATCACCAATCATTGGGGAAATGCAATTTAAAACCACAATGTAATATTATCTCATTCCAGTTAGAATGGCTTTTATCAAAAAGAGGGGAAATAACTAAAGGAGTACATTGGATTTTTTGTAACGCAAAGGATAAATGCTTGAGGTGATGAATACCCCATTTACCCTGATGTTATTATGCATTGCATGCCTTTATCAAAGTATCTAATGTAACCCATATATATATATACACACACCTATTATGCACCCACAATTTTTTAAGACAGGCAATAATAAATACTGGAGAGGAGGTGGAGAAAGGGGAAACTTTGTACACTGTTGGTAGGTATGTTAATTAGTTCGGCTACTATAGAAAACAGTATAGATATTCCTCAAAAAACTAAAAACAGAACTATCATATGGTCCAGCAATCCCACAGGTGGGTATAATATATCCAAAATAAAGGAAACTAGTGTGTCAAATAGATATCTGCACTCCCATGTTTATTGCAGGTCTATTCACAATAGCCAAGATATGGAATCAACCTAGTGCTCATCAATGGATGAATGGATTAAAAAAGATATACACAATAGGATTTAGCCTTAAAAAGAAATAAAAGCCTATTATTTGCAGCAGCATGGATGAAACTAGAGGAAATTGTGATAGTTAAAATAAGCCAGGCACAGAAAAACAAATATTGCTTGTCCTCACTCATGTGTGGAAGCCAAAAAAACTATTGATCTAATAGAGAGTAGAAGGATGGTTACCAGAGGCTGGGAAGGGTAGTGGGTAAGGGGGAATAAAGAGGGACCGGTTAATGAGTACAAAAATACAGTTAGATTGAAAAAGTAAGATATAGTGTTTGGTAGAACAATAGGGCGAGTATAGATAACAATAACGTTCTATATATTTCAAAATATCTGGGAGAGTGAAATCAGGACGTTCCTAACACAAATAAATGACAAATGCTTGAGGTGATAGCTTTTCTACTTTCTTTGATTTCATCATTATACATTGCATGCTTGTATCAAAATATCACATGTAAAACTATTATGTATTCATAAAAATAAAAAATAAATTTTTTAAATGTAAAAAATTATTTTTAGAAAAGTGAAGTATAGATGTTACTAGAAAAACCATATATTTCACTTAAATTTCCAACTGATATTAAGAACAATTTTTAAAATTTTATTTTTTCTATTCTTAAAAGTTATGACTAGGTTGAAAATTATATTTTAAGAAAATTTTCAAGTTAGCATTTCAATGTTTCAGTGATAGACGTAATGAATTGTTAAAGTCTCAATTTAAACTGAACATGTAGTTCATTCTGAGGAAAAAAGCTAAAAGCAATTTCTTTTCTGAGTCTGTTAATATTTTCCAGAATATATATATATAAATATATAATTAATTTTATATATAATTTTACATATAATTAATTTTAAGTAGCATGTCCTCAGCAAAATACCATGCTAATTTATATTAACTATTAAATACTATGTTAATTATATTAATCCACAAGTGACTTGAGGGTTCTGGTGTTATAGATCAATGATCTATGGTATATTTCACAGACACAATATAACAATTATTTATTTGACCCTGGATAATATGGTGTACTTCCAAATGTAAGGAAGCTGTAATTGAAAAGTACAGAGCAACCAAAAAATAAAATAAACCTACAGAGCCCTCTGTTGGTAAACTAGAGAATATGTGATCAGAAAGAAAATTTTCAATATGTTTCTTCATTTTTAATTCAGTTTAATTCAGTTTTTGTGTCTGAATTTAATCTCATGGGATGAACTTGTTATGTTCTGTTTTTATATCAGTCAGTTCAAAATTATGTAAATTAATAGGGAAAATGTCAAGACATTAATGGTTAATGCAGTGCATCCTGTTGCATGGCCTTGAATAGGCACGATGTAGTCTGGCCTTGTTCTGGGAGAGTAACAATAGACAGAGAAGAACTATTTATAGACAATTCCAATGAAGGTGTTTGAAGAGGAAAACAGGTGGTATTCTGAAAAAAACAGATTGCTATTCTCCTCCTCTTTTTCTCCAATTTTCAAATATCAGCTGAAGTTCTTACAATTGAGCGAGTTCATTGCAATTTATTGGCAAAAATAGGAGTTGGTATCCTGAAACTAAATCTAAATCCCCTTCTAAAGAAGGGTGATAGATATCCACAAAGATTGAGCTATATCCCCACAATACTCATTCCTTTTCTCCTTGGTAGTATACCATAAATTTTGGTTGAGCATATTGGCCACTTAGAATAAACATAGTATTTCTTAGCTTCCTTTGCAGTGAGCTTTGGCCATGTAACTATACTCTCGCCAGTAAAATGAAAGTGGCACCATACACAATGTTTGGGAAATGTACTTAAAAGGGAGGAGGCATGTCCTTCTTTACTTTTTCCGCAAGTGTCGTAGCTGAGAGCAGTTCAGCAAACATTTTGGACAATGAAGTTGAAGATATACGTTGAGGATGAAAAAGAAACTGTATATAACAAATCTATATTCCCCAATAGATTTATGAATTTCTCCTCCATGTGCCAGACTGCCTGTCTTATAATCAACTGTATTGTTTTTTTAAGTTATTGCTATTCTGAATCTCTGCTACAGCTAAACTTAAACCTAAATGAAAAAAGGACTACTAGGGTAAAAATTTTCAAAAAGACTATGAATGGGGTCCTCTCAAACAGCATGTGAGTACCCAATAAAACAACCAACCAAGACTGTTACTTATTACATGTACTTGAAAAACTGAAAAGTACACAAGAACAAAATGACACTATCAATCATGATGAAGTTATAGAATTACATTTTTCAACTACTTATGAACACATTAACATACTTAGCATATCTGCAAAATGCTGCCAAGGCATCTCCATTTATTCACCTTCTCTACACAGGAATGGAAAGCTAAAACCGTATAATAAGTAGCAATTCTCTGCTATTTGAAGATACATATATGGAGGCAGTATAATGAGGGAAACTGGAATCAGGAGATCAGGTTCCTAGTTAACTAATTCTGAGACCTTAATCAAAGCGATTAAATAATCTACATCACCTTACTCAACTGCAAAATGGGAATTACACCTGTCCTATCTACTACGGAGGGCTTTTGGGAAAATTAAATGAAATCATGTAAATGAAGATGCTTTGTAAAGCATAGAAATACTAAACAAATGTAAGGGCATGAACTTACTGTCCAGATTACTGGAGGTAGCAAACCATTTTCACAAATAAATTGTCCATGTAACCAAATACATTTATCTAACTCTCGTTACCATAAACAACACTGTAAAGGGCTCAACTGTAACGTAAATATTACATATATTCAAACACCAGCTTGAAAATATTCATCAAGTTGCCTACCAATATTTAACAGTGAGATGCAAATGATTGAGGAATCAGGTATTTTCAAATTTAACATTGTTTTTTCCAGGGTTATTGATATATTATTGACAAAAAAATTGTATATATTAAATGTATAATAACATAATAAGATATACATGTGCATTGAGTAATAATTGCCACAATCAAATTAACTAACACATCCTTCACCACACATAGTTACTATTTCCACAAGTGTGTATGTGTGTGTGCAGTGAGGACAGTTAAGCTCTGCTGTCCTAGTAATTTCAATTAAACAATACAATATCATTAATTATAGTAACAATGTTGTACATTAGATCCCCAGAAATTATTCATCTCATAACTGAAAATGTGTATCCTAACATCTACCCATTTTCCCTAATCCCCAATTCCTGGCAACCACCCTCTTAATGCACTCCAGATTGTCCATTATGCTAAGTGAAGTAAGTAAATATCTATGTTGTCTCAGATGGAAGCTTAGAAATAAGCTAAGTAAATTTCTATGTTCTTGTGGATGGTAAGATTTCCTTCTTTTATGGCTGAATAATATTCCAGTATGTGTGCATATATATATAGTGTGTGTGTATATATATGTGTGTATATATACCATACACCATATTTTCTTGAACCTAAATGTCATGCATTAATGGACACTTAGGTTGTTTTCATATCTTGTCTATTGTGAATAGTGCTGCAATAAACATAGAAGTGCAGATAACTCTTTGGGATATCAATTGTATATGTACCTGGAAATGAGAATCCTGGATCATAAGGTAGCTCTATTTTTAATTTTTTGGCATAATGGCTGTACTAATTTCCATTGCTACCAACTGTGTACTGGCTCCCTTTTCTTTATACTCTTGCCAATACTTGTTATCTCTGGTCTTTTTGATAATAGCCATCCTAACATGTGTGAGGTGATATTTCATTGTGGTTTTGATTTGCATCTCCCTGATGATTAGTGACATTGAGCACCTTTTCATGTATTGGTTAACCATTCGTATGTCTTCTTTGGAAACATGTTTATCCATGTCCTTTGCCCATATTTTAATCAGGTTATTTTTGTTTTTTTCTATTTAATTGCATGAGCTCCTTATATATTTTGGACATTAACTTCATAGGAGATAGTTTATGGTTTGCAAACATTTTCTCTCATTCCATAGGTTGCTTCTTTATTCTGTTGATTATTTCCTTTGCTGTGCAGAAGATTTTTTAGTTTGATGTAATCTCACTTGTTTTTTGTTTTGGGATTTTTTTTTTTTTTTTTTTTTTTTTTTTTGGCTCTTGTTGCCTGTGCTTTTGACATCACATCCAAATAAACATTTTCAAACTCACTGTTAAGGAGCTTTCTCTCTATGATTTCTCCTACAAATTTTATTGCTTCACACGTTACTTTTAGGTCTTTAATATATTTGAGTTTATTATTGTATATGGTATAAGACAAGGGTTCTGTTTATTCTTTTGCATGTAGATATCCAGTTTTACAAACACCATTTTTGGAAGAGACTATCACTTTCCTAATGTGTGTTCCTGAAACCCTTGAAGATTAGTTGACTGTATATGCGTGGGTTTAGTTTTGGACAATCAATTCTGTTTCATTGGTTTCTGTGTCTTTTTTCACTGAAAGTATCATATTCTTTTTATTACAATAGGATTGTAATAAAGTTTGAAATCAAGAAATGTGAGGCTTCTAGCTCTGTTTTCCTTTCTCAAGATTTCTTTGGTTATTTGGGGTCTTTTGTTGTTCCATACAAACATGAGGATTGTTTTCTCTTTGTCTGTGAAAAATGCCCTTTGGACTTTTGTAGGAATTGTATTGAATCTGTACATACTTTTGCATAATGCAGGTATTTTATTAATATTAAGTCTTTCAATCCATAAGCATGGAATATCTTTACATTTATTTGTCTTCAATTTTTTATCAATATCTTATAGTTTTCAGTATGTAGATCATTCATCCACTTAGTTAAACTTACTCCTAAATATCTTTTAATTTTTTTAATATTTCCTTTATTTAAATGAATCTGAACTTAACATGAAAGGATAACTCATTTCATTTCCATGTTTTCATTCTTTGTTTTTTGTAGGTACATGAGATATTTTGATACAAGCATGAAATATGAAATAATCACATTATTGCGAATGGGGTTTCTATCCCCTCAAGCATTCGTTCTTTGTATTAAAAACAATTCAATTCTACTTTTTAAGTTATTTTAAAATGTACAATTAAATTATTATTGACGATATCACGCTGTTATGCTATGAAATCATAGGTCTTATTCATTCTTTCTATTTTTTGTGCTCATTAAGCATCCCCAACCCCCGCCCCCCAATTCCTCTACTACCTTTTGCATCTTCTGGTAACAATTCATCTACTCACTATGTCAATGAGCTCAATTGCTTTTAATTTTAGATACTACAAATAAGTGAAAACATGCGATGTTTGTCTTTCTGTGCCTGGCTTATTTCACTTAAGATAATGATTACCATTTTGATCCATATTATTGCAAATAACAGAATCTCATTATTTTTACAAGAGTAATTCATTGTATATATGTATCAGATTTTCTTTATCCATTCATCTGTTGATAGATACATAGGTTGCTTCTAAATCATGACTACTAGGAATGGTGCTGGAACAAACATGTAAGTGCAGATATCTTTTCAATATACTCATTTACTTTATTGAGGTATATAATGAAAAGCAGAATTACTGGATTCTCCAAACTGTTCTCCATAGTGGTTTTAGTAATTTACATTCCCATCAACAGTGTTCACGACTTCCGTTTTCTCCACATCCTTACCAGCATTTGTTATTGCCCGTCTTTTGAATATAAGACATTTTCAGTGGGGTGAGATGATATTTCATTGTAGTTTTGATTTGCATTTATCTGATGATCAATGATGAGCACCTTTTCATAAGCCTGTTTGCCATTTGTATGTCTTCTTTTGAGAAATACTTATTCAAATATCGAGTTCATTTTCTTGTTGGATTATTAGATTTTTTTCCTATAGAGTTGTTTGAGCGTTTTATATATTCTGGTGAGATGGGTAGTTTGCAAATATTTTCTCCCATTCTGTAGGTTGTCTCTTTACTTTGTTTCCTTTGCTGTCCAGGAGTTTTCTAAGTTGATTGGATCCCATATGTTCCTTCTTGGTTTGGTTGCCCGTGATTGTGGGGCATTACTCAAGATATTTTTGCCCAGAACAATGTACTTGAGATTCTTCCCTAAGTTTTCTTGTAGTAGTTTTACAGTTTGAGGTCTTAGATTTAAGTCTTTAACTCATTTTCATTTGATTTTTGTACATGGTGAGAGATAGATAGTGCTCTAGTTTTACTCTTCTGTAAATGAATATCCAGTTTTCCTGGCACCATTTATTGAAGAGACTGTCTTTTCCTTAGTGTATGCTTTTGGCACCTTTGTCAAAAATGAGTTTACTGTAGGTGAATGGATATGTTTCTGGGTTTTCTATTCTGTTTCCTTGATCTATGATTCTGTTTTTTATTCCAGTACCATGCTGTTTTGGTTACTACAGCTTTGTAGAAAAATTTAAAGTCAGATAATGTGATTCCTCCAGTTTTGTTCTGTTTGCTTAGGATAGTTTTGACTGTTCTGGGTCTTTTTCGTTTCTATACAAATTTTAGGATTATTTATTGTATTTCTGTGAAGAGCATCAGTGGTATTTTTATAGGGGTTGCATTAAATCTCTAGATTGCTTTGGGAAGCAAGGGCATTTTAACAATATTAATTCTTCTTCCAATCAATGAACATGAAACATCTTTCAATTTTTTAGTGTCCTCTTCAATTTCTTTTATCAGTGTTTTATAATTTCATTATTATTTTTCACTTCTTTGGTTATTTCCTAGATATTTGATTTTATTTGTGGCTACTGTAAATAAGAGTTTTTATATTTTTATTTTTTAGATTGCTCAATGTTGGCAAATAGAAATGCTACTCAGTTTTGTATGTTGATTTTGCATTTTGCAACATTACTGAATTTTTTAATCAGTTATAACAGTTTTTTGGTGGGGTCTTTAAGTGTTTCCAAATATAAAATTATATTATCTGTAAACAAGCATGATTTGACTTATTCCATTCCAATTTGAATAATTTTTATCTCTTCCTCTTGTCCAATTTTTCTAGCTAGGACTTCCATTGCTATGTTAAATACCAGTGGTGAGGGTTAGTATCCTTGTTGTGTTCCAGATCTTACAGGAAAGGCTTTAAGTTGTTCCCAATTCAGTATGATATTAGTTGTGGGTCTTTGATATATGGCTTTTATTATGAGGTATATTCCTTCTATCCCCTGTCTTTTGAGGGTTTTTATCATGAAGGGATGTTGAATTTTATAAAATGCTTTTCAGCATCAATGGAAATGATCATAAGGTTTTGTCTTTCATTATGTTAGTATAATGCATCACATTGATTGATTTGCATATGTGGAACAATCATGACAACCCTGGGATAAATCCCACTTGCTCATGATGAATGATCTTTTTTATATATTGTTGAATTTGGTTTGCTAGTATTTTGTTGAGAATTTTTGTATCAATATTCATCAGAGATATTGGCCTACAGATTTCTTTTTTATGTGTCTTTGGTTTTTGCATCAGGGTAATTCTGGCCTTGTAGAATGAGTTTGAAAATTTTCCTTTCTCCTCTATCTTTTAGAATACTTTGAGTAGGACTACCATGAGTTTTTTAAATGTGTGGTAGAATTAAGCAGTAAAGCCATTGGGTCCTGGGCTTGTCTTTACTGGGACACCTTTATTAAAGCTTCAATCTCGTTACTTGTTATTGGTCTGTTGAGGTTTTGGATTTCTTCCTGGTTCAATGTGGGTAGGCTGTAAATGTCTAGGAATTTATCCATGTTCTCTAGATTTTCCAATTTACTGGCATATAGTAGCTCATAGTAGCTACTAATGTTTCTTTGAATTTTGGCAGTATCTATTGTAATATCTTTGATTTCATCTCTGATTTTATTTATTTAGGTCTTCTCTCTTTTTTTTCGTAGTTAGTCTAACTAAATTTGTCAATTTTGTTTAACATTTTTAAAAACAACTTTTTGTTTTGTTGATCTTTTGTATTGTTTTCATTTCAATTTTATTTTTCTTTGAAATTTTTTGAAGTTCTAATCTTCATTATTTCTTTTAAAGTTAATTTTTGGTTTGATTTGCCCTTGCTTTTCTAGCTCTCCACGATGCAATATTAGGTTATTAATTTGACATCTTTCTTCTTTTTTGATTTAGGCACATATAGCAATAAACTTCCCTCTTAGCACTGCTTTTACTCTATCTCACATATTTGGTATGTTGTGTTTCCATTATCATTAGTTTTAAGAAATTTTTCAATTTCTTTATTGACCCACTTGTCATTCAGAAATGTATTTTTAAAATTTCATGTATCTATATAGTTTCAAATATTCCTCCTGTTATTGATTTGTAGTTTTATTCCATTGTGATCAGAGAAGATGCTTGATATTATATAATTTTTGAATGATTTAAGACTTGTTTTATGACCTCACATATGCTCTATCCTTGGGAATGATCAATTTGCTGAGGAAAAAAATGTGTATCCTGCAGCTGTTGGATGAAATATTTTGTAAATATCTATTAAATCCGTTTGCCGTATAGTACAGATTGATTCTGATGTTTCTTTGTTGATTTTCTGACTGGGAAGATCTGTCCAACGCTAAATATGGGATGTTGAAATCTCAGCTATTGTTATATTGGGGCCTATCTCTCTCTTTAGCTCTAATAATAATTGTTTTATATATCTGGGTGTTCCAGTGTTGGGTGCATACGTATTTAAATGTGATATATCCTGTTGATGAATTTACCCCTTTATCATAATAAAGTGACTTTCTTTATCTCTTCTTATACTTTTCGTTTTGTTATCTATTTTGTCTAATATAAATATAATACTCCTGCTTTTTTGAAGTTTCGTTCGCTGGAATATCTTTTCCCATCCCTTTATTTTAAGTGTATGTATGCCTTTATAGGTGAATTGTGTTTCTTATAGGCAACAGGTTACTGGGTCTTGTTTTTTTTTTCTTCTTTTTTTGACTTTTTATTTTATTTTATTTTTCTTTCAATAGTCTTTGGTTACATGGGTAAGTTTTTTAGTGGTCATTTCTGAGATTTTGGTGCACCTGTCACCCAAGCCATATACACTGTACCCAGTGTGTAGTCTTTAATCACTCACCCTTCTCCCACCCTTTCCTCCAAGTCCATTACATTATTCCAATCCCTTTACATTCTCCTAACTTAGTTCCCACTTACAATTGAGAACGTACGACATTTGATTTTCCATTCCTGAGTTTCTTTACTTAGAATAATGGCCTCCAGCTCCATACAAGTTGCTGCAGAAGACATTATTTCTTTCCTTTTTATGGCTGAGTTAGTAGTCCATGTTGTATATATACCACATTTTCTTTTTTTATTATTATTATACTTTAAGTTCTAGGGTACATGTGCAGAATGTGCAGTTTTGCTACATAGGTATACATGTGCCATGGTGGTTTGCTACACCCATCAACCTGTAACCTACATTAGGTATATCTCCTAATGCTATGCCTCCCCTAGCCCCCCATTCCTGACAGGCCCCAGGGTGTAATGTTCCCCTCCCTGTTTCCATGTGTTCCCATTGTTCAACTCCCACTTATAAGTGAGAACATGCAGTGTTTGGTTTTCTGTTGTTGTGTTAGTTTGCTGAGAATGATGGTTTCCAGCTCCATCCATGTCCCTGCAACGGACATGAACTCATCCTCTTTTACAGCTGCATAGTATTCCATGGTGTAGATGTGCCATGTTTTCTTTATCCAGTCTATCATTGATTGACATTTGGGCTGGTTCCAAATCTTTGCTATTGTGAATAGTGCTGCAATAAATATACATGTTCATGTGTTTTTATAGTAGAATGATTTATAATCCTTTGAGTATACACCCAGTAATGAGATTTCTGGGTCAAATGGTATTTCTGGTTCTAGATCCTTGAAGAATCGCCACACTGTCTTCTACAATGGTTGAACTAATTTACACTCCCACCAACAGTGTAAAAATGTTCCTATTTCTCTACATCCTCTCCAGCATCTGTTGTTTCCTGACATTTTAATGATAGACGTTCTAACTGGTGTGAGATGGTATCTCATTGTGGTTTTGATTTGCATTTCTCTAATGACCAGTGATGATGAGCTCTTTTTCATTTGTTTGTTGGCTGCATAAATGTCTTCTTTTGAGAAGTGTCTGTTCATACCCTTTGCCCACTTTTTGATGGGGTTGTTTGTTTTTTTTCTTGTAAATTTGTTTAAGTTCTTTGTAGATTCTGGATATTAGCCCTTTGTCAGATGGATAAATTGAAAAAATTTTCTCCCATTCTGTAGGTTGCCTGTTCACTCTGATGATAGTTTCTTTTGCTGTACAGAAGCCCTCCAGTTTAATTAGATCCCATTTGTCAATTGTGGCTTTTGTTGCCATTGCTTCTGGTGTTTTAGTCATGAAGTATTTGCCCATGCCTATGTCCTGAATGGTATTGCCTGGGTTTTCTTCTAGGATTTTTTATGGTTTTAGGTTTTGCATTTAACTCTTTAATCCATCTTGGGTTAATTTTTGTATAAGGTGTAAGGAAGGGGTCCAATTTCAGTTTTGTGCACATGGCTAGCCCAACACCATTTATTAAATAGGGAATTCTGCATATGGCTTTCCCAACACCATTTCTTAAATAGGGAATCCTTTCCCCATTGCTTGTTTTTGTCAGGTTTGTCAAAGATCGGATGGTTGTAGATGTGTGGTGTTATTTCTGAGGCCTCTGTTCTGTTCCATTGGTCTATATATCTGTTTTGGTACCAGTACCATGCTGTTTTGGTTACTGTAGCCTTGTAGTTTTTCTTTTTTATCCATTCAGCCACTCTGTCTTTTGTTTGGAAGGTTTAGTCCATTTACATTCAATGTTATTATTGGTAAGTAAAGACTTACTCCTACCATTTTGTTATTTGTTTTCTGGTTGCTTTGTGGTCTTTTATTACTTCTTTCTTTCTTTATTTCTTTCCTGTCTTTTACTGAAGGTGATTTTCTCTGGTGATATGAGTTAGTGTCTCCATTTTTATATTTTGTGCATTTACTCTATGCTTTTGTTACAAGTTACCATAAGGCTTCAAACATTAACTTATAACCCATCATTTTAAGCTGATGGCACCTTCATGCTCTTTGCATTAAAAAAAAGGAGCAAAAAAAAAAACTAATAAAAACTATAAGCCTTTACTTTGTCTCCCCACTTTTTAGCTTTTTGTTGTACCTATTTATTTCTCGCTGTATTCTCTATGTCTCTAAAAGTTGTTCTAGTTATTATTTTGATGAGCTCATCATTTAGTCCCTCTACTTAGGATAAGACTAAAGTACACATCACAGTTACAGTGTTATAAAATTATCTGTTTCTCTATGTATTTACTATTCCCAGTGATTTTTTTACCTTCAGATGATTACCTTTTGCTCTTTAATATTCTTTTCGATTGAAGGGCCCCCTTTAGAATTTGCTATAGGACAGATCTGGTGTTAATAAAATCCCTCAGCTTTTGTTTGTCTAAGAAACTATTTCTCCTTCATGTTTGAAGAATATTTTCACTGGATATATTATTCTTGGGTAGTTATTTTTTTCTTTCAGTGCTTTAAATATGTCGTACCACTCTCTTCTGGAATGTAAGATTTCCACTGAAATGCTTGCTGCCAGATGTATTGGAGCACTATTGTATGTTGCTTGTTTCTTTTCTTTTGCTGCTTTTAAGATCCTTCTTTATCCTTGACTTTTGGAAGTTTGAGTACTAGATGCCTTGAGGTAATCTTCTTTGAGTTAAATCTGCTTGGTGTTCAATAACCTTATTGTACTTGTATATTAATATCTTTCCCTAGGTATGGGACGTTTCCTGTTATAATCCCTTTGAACAACTGTCTGCCATTATCTCTTTCTCTATCTCCTCTTTAAGGCCAGGAACTTTTAGATTTTCCTTTTTGACACTATCTTCTAGATCCTGTAGGTGTGCTTCATTGCTCTTCATTCTTTTTTCTTTTTCTTCTGTCTCCTCTGTGTCTGTATTTTCAAATAAACTGTCTTTAAGCTCCCTAACTCTTTCTTCTGCTTGATCAATTCTGCCATTAAAGACTGATGCATTGTTTAGTAAGCAGATTGCAATTTTCAGCCCCAGAATTTCTGCTTGATTCTTTTTCATCACCATAGTAGCCACCATAGTGAGGAATTTGCTAAGTCTCACCTGAGTCCAGATAGTTTCAGAGTCTCACTCAAAGCCATCAAGGTAGTATCTCAATATTGTTGCTGGCTATACAGGGCCCAAGGGCTCCTCAGTTAGAAGGTGATGAATGCTGCCAGGACTAGATCCTTCCCTTCAGGGAAGTGGGTTCCCTCATGTCTCAGAGTATGTCTAGAACTGTTTTCTAGGAGCTGGGGCCTGAAAAGGGACCTCACAGCTCTTACCAGTGCCCCATCCTGCTGTGGCTGAGCTGGTATCAAAGATGCAGGACAAAGTCTTCCCCACTCTTACTTCCCCTCCACTGAAGCATAAGGAAGGAATCTCATTTGGAGCTATAAGCTGTGCAGCCTGAGTTAAAGGAGGGATGATGCCAGTATTCCTTTTGCTGCCCCAGCTCATATGTCAGTTGGTTGTGTGAGCCCCCAGTCTACTGGCTCTTAGCCCAATTTAACACTGGGACATGCCTATGAGTTGCAGTCCTTGTGGCTTAGACTGCCTTTCCAAATTATTTACAGACCTAGAGCACTTTAGCCCACATTGTCCAGGCTTGCGAAAACTCAAGTTCTGACTGCTGGGATCAGTGATTCTCCTCTGTCTATGGCTGGTTTAAATTCTTACTCTGTGGGTGGGCATCAGCTGAGTGTGCTCTGGTTTTCCTTTCTCCTATAATAGACAGTACTGAGTTCAATGACACAATTGCTGGCTCACCCTCTCCCTAGGGCACAGAAACAATCTCTGCACTGCACTACCACTGCCAGGGGGATGGAGGATGAGTGGGGTCAGTGATTCAAGACTGTTTTTTCTACCTCTTCAATGCTTCTTTCAGTGATATGAAGTTAAAACTAGGTACTGTGAATGCTTCCTTGAGTTTTGGTTCTTAAAGATGTTTCTTTTTTTCCTGTGTAGGTAGTTGTTAAATTGGTGTTTTTGTGGGGCAACAATTGGTTGAGCCCTTATATTCTGCCATCTTGCCCCACATTTTCAGTCCTAAATATGGTCTTCTTTTTGGCATTATTGGAAGTGGGATTGTTTTTTTCAATTTCCTCTTCAGATTGTTCATGACTAGTGCATAAAAACACAACAAATTTTTGTATGTTGTATCCTGCAACTTTGTTGAATTTATTAGGTCTAACAATTTTTAATGAAATTTTTAATGTTTTCTATATATAAGATCCTGTCATCTGCAAAAAGAGACAATTTAACTTCTTATTAAGATGGCTTTTATACATTTTCTTGCTGAATTTGTTCTGGCTTGGACTTTTACTACTGTGGTGAATCCAAGTGGTGAAAGTGGGCATCTTTGTTTTCTCCTCATCTTAGAGTAAAAGCTTTCCACTTTTCACTGGTTGAGTATACTGCTAGCTGTAGGCTTGTCTTACATAGCTTTTATTATGTTGAAGTACTCTCCTTCTGCACCTTCCTAGCCTTGTTCACTTGTAATATCCTTAATATTTTCTATTGTTGTAAGAGGCAGGTATCCCAATTTTACAACTGTGTATGAACATTGAGTCTTTGTCGATGCCAGTAACCCATCTGTGTCTATTGCCCAACATCATAATATCAAACACATTCGCTCTGAGGTATTAATAAAAATAATAATATTCTAAACTAAAATAATTTTACAGGAAACATATATCTTTTCTATCCACAAAAAAACAGAAAATAGAGGATGAGAGCAAGATAACAGAATAGAAGGCTCTATTGATCATTAAACCCCCACTAGGACACAAATTGAACAAATAATTACACAAAAAAGCACCATCGTTAAGAACTGAAAAATTAGGTAAGCACTCACAGTATGTGGTTTTAACTTCATATTACTGAAAGGAAGCACTGAAGAGGTAGAAAAAGACAGTCTTGAATTGTCCACACCACCCCTTCCCAATCTCCCAGCAGTGGATGTATGGTGCAAAGAGTGTTCCTATGTGCTAGGGAAAGAGAAACTGCAGAAGTTGTGAGGAATTGAACTCAGTACTCCTGTTATAGCAGAAAATAAAGCTAGAACAAAGTCAGCTAATGCTCATCCATGGAGTGAGCATTTAAAACAGCCATAGCCAGAGAGGAATAGCCAATCCCAGCAGCCTAAACTTCGGTTCCCACAAACCTCGCCAAAGCAGGCTAAAGCATTCTGGGACCCTAAATAAACTTGAAAGGCAATCTAGGCCACAAGGACTGAAAGGCCTAGGTGAATCCTAGTGCTGAACTGGGCCCAAGATTAGTGGAGTAGGAAGGCACATGACCTACCAAGATACCAGCTGAAGCAGATAAGGGAATACTGGCATCATCCCTTCCCTAACTCCAGGCTGCACAGCTTGCAGCTCCAAAGGAAACACATTCCTTTTTTTTTTTTTTTTAGGAGAGGAGAGAAAAGACTGGGGAGGACTTTCCTTGCATCTTGTATAAGAGCTGAGCCACAGCAAGATAGGGCACCTGTCAGCTTCATGAGGCCCCTTTTCCAGGCCCTAGCTCCTGAATGAAATTTCTAAACACACCATAGGCCAAAAGGGAACCTGCTGCCTTGAAGAGAAGAACCTTGTCCTGACAGCATTCATCACCTACAAACCATAGAGCCATTGCATCCTGAATAACCAGCAGTTATCCCCAGGAAGTATATCCAGAAATTTGGATGAGACTCTGACTTCTTGGCTTAATTTGAGACTCAGCACCTTCCCAGCTGTGTTGTCTATTGGATGAGAGTCCTTCTGGTTAAGAAAAGCAGATAGAAAAGTAAAGGGGACTTTGTCTTGCACCTTAGGTACCAGCTTGACCAAAGAGTGGTAAGCATCAAGCAGGCACTTTTGATCCCGGATTCCAGGACTTGAATCTTGGACATTATTTCTGGACCTGCCCTGGGCCAGAGGAGAGCCCAATGCCTGGAAGGGTGAGTTCCATCCCAGGCAGCAATTACCACAGGCTGACTGAAGAGCTGTTGGGCCTTACAGGAACATGGGCAATAGCCTGGTGATACTCCACATGGGCTTGTAATCATAGTGGACATGGGTAGAGGCACTTCTGTCTTTGGAGAGGGGAAGGAGGAGTGTGAAAGTCTGCATCTAGTGGTTTGAGTGCAGGCTCAGCCACAATACAATATAATAGATGGTAGACTTATAAGGTTCTTGATTCTAGTCCCTGGCTCCAAGACAGCATCTCTTGATCAACCCAAGGCCAGGGGGAACTCTCTACCCTGAAGGGAAGGACACAGGTCTGGCTGGCTTTGCCACATGCTGATTGTAGAGCACCAGTGCATTGAGCAAACATAGGAGATAATCAGGGAGTGGTTACATCAGGCCTTGGGTGAGAACCAGTGCTATGCTGGCTTTAGGTCTGACCAAGCACAGTCGTAGTGGTGGTGGCCACAGGAGTCCTTGTGTTACTACACACTCAGGTTCAGGGGGCTCAGAACAGAGAGAGAGAGACTCTGTTTATTTAGTGGAAGTAAGAAAAATGAATAAGAGTTTCCGCATGGTTACCTAGAAAATTCCTCTGGATCTTGTCCAAGACCATAAACTCAGTACCTCTGTGAATCTACAAGAACCACAGTATTACTGGGCTTAGGGTGCCCTCTAAAACAGATGAAGCTAAGATCACAATCCCTAAGTTCTTTAAAATATCTAGAAAGCCATAGCAGAAGGACAGGTACAAATAAGCACAGACTGAGAGCACTACAATAAATATGTAATTCTTCAATGCCCAGAAACTGACAAATATCTATAAGCATCAAGATAAACCAGGAAAATGTGACCTCAAAAAATGAACTATGTAAGTCACCAGGAACCAATCCTAGAGAAACAGAGAAGTGTGGCTTTTCAGACAAAGAATTCAAAATAGCTCTTTTGAGGAAACTCAAAAAAATTCAAAATAACACAGAGAAGGAATTCAGAATCCTATGAGATAAAGTTAACGAAGAGATTGAAATGACAAAAAATAATCAAGCAGAAATTCTGGAGCTAATAATTGCAATTGGCATACTGAAGAATGCCTCAGAGTTTTTTAATAGCCAAATTTATAAAGTAGAAGAAAGAATCTGTGAGCCTGAAGACAGGCTATTTAAAAATGTACGGTCAGAGGAGACAAAATAAAAATGATTGAATAACAATGAACCACATCTACACCATGTAGAAAATAGCCTCAAAGGGGCAAATCTAACTGCTATTAGCCTTAAAGAGGAGGCAGAGTAAGAGATAAAGGTAGAAAGAGTATCAAAATGATACTATCAAATAACTTTCCAGACCTAGAGAAAGATATCATGTGCAACTACAAGAAGTAAATAAAAGACCAAGCAGACTTAACCCAAAGACCACCACTTAATAATCAAACTCCCAAAGGTCAAGGATAAAGAAAGCATCCTAAAAGCAGCAAGAGAAAAGAAACAAATAATATACAATGGAACTCCAACACATCTGGTAGCAGACTTATCGGTGGAACTCTCACAGGCCAGGAGAGAGTGGCATAACATTGAAAGTGCTTAAAGCAAACCTTTTGCCCTAGAATGGCATATGCAGTAAAAATACCCTTCAGACATGAAGGAGAAGTACCTTCCCAGACAAGTAAAAGCTGGGGAATGTTATCAACTGTAAACCTGTCCTACAAGAAATGCTAAAGGGAGTACTTCAGAAAAAAAAAAAAAAGAATATTAATGAAAAATCACTAACTACCTGAAGGTAAAAAAACTCCCTGTTAATATTAAGTACTCAGAAAGACACAGAATATTATGCCATTATTATTTTGGTGTGTAAACTACTGTTATCCTAAGTAGAAAGACTAAATGATAAACTAATAAAAAATAATAACTACAATGACGTTTGAAGACATAGAGTACAATAAGGTACAAATAGAAACAACAAAAATTAAAAAGCGGGATACGAAGTTATGGCGTTGGGTTTTCACTAGGTTTTTGGATTGTATGTTGGTTTACGCAAAAAGTGTTGCTATCACCTTAAATTAATGTATTATAAGATATAATTTTTTTTTTGAGACGCAGTCTCTCTCTGTCAAAAGGCTGAAGTGCAGTGGTATGATCTCGACTCACTGCAACCTCCGCCTCCCAAGTTCAAGCAATTCTCCTGTCTCAGCCTCCTGAGTATCTGGGACTACAGGCAGGTGCCACCATGCCCAGCTAATTTTTATATTTTTAGTAGGGATGAGTTTTCACCATGTTGGCCAGGATGGTCTCAATCACTTGACCTCATGATCCGCCCTTCTCAGCCTACCAAAGTTCTGGCACTTTTACACTGTTGATGGGAGTGTAAATTAGTTCAATCATTGTGGAAAACAGTGTGGCGACTCCTTAAGGATCTAGAACCAGAAATACCATTTGACCCAGAAATCCCATTACTGGGTATATACCCAAAGGATTATAAATCATTCTACTATAAAGACACACGCACACGTATGTTTATTGTGGCACTATTCACAATAGCAAAGACTTGGAACCAACCCAAATGTCCATCAATGATAGACTGGATACAGAAAATGTGGCACACATATAACATGGAATACTATGCAGCCATAAAAACGGATGAGTTCATGTCCTTTGCAGGGACATGGATGAAGCTGGAAACCATCATTCTCAGCAAACTAACACAAGAACAGAAAACCAAACACTGCATGTTCTCACTTATAAGTGGGAGGTGAACAATGAGAATACATGGACACAGGGAGGGGAACATCACATACTGGGGCCTGTCTGGGAGTGGGGAGCTAGGGGAGAGATAGCACTAGGGGAAATGCCTAATGTAAATGACAGGTTGATGGGTGCAGTAAACCACCATGACATGTGTATATACCTATGTAACACACCTGCCTGTTCTGCACATGTACCCCAGAACTTAAAGTATAATTTTAAAAAAAGAATTTACAAGCCTTATGGTAACTTCAAACCAAACAAAATACAATGAATATTTTTTAAAAGCCAGAAACGAAATTGTATCACCAGAGCAAATCACCTTTGCTGAAGGATGAGAGAAAGGAAATCAAGAACAAAGAGAAGACCAGAAAACAAATAACAAAATGGAAGTAAGTCCTTACCTACCAATAATAACATTTAATGTAAATGGACTAAGCTCTCCAATCAAAAGACACATAGTAGCTGAATGGAAAAACAACAACAACAACAACAAGACCCCCTTGATCTGTTGCCTACAAGAAACACACGTCACCTATAAACACAGATAAAGAATGAAAATCGAAAGATGGAAAAGTTATTCCAAGCAAATGGAAACAAGAAAGAGCAGGAGTAGCTGTACTTTTCTCACATAAAATAGATTTCAAGAAAAAAATTGTAAGAAGACACAAAGAATGTCACTATATAATGATAAAAGGGTTAATGCAAGAGGATATGACAATTTTAAATATATATCCACCCAATACTGAAGGATCCAGTTATATAAAGCAAATATTATTAGAGCTAAAGAGAGAGACGGGCCCCTATACAATAATAGGTGGAACCAGACTTCAACACCCTACTTTCAGCATTGGACAGATTTTCCAGAGAGAAAATCAACAAAGAAACATTGGACTTAATCTGCACTATAGAGCAAATAGATCTGCTAAATATTTGCAGAACATTTCCAAGTGGTACAGAATACACATCCTTTTCCTCAGCACATGGATCACTCTCAAGAATATTTATGTTAGGTCACAAAACAAGTCTTAAAATATTCAAAACATTGATGTAATATCAAGCATCTTCTCTGACCACAGTAGAATGCAACTAGAAATCAATAATAAGGAATTTTGGAAACTATACAAATACATGGAAATTAAACAATATACTCCCAAATTACCAGTGTATCAATGAAAAAATTAAGAAAGAAATTGAAAACAATTCTTGTAACAAATGATAATAGAAACACAACATAGCAAAACCTATTAGATACAGCAAAACCAATACTAGGAGAGAAGCTTATAGCTATAAGTAAGTGTGCCCATGAGAAAAGAGGAAAAACTTCAAATAAACAATCTAATGATGCATCTTAAAGAACAAGAGAAGTGAGAGCAAACAAAACTAAAAATTAATAGGAGAAAAGAAATAATAATAATCATAGCAGAAGTAAATGAAATTTTAAATGAAGAAAACAATACAAATGATCAATGTAACAAAAAGTTTTTTTTGAAAAGTTAAATAAAATGGACAAACCTTTAGCCAGACTTTTGGACACAGGAAGGGGAACATCACACACTGGGGCCTGTTGTGGGGTGGGGGGAGGCGGGGAGGGATAGCATTAGGAGATATACCTAATGTTAAATAACTAGCTAATGGGTGCAGCACACCAACATGGTACATGTATACATATGTAACTGACCTGCACTTTGTGCACATGTACCCTAAAACTTAAAGTATAATAAAAAATAAAAATAAAAAAAGACATAAAAAAAGGAGAGTGAAAAGATCCAAATGAATAAAATCAGACATCCAAAAGGAAACATTGCCACTGATACTGCAGGAATTCAAAAAATCTTTAGTGGCTACTATGAGCAACTATATGCCAATAAATTGGAATATTCGGGAAATGTACAAATTCCTAGGCACATACAACCTAGCATGATGGAACCAGGGAGAAATCCAAAACCTGGACAGACCAATAACAAGTAATGAGTTAAAAGCAGTTAAAAAAAATCTATCAGTAAAGAAAAGCCTGGAACTCAATGGCTTTACTGCTGAATTCCACAAAATATTTAAAGAAGAACTAATACCAACCCTACTCAAACTATTCCAAAAAATAGAGAAGGAGGAAAAACTTAAAATTCATTCTATGAGGCCAGTATTGCCCTGATACCAAAACCAGACAAAAACACATCAAAAAAAATCACTGTGCAAGATCTCTGATGAATATTGATGCAAACATCTTCAACAAAATACTAGCATGTCAAATTCAACCAGACATTTAAAAGATCACTCATCATGACCAAATAGGATTTATTCCTGAGATGCAGGGGTGGTTTAACATACACAAATCAATCAATGTGATATATCAATAAAATGACAAATAAAAACCATATGAGCATTTCAATTGATGCTGAAAAGGCATTTAATAAAATTCAACATCCCTTTTTGATAAAAACCATCAAAAATCTAGGTATAGAAAGAACATACCTCAATGTAATAAAAGCCACATATGGCAGACCCACAGCCAGTATCATACTGAATGGAGAAAAACTGAAATCCTTTTCTCTAAGATCTGGAACACAACAAGGGTTCTCACTTTTACTACTGCTATTCAACATAGTACTGGAAATCCTAGCTAGAGCAATCTAACAGAAGGAAATAAATGACATACAAATTAGAATGAAAGAAGTAAAAGTATTCTTGTTTGCCGGTGGTATAATTTTATATTTAGAAAAACCTAGAGACTACAAAAAAACTATTAAAGCTGATAAATTCACTCAAGTTTCAGAATACAAAATTCACACAAAAATCAGTAGCATTTCAACATGCCAACAATGAACAATGTGAACAATAAATTTTAAACAATAATCTCATTTTCAATAGCCACAAATTAAAATAAAATACCTATGAATTAATTTAACCAAAGTAAGTAAAATATCCGTATAATAAAAACTGTAAAACACTAATGAATGAAATTGAAGATGAAACCGTAAAATGGAAAGAAATTCCATGTTCATGAATTAGAAGAATCCATATTTTTAAAATGTTCATACTACTCAAAGCAATATACAGATTCAATGTAATGCTTATCAAAATACCAATATCATTCTTCATGGAAATGGAAAAAAAATCTGAAGTTTATATGGAACCAGAAGACACTCAGAATTGCCAAAGCTATCCTAAAAAAGAACAAAATTGGAGGAATTACATTACCTCACTTCAAATTATACTACGGAGCTATAGACCAAAACGGCATGTTACTGGCATAAAAACAGACACATAGACCAATGGAACAGATTAGAGAACCTGAAAAAATCCACACACCTACATTGAACTCATTTTTGTCAAAGGTGTCAAAAACATATACTGATGAAAAGAGAGTCTCTTCAATAAATTGGGCTGGGAAAAGCTGTATATTCATATGCAGAGAAAGAAAATCACACCTTTATCTCTCACCAGATACAAAAATCAAATCAAATGGACTAGAGATTTTAATCTACAACCTCACATTATGAAGCTACTACAAAAAATTGGAGAAAACCTCCAGGATATTGTTCTAGGCAAACGTTTATTGAGCACAGACAACCAAAGCAGACATGGACAAATGGGATCACATCAAGCTAACAAGCTTGTGTACAGCAAAAGAAACAATCAACAAAGTGAAGAGTAAACTCAAAGAATGAGAGAAAATATTTGCAAACTATCCATCTGACAAGGGATTAACAGCTAGAGCACATAAGGAGCTCAAACAACTCTATAGAAATAAATCCAATAACACCATAAAAAATGAGCACAGGATTTGAAGAGGTATTTCTCAGAAGAAGACATACAAATGGGAATTAGGCATATGAAAAAGTGCTGAACATCATCGATCATCAGAGAAATGCAAATCAAAACTACAATAAGATACCATCTCACCCCAGTTAAAATGGCTTGTATCCAAGACAGGCAATAACTAATGCTGGAAAGAATGTGGAGAAAAAGGGAACCATCATATGCTATTGGTTGGAATGGAAATTAGTACAACCACTCTGAGTTTCCTCAAAAAAATAAAATAAAAGAGAGCTACCATATAATCCAGTAATCCCAGTGGTGGGTATATATTCAAAAGAAGTCAGTATATAAAAGAGATGTCTGCACTCCCATGTTTGCTGCAAATAGTCAAGATTTGGAAGTGACCTAAGTGTTTTTCAACAGTTGAATAGATAAAATGTGGTATATTTACATGATAGATTGCTATTTAGTCATAAAAAAATTAAATCCTGTCATTTGTAACAACATGGATGGAACTGGAGATCAAGTTTAAGCAAAATAAGGCAGGCAGAGAAAGACTGACATGGCATGTTGTCATTTATTTGTGGGATCTAAAAGTCAAAACAATTGAACTTATGGACATAAAGTGTAGGAAGAAGGTTACCAGAAGCGGGGAAGGGAAGCGAGGAAGGTGGTGGTGGAGGCAGGGAATGAGGATGATTAATAGGTACAAAAAACGCAGAATGAATAGAAGTGGCCTAGTATTTGGTAGCACAATGAGGTAGCTATAGTCAATAATAATTTAATTCTAAAATTGTTTAAAAATAATAAAAAATAGATGACTAAAAAAGTATAACTGGTTTGCTTGAAATACAAAACATAAATGCTTGAAGAGTTAGATACCCCATCTTCCATGAAGCAATTATTACACCTTGCATGCCTATATCAAAACATCTCACCTGCCCCATAAATATATATACCCGCCATGTACCTAGAGCCCAGGAGTTTGAGACAAGCCTGGGCAATATACCAAGATCTCATTTCAAAAAAAGGGATAGACAGATGAATGAAACAAAATACAGAGACCAGAAACAGACCCACATAAATATAGTTGACTGATCTTTGACAATACAATGGAGCAAACATAATCTTTCAATTAATGGTGGCAGAATAACGGGACATCCACATGCACAAAATAAATCCACAGACAGACCCTACGACCTTCATAAAAATGAGCTCAAGATGAATCACAGATCTAAATGTAAAGTGAGTTTGGTGATGACATTTTAGATGCAACACCAAAGGCACAGTCCATGAAAACAAGATAAGCTGAATTTTATTCAAATTAAAATTTCCTCCTCTGTGAAAGGCACAGTCAAGGTAATAAAAAGATAAGCCAAAGACTAGGAGAAAAGATTTTCAAACAATATCTGATACTGGACTGCTATCCAAAATATACAAAAAACAGTTAAATCTCAATAATAAGAAAACAAAAAATCTGATTTTAAAACGAGACAAAAATCTTAACTGATACCTCACCAAAGAAATATACAGATGGCAAATAAGCATACAAAAATATGCCAAGCATCAGATATCATCTGAACAATCCAAATTAAAGCAAGAATGAGATATTACTATGCATCTATTAGGATTGCCAAAATCCAGAACACTGACACCAAATGTTGTCAAGAATGTGGCGCAACAGGAACTCTCATTTAGTGCTGGAGGAAAGCAAAATGTTATAGTCACTTTGGAAGACAGTTGGTTGTTTTTTACAAAACTAAGTAAACCTTTACCATATAATCCATCTGTCATATTCCTTGATATTTACTCAAAAAAGTTAAAAACTTATGTCCACACACAACCCTGCACATGGATGGTTATAGCAGCTTTTTTCATAATTGCAAATACTTGGAAGCAACCAAGATGTCTTTGAGTAGGTTAATAGATAAACTTTTGAACATCCAGACAGGACTGAAAAGAAATGAGCTCTGAATCCATGTAAAGACATGGAGGAAACCTAAGTGCATATTACTAAGAAAAAGAACCCAATCAGGAAAGGCTACAAATTGTATGATTCCAACTATATGACATTCTGGAAAAGGCAAAACTATGGATACAGTAATATGATCAGTGGTTTACAAGGGTTGAGGTGAGGGAGGTGTAAATAGGTAGAGCACATAGGATTTTTAGGTCAGTGAAACTACTTTGTACAATACAATAATGGTGGATACATGTCATTATAAATTTGCCAAACCCATAGAATGTACAATGCTCAAGTGAATCCTAATATAAACTATGGACTCTGTATGATAAATAGGTGTTAATTTAGATTCATCAGTTGTGACAAATTCACCACCCTGATCACGGGATGCTGAAAGTCCGGGAGACCATGCATGTGTGAGAGCTGGAGGCATATGGTAAATATCTGTACTTCCTGCTCAATTTTTCTGTGGATCTGAAGCTTCTCTAAAATTGTATATTTTTAACTGGTAGCCAACTGAAGTCAACAGAATATTTAAAAAATTATACACCATAACCAAGTAGAATTCATTCCTGGAAAGCAAAGATAGTTCAATATATAAAAATCAGTCAGCGTAATGCATCACATTAACAGAATTAAAAGGAAATAAGCACACAATCATGTGAATTGATGCAGAAAAATATTTGACAAAATTTAACAGCCTTCAAGATGAAAACCCTCAACAAACTAGGAATCAAACATCCTCAATGATAAAAGGCTAAAAGCTTTTCTTGTAAGACATGGAAAAGGGCAAGGATGCCCTCTCTTGCCAGTTGTGCTTAACATGGTACTAAAAGTCCTTGCCAGAGCAATTAAAAAAGAAAAACGAAACAAAAGATCTCCAAATAGAAAAGGAAGAAGTAAAATGATCTCTGTTTGCAAATAACATGATCTTATATTTAGTAAGTCCTAAATATTGCACACACACACACCGATACATACACACACACCTTGACACACACACTCGAAATTAGAACTAATAAAAGGATGCAGCAAAGTTGCAAGATGTAAAATCCACACTCAAAAATCACTTGCACTTTTGTCCACTAAGAATAAAATCTGAAAAGAAAATTCAGAAAACAAGTCCATTTTCAATAGTCTCAAAAACAGTAAAACACAGAAATGCACTTGACAAAGGAGGCAAATTACTTATACACTAGAAACTACAAAATGCTGCTGAAAGAATTTAAAGAAGATACAAATAAATGAAAATATATACCATAATATTGGGGTGAAAGTGTTAATAATCTTAAAATGTCGATACCACCCAAAGTGATCTACAGAGTCAAAGCAAGACTTACGAAAATCCCAAAGATGTTTTTCGCAGAAATATCAAAATCCATGCTAAAATTTACTTGGAAACACAAGAGACATTAAATGGCCAAAATTATCTTGAGAAATAAGAACAAAGTTAGAGGACACACATTTGTTGATTTCAAAACTTACCACAAAGCTATGGTAATAAAAAAAAAAATGTGCTACTAACATAAAGACACACATGAGCCAACGGAACAGAGAGCACAGAAATAAACCCTTGAATGTATGGTCAATTGATTGTCAACAAGGGTACCCAGACTATTCAATGAGGAATAATTAGTGTTTTCCATAAATGGTGCTGGGAAAACTGGATCTCCATATGCTAAAGAATAAAGTTGGACCCTTTAGAAAATATGCAAAAATTAACTCAAGGGAATCAAATACCTAAACTTAAGGGGTAAGACAATAAGACTCTTAGAAGGAACATTTGAAAAAAGCTTCATGATGTTAGATTTGGCAGTGATTTTCAAGATATGACACCAAAATTACAGGCAACAAAAGAAAAAGTAGGTAAAGTGGAGTTCATCAAAATTAAAAGCTTTGTGCCTTAAAGGACGTTATTAAAACAGTGAAAAAGCAACTCACAGGAAGAAATAAAATATTTGCAATGCAAATATCTGATAAGAGATTGGTATCCAGAATATATAAAGAACTTTTACAACTCAGTAACAACAGAAAACAAACAAACAAATTAAAAACCAGGAAAGGACTTGAATAGAGATTTCTCCAAAGAAGATATAAGCACATAAGACATTCAATATCACTAATCATAAATGCAAATGAAAGTCACAGTGAAATACCCTTCATAACCATTAGGATGGCTACTATATAAACAAAAGCAAGAAAACAGAAAATAACAATTGTTGAGGAGGATATGGAGCAATTGGAAACCTTGTGCACTGTTCATGGAATATGAAATGGTGTAGCAGCTGTGGAAAACATCATGAAGTTCCTGAAAAATTAAAAATAGAATTACTGTATTATCCAGAAATTCCATTTCTGGGTATATACCCAAAGGAATTAAAAGCAGGGTCTTGAAGATATAGTTGTACATCCATGTTCAAAGCAGCATTATGCACAATACTAAAACATGATAACAGCACAAAAGTTTATCGACAGAAGAATGGAAAAGCCAAGCATGGTATACACATACAGTGGAATATTATTCAGCCTACCCTTCCTGAAAAAAAAGGAAATTATGACACATGGTACAACATGGATGAAACTTGAGTATATTATGCTCATTGAAATAAGCCCTTCAGGACAGGACAAATATTGTGTAATTCCACTTCCATGAGGTATCTAATGTAGTCAAATTAATAGAGACAGAAAATAGAAGGGGGGTTGTCAAGGACTAGGGAAAGGGGAAAATGGGAAGTTAATGTTTCATAAATATAGAGTTTCAGTTGGGGAAGATGAAAAAGTTCTGGCGATGGATGGCTAATGTTTATACAACCATGTGATTGTACTTATTGCCACAAAACTATACACTTAAAATTGATTAAAATGTTAAATTCTATGTCATATATGTTTTATAATAAAAAGTAAAATGAAAAAATCAATGGTTAGCAACAGTACTTTAATGTGTTTGATGATAATATTTTCAAATATTTCTGAAGTTTCCACTTAAATACCAGTAGGATCAAAATTCAATATCCTATTGTTAGAGATAAGGTTAATGGGCTTCACTCAATGTTATTCAATGAAACAGAAAATTTAGATGCCAGGAAGCCCACAATCACATACTAATAGAAGTGTTATTGCCCAGTTATTAAATATTAAAATCTTTCAATGCTCTATTCAAATTTGTCTTCATTTGTACTTCCTAGACTGACATGAAGAAATTTCTTTTATATCTAAAATTTCAATTATGATTTATATGTAGATGACTCACAAATTTATGTCTTGGCTTATCTCCCTGGGAGCATTTATTTCATGTCTCAAAGCCACCTCAAACTGCATTTGTCCAAGACTAAATTCATGACCAGCAACTCCATACTTTTTTATCTCCTATTCATCCAATTGAGTAAGCCATAAAGCCAGGAACTTCACTCCTCTTTAGATCCTATATTCTATTATGAGCTCCCACACCACCAGGTACTTTTTGGTACCATTTATCTCAGCACTTTCACATACATTTCTGTATTTGATTAATGTCTGCCTCTTAAACTAGAGTGCACATTCCAGGTGGAGAAAGACTTTATTTTTGCTTATAATCAGATTCTTAAAATACAGAACAGTGTCTAGTATATAAGTGTTTAATAAATATTCATTGAATCAATAAAACTTTAAGCTTTGTACTCATAACTAGGAAATGGTGTGATATGAAAAAAATTAAAAATGTAATTTCTCCCCTTCCCATCTATATGAAGATGAGGGTTGTTTACCTAGCAGAGTTACTGGATTGCATTTGGGCACTCACCTTAAGATTACCGTGGGTATTATTTTTAGTTCCAGGTCTTTAGGTCAGTGTCATAGTCTACATTTAACTGAATTTCCTGAACATTTCTAACCTGTCTAGTGCAATTATTTCTGTATGTGTTACGTCCCATTAATACAACTCCAAATACAATGTTCAGTACCTTGGTAGGAGAATATAAAATACTTCATGCTCACAAATCAGAGTGGAGGTGGAGATCATGTGTATAAGGAGGAGAATGGGGGAGTTTATCTCAGAGCTCAAACTCCATGGATTCAAGTCCTGCTTTTGCTATTAGTTTCAAATGAATTTAACACCTGAATCTGTTTCCACATTTGCAAAAATAGACATAGTAAAAATACCTTGGCTCTGGAGAACCAAACACCACATGTTTTCACTTATAAGTAGGAGCTAGTGAGAGCTGAACGATGAGAACACATGACACATAGTAAGGGGTAACAAAACGCACTGTGGCCTGTGGGGGGCGGCGGGATCGGTGGGGAGGAAGAGCATCAGGAAGAACAGCTAATGGGTGTTGGGGTAATAGGTGCTGGGCTTAATTAATACCTCGGTGATTGGTTGATCTGTGCAGCAGGCCACCATGGCACACATTTACATATGTAACAGACCTGCAGATCCTGCACATGTATCCCGGAACTTAAAAGTTGATGAAAAATAAAATAAAAATAAATGTCATGGTATAAACTTGAAATTAAAAAAAAATACCTTTAGTACAAATTTGTTGTGAGGTTTATATGTGAAAATGTCCCCAGAATTATTTCTTAAACTGTAAAATGATACAAATGTACATAATTATTCCAATGTAACTAGGGTTGGAGTAAAAGCTAAAATAGCAAGGTGACTGTGGAGGAGGTAGTTTCTGGCAAAGATAATTTGGGGGTAACTACTTTTTACATTACATTTTTGTCTTGTTTTTGAAGTGAATAAAGCAGTGGTTGTAGCAAAGACATATTTTTTAAAAGGTAGGAGCACTTTAAATATTCTATTTAACCAATCCATTTACAGCCTGTCCTTCTACTACCTTTCGGCTTCCCAGAAATCCCAAACTTCCTCACTGTCTTTCACTCTCCTCTCTAAGGACTTGAAACTAACCAGGTAGGCGGTACTAAGTGCCGCCTGGTTTCCGGCAGGGCCGGTTTTTACATCATCTCATTGTGGCGTGGCACCGCCGCTTGCGTGCCCAATTGTGAGGTCTCGCGCCCTCAGCCGTACATAAAGCGGGACAACACAGAACTTCCCAGTTACACCAGGCATCCTGGCCCAAAGTTTCCCAAATCCAGGCGGCTAGAGGCCCACTGCTTCCCAACTACCAGCTGAGGGGGTCCGTCCCGAGAAGGGAGAAGAGGCCGAAGAGGAAACATGAACTTCTATTTACTCCTAGCGAGCAGCATTCTGTGTGCCTTGATTGTCTTCTGGAAATATCGCCGCTTTCAGGTAATGGTGAATGTAAGGGAGATTTGAATTAGATGAAGCTAGATGAGTATATGGACTTGGGAGTGTATATGTAAGAGAGTAAAATACAGTAAAATGAGAGGTAAGGGGAGATCACCTCATCTCTCCTTTTCGCTCAAAGGAGCCCCAGACTTTTACCGCTTACTCCCGCAATTCCTGTATTCTGACCAGTGATTCGACAGTTCTGGTCTCTTCTAAAAAGCCCCAAGTCCCTAAGTAATATGGTCAGCTTTCCACTCATTGGAGATCAAAGTGCAGTTGTCAGTGCCCATTCCCCACCACCATCTCTCCACTTTAAGAATCTTACCTTCTCTCTTTCTTCTCTTGCTTCTCCTCTCCCACGTGTCTGTTTGCTAATCTCACCATCTTTATTTTATGGTGCTTTCTGGGCATTCACAAATAATTCGAGTGTGAATGTGGATTTTCTGGTGTTAAAGTCACAAGTGAGGTGCTTTTAGATAAGAGTCAAAGACAAGGGTTCATATGTTTACCTACTGGGCTGCTTTCCTTACAGGAAATGTAAGGAAAGGATATGGAACTTTGTCACTAACGGCTACTTTCATATATTTTTTTTCTCAGTCTGGTTTTGGAAGAATATATTTTTGAATTAATGTAGTAATTCAATACATTTTTAATCTCGACATATTAGGGGAAATCAGTTTATTTTGGTGACCAAGATTAAACAAGTTGTTTTTCGGTAGTTTGGAAATTGCTTAATTCGATAAACTACGTATGTATAATTCCCTTTCTTTACAGAGAAACACTGGCGAAATGTCATCAAATTCAACTGCTCTTGCACTAGTGAGACCCTCTTCTTCTGGGTTAATTAACAGCAATACAGACAACAATCTTGCAGTCTACGACCTCTCTCGGGATATTTTAAATAATTTCCCACACTCAATAGCCAGGCAGAAGCGAATATTGGTAAACCTCAGTATGGTGGAAAACAAGCTGGTTGAACTGGAACATACTCTACTTAGCAAGGGTTTCAGAGGTGCATCACCTCACCGGAAATCCACCTAAAAGCGTACAGGATGTAATGCCAGTGGTGGAAATCATTAAAGACACTTTGAGTAGATTCATTTGATTGTGTGTTTATACTAAATGAATTATTTTTTTAAGAGGGAGGGGATTCCAAGTCACATACAAAAAATCCAGATACTTACCAAGTTTCTTATTTATACTTTAAGTAATTGATTACATATGGCTAAAATATACTTACTGAGGAAGGAATGGAAGCACAATAGAGAAAGAAAAACAGTTCAAAAGTTTGTTAACAATAAAAAAGTGACAGTAGACGACTAGTTGAGATATAGTGATTTTAATTTCACTCAACTGTGAAAAAGTTTTCATTAATGGTTTACAATACAATACCATAAATTATCTCCAAGTTCGCATTAAAGTAAGTGGGATTTGATGTAAATGTTTTCCATTATGTAGAATGATGTTTCTTGCCACTGTGGAATCTGAGTAATAATAATAAAAACCACCATTGAGCACCCTACAATATGCCAAGCACTCTGTTGAAATCTGTGCTTTACACACTTGTGAAGATAGTGACAAAAACTTTTAACTACTCTTTGTGGTCAGCTTTTGAAAAGAATTTCTTTCCCTTCACACCTCCCCCAATTAGATATTCTTTCATTTAATATGCCCAAATCTTCCCTGAATTGCAAAAGTCACCTATAGAAAATTGCACACCTTAAATAGCACCAAAATGTAGTGGTAGAATGCATGTAACATACTGTGGATTAAAATTAAGGAAAAGTATTTCTAACCTCTTGTTAGCCATCTATTCTCAAATATTTTATAAAATCTGGTATAACTGAGGAATTAACAATCTCCTGAAACTTACTAACAGCATTTGACCTGTCTTCAAAGAAAACCCTTAGAATGGGCCGGGCACGGTGGCTCACACCTGTAATCTCAGCACTTTAGGAGGCCGAGGTAGACAGATCACTTGAGGTCGGGAGTTCAAGACCAGCCTGGCCAACATGGGGAAACTTCGCCTCTACTAAAAATACAAAAATTAGCTGGTGTGGTGGCGGGCACCTGTAGTCCCAGCTACTCAAGAGGCTGAGGCAGGAGAATCACTTGAATCCAGAAGGCAGAGGTTGCAGTGAGCTGAGATCATGCCACTGCACTCCAGCCCGGGCAACAGAACAAGACTCTGACCCCCAGCCCCCCACCAAAAAAAAAAAAAAGGAAAAAGAAAAAGAAAACCCTCAGAATGTCAAACACAATTTCAGCTTATATATACGTACATAACTTAGAGAGGTGGTTCAATTAGAGGCCTACCTATTTACCTACCTTCATGTCCCCTCCCCCCTAAATAAGTTACCAGTATAAATTAAACAAATGCCTTAATTTCTTACTCCTTTCATCTTCAATCACAAGGAAGAGAAAACGTTTTAAAATGTGTAAGAAAAATTATTTCTTCTATTGTCACTCATTTGCCAAGCACAAAAAGCCAGCAGCAGTGTATGTGATTCTTAAACTTCTTTGGGTCACAGTTTTCCTTGATATTCTGATAAACCTACGGACTCTCTCCCTAGAAAAATGCATGTACATGTACACACAGAAAATGTTCCATATAATTTTGGTTTCATATGCTCCCTGAAGCCTAGGTTAAGAAATTTAAGAATTGATGAAAAGCTATTTACATATATAGGCAGTGTTTATCATCATAGGCTATGATGCTTAAACCAGTTGTCAACAATATATAATCAATATATAAAGCTCTTAGTGATATATTTAATTATCCTTGGTAAGGAAACTAGGACATAGGATTTTCTAATTTGGCTTTTCTCATTCTTGACAAGTTTGACAAGTTTATCTTCCAATAGTATGCAAGTTATCACCTGTAAGTAGTAACTTACTCATATAAGACAAAATCACTCTATCAGCCCTGTATTACAGTAATAAAATGCTAGAATTGATTAAAGCCATTTTCTCATTAACATTTAAGTCCATATTCTATTTGAAATTAAACCTATATTTCAGAGAGTATAATGAACAACACTTAATTTTGTGAAACACAATAGAAATTAAATGGGTCATAGTTTTCTTCCAAATTACCTAAGGAAGGAAGATTGTATATGGGAAAAGAGGTACTCAAAACTCAATTTTCTAGATTTATCACTTACTGGCTGTAGGATCCTTATTTTTCCATCTTATTTCACTTTTTATAAAGAACATTAATGACTAAGTTCATATAGAAAACATGAGCTGTAACAAATGCACGAAGTTTTTAAACATATTTGGGTAAAAAGTATTAAACTACAGTCCTCTTATAGTATGTATAGTCCATTTGTCCATATATTTATCACGTTTCTAATTAAGTGAGGCCTTCAGTTTTAACACTTTCTTTCAAATGTGCTGATTTATTTCCCACTCATATTTGTGGAAAAGATAGATTGTATATTAAGAAAATACAAGTTAATAATATTTTTAAACTTGTGTAATAGAAAATATAACTATTCTCTAAGAAATTAGTTCAAAATAAAGCCTCCAATGTATTAAAAATGCATATACTATTTACAAAAATATAATTGTGAAATAGAGACTCTTAGGTGTGTGTGTGTGTGTTATACAGATAGACAATCTAAAAAGAAATATAATAAGCACATGGCTGAGAATTAAGAGATTCACATTTTTATATTGCATTCCTGCTTAAATGTGAAAAAAATCACACTATCATGAACATAGTATGTACATTTTCCTATTCAGTTAACACACAAATAAATAAGGTTCCCCCTATTCTAAAAAAAATCACATTATACAATCATATATTTTTTTCAATGAGATCTCATTCCGGTTTTCTGCTGCCACTAACAGTAGGTATTTCATGGTCAGCCTCTTTTTTAGGATCTACCATGTCTTTATATCTTTCCCCACGATGTTGTTCCAGGTATGGACCCCAGTTAGAAGCTGGTCTGCAGCAACTTATAAGGCGCTGAAATGCAAGAACAAAAAATCATTGTCTTAGAATTTAAGTGCTACAATCTGTAAACAAGCAAATATTGAACTGTACTTTCCTTTAAATTATTTTTTCTCTACTAACAAAAAATAAGCATCATAGAAAACTAAAAAGTGTTCATCTAAATTCTTAATAATGCACAGTTTACCAAGAAAAAGGTATAATCAAATGTAGCTAGTTGTTAATAGAAGTATATTAACTACTAAACCAAAATAGCTGAGCAAGTAAATGATTTCAAAACAAGGTGTGTGAACCCATTAGAGTAACAGAGTGACTACTCTGTACCTTCACTGAATCAGACATTTCCATCCTGGCCTTAGGATGAGGACGAGCTGAGGATCTAAACCAGTGTATACCTGGGATGTGTTTCAAGAACAAAGGAAATGGGAGTTCCAGGATCAAACCACTGATTTGGATCCATTGTTGTATGGACTTAGGAATTTATTTAAATCTAAGGCTGCTAAGCCTACTTTGTCATTGTCCTACTGAGATGTCATAATGAACTTCATACCCCTACACCTCCATGGAAGAGGGATGACTCAGGCTCTAGATTGGGTTCGAGATATTTACCAGGCTTATTCCAGTATAAAAACACTATTAGGATGTATATTATAGCCAGATGAGGTTTAAAAGCAGTGACTATGGATATAAAGCAAACAGGTCATTTGCTTTGTGACATCTTCAGAGACAACTCAACATAGGTATAGATATCATAGCTGTCATATGCTAAGCACCGTAGCAAGGCCAGAGGTACAGCAACAAATAAGACCCGACTTTCCCCACAAGGAGCTTATAGTCTAGCATAGAGAAACACAGCAAATATATAAATAATAAAATACCATGTTGTGCACTAGTAACAGATGACTGTGTCAGGTATAGAAGTAGCCAAGAGGAAGGAGTAATTAATTGTATTTCATACAATCTCATATTACTACCATGTGAGTAAATTAATCTCCATTTTGATCATAACTACTTTGTGTAAAGTATAAACAATTTTAATGCACTCACTTGAAAGATGTTTCCTTTAGCCTGAATTATTTTTATGATAGCCATAATTGGAATCCAAATAATGCAGAAAACAATCATACACCAGCCTAAAGCAACTCCCCAGTCAGGGTATGGAATTGCGCCATAATTAGGTCTATGAAATTGCACCAATGACCAGATAAATATTGCCTGTCAAAGTTAAATATGCAAAGACAAAGCTAAAGATTAGACTTTATTGCACTGATGATTAGCAATTTGATTCTGTTCCTCAGATGTGATTTATCAAAAATAGTTAATATGAAAATATATTCAAATAATTGAAATAATCAGGTAACAAGCCAGAAGATAACAATATGGAATGAACCAAAATATATAACTTTTATTTTTACTTTGAATAAATTTTTCCAAAATTAATACCATCATATATTTATAAATCCAAATACTTGTTCAACATATATTTCAATAAAATACTTGACCATATATCAGATTGAAAGTAAAATAATATCTGAAATTTTCTGTTATTGAGCTTTTCACTTTGATTTATAATAGCATGGTTTTATTCTATGCCATAGATTAAATCTACATGCCAGCATATAGATTAATACAATGAGAATGTGAAGTACACCTTAGTGGGCATGCTTTTCTCCTTGCTTAGGAATTGCTTCTATTCTTTCCCACTGCACAAAGATCCCCTTTTGACACATCAAAAACACACATGCATTTACACACATTATTGGTGAGCATTTACCAAAGCACATTTCACTTCCAGCATCTTACTGAGGGAAAAACAAAAAACAAACAAAAAAACCCTCAATATCTGCTTAGGCAATACAGTCAAATCTGAATGTTAAAGATGAACACATTATAAGGCCAAGTTAAAATAAACCCGAAATGTTGAAGCATTAAAACTAATTAATTAGAAATTGGTAAAGCAAAACAAAACAAAACCCAATAATTATTAAGGAGCTTCCTTAAATTTAGCTGTTTTTGTTTTATTAAAATCAGCGAGAAAACAATAAATAGATCTATGTTTAATTTTAAAATTAAATGGCTTAGCTCCATTAATTTAATTACAGTAATTTAAATATACTTTACAGTTACTATGAATGTACATAACTACAAAAGAATGGATGAGGGATAGTGGAGTCCAATACACATGACTTTATAAAAAATAGATGGCAATGTAAATCATTTCATATCTAATACTTTTGCATTTTAAATTAAATTCAGGTGTCAAACTTATGTAATCATTGAATATTAGCTTGTTAAGTGATCCAGCTAGACCTTCTAAGTTGACAAGGGGGCTTACTTTATTATGGAGACTTGTCAAATAAAAATATTTAGTGTCATTTTCAAAATCATTTAGCAAAAATATGGAATATCCAAATATTTTAATTCACCATGATCTCGTTCCAAACTGCTCAGCTTTTGAAAGTGATCTCATAATGTTAAAAAAAAAAATGTAATCCTCTCTACAAACAAATGTGGTACTTTAGATTTGAAGGAAATCCTGCATAGAATTACTTAATGGTCTTTTCTAGGAAAACCTTTGAAGCATGAAGGCAATGAAAACCAAAATAAATCTATGAAGCTTTGACACTGCCTCACCCCACCACCATTATTTCTAGTCCATAATCATTCTCCCTCCAGTGTAGTGTTTATTTTGGTGCTCAGCCATTTACTGTCCTGAAATGTTATTTGAACATTTTAAGTTGATAAGTTATGTCTCTCGAGTAAGACATACTTTTGCTTTACCTCAGCTTCTAAATAGTATTAATTGTTGAATTTATTGACATAAACCATTGCCCTTATTGACACAGGTAAGTTTCTTTTACTATCATCTGCCAAATACCTCCCTCATTAAGAGATAAAATATGAATTAAAATATGACTGTTGTTTCTCAGCAGTCAGTATATTTAAACTGAATTCTTTGAAGAGAGGATCTGGGCCTTATGCATCTTTGTTTTTTCTGTGCCTGGCAGAGAGGTTAGGAATATTATTGATGGCTCAACATATTTTTTTAGGGAATGAGCAAATTCATGTTTTATTTTCATTTTTTGTATTGATAAATTTTAAATTACTGATAACTTTTACATCTATACGAACCTGTTTATTTTCTCAAATGGTAAATGTTTAAACTGATGGCCTCAAAATAATACTGCAAAGGCATTTTAATTTAGGCAACTTGGAGGCACCAGCCATAAATACTGCAAAACTTGAAAATCATTCCTTTATAAAATTAATTTGCCTTTTGTCTTCAATGTGAATTATTAAGTTTATCTTAGAACATATGTATTATCGAAATCAAGTTCATGGTGTATTATTACTTACAATCAAAAGGATAGGCGTAATTACAAACCAGCAAGCTCTCCACCATAGCCAGAATATCCACCTCTTTGCTCCAATCATCATTTCTGTATCCTCAATGAATCTGTTCCCTCCTAAAGAAAACAAAGAGTACATTGAGTGCTTGCTAATATTTTCTTCCAGTAACCATTATGGCATCAATTATCTTTCTGTGTCTAAACATTTTTCTCTACCACAACAATGAATCATACACCTGTAATTATATTTTTACATAACATAATGTTGTGCAGTATATTGTACTTTGCTATTATAATAGTATAAAAATTAATAGTATAATTAGGTAAATATAATGAAAATGAATCAAACTAAACTATTTTAATAAAACTGGAAAATAATTTTATAGTTACTATTTACCATAAATCCAGATGATTCCAACTAGCTCCAGTATAGCTGCAATTAAAATGCCCCATCCAGCACAGAAGTGGTCAATCAGATGAACCCAGTAAATTCCAGCCTACCAAAAAAATGTTAATTACTTCTAAGTATATTTTAATTGTTTTTATGATTGATGGGATATTCAAATTGAATCTATTTATTTGATCTTGACATATGCTCCTTAGTTTCCCTTCTGCTAAAATGCGAAAAGCAATGTTTCAAATGTAAACTCAAATGTGACTTTAAATATCTCAAGAATCTTTCAATCTATACTGAGTCACTGGAAAGAAAATAAGCACTTAAATTTGTTGATTATCAGAATGGTATGCAATGTCTGTATGTTCTGAAGTGGCTGTGAGAAATGTAGTATGTGTTTAAAGTCTGTAATCTTATTGTAACTGAAGTAACTGTCCATTATTCGGCCTCCTCATCTGCAAAATAGACTTTCTATAAAAGTAATAATGGAGAAAAATGGGCTAAAACCCAGAAAACCTTGATCCAAGTCAGACCTGGACTTGTCACTAAGCATCCTCTTAAGCTTTGGTTTCTTTAGTTAGGTTATAAAGTATGTTCCAACTAATATGTTTCTATGAAAAAAAATGCTGTAGTATACCTGAGTCACACAGACGAGACCAAGGAGAAACAAAACCAAGCAGCAGCCCAAAGTTATGGGAACCCTCATTTTCTTCATCACTTTGGGAAATAAATCTTGAATTGTTGTTGTGATCGTTTCTTCAGAGGGGGAGAAATGACATGTTATATGTCAACTTATTTGCCAATACTGTTAATCACAGAATTCAATGTATGTTAATCAAATTTACAAATATATGTTGAAAATAGACTCTGAGCCCTGTTCCCTGCTTTTAAAAACCCACAGGGTTTTTTCTTTTGGCAGTCACCACTTGGTTCTGATGAAAATCAAATGCAGCGCTATTTGCTGTTTTTAGTCTGCTTTATATGATTTTTCATCGATAACAACTGTAAGGTAACAGTCCCCTGTGAACTGAATTAGTCTAAAAGGAAGAATTCTAGTAGGACTTTTAAATAAGGTAAATATTTGAATCAGTGGTGTGGAAACAGAAAGGATTCTAGGTTAAGAGATAAATGTGTTCATGAAATAGGGAACTGGCTAAGAGTAGAAGGATGTGAGAATGAAAATATCAGAAAATATGTTTGAGATTTTCAAGGACTTTGAAAGTCAACCAGAAAAGTCTAGATTTTATCCTATAAACAGAGTAAACTGAAAATATTGTGTGAGAGAGTGGTAGGATGAAAATTGTTTCAGAATTTCTCTAGTCATGTAACCTAGGTAAATCCCTACGTGTGCATAGAAGTATGTGCAAGGATGATCATTGCAGCAGTGTGTGTAATTTTTAAAAAATTGTATATCATTCATATGCCCATTATTATGGCAACAAAGAGATTGTGATTTAACTAGATCTATATGCCTGTGTATCAATGGGATTCATAATCAATGCAAAAACAACTTTCAGAGTCATATGCATGCTCTGAAACTTCACATTTATGTGCAAATTTAAAAATGTATATGATATGTACAGACATATAAAATGTATATAAACATGGATAGAATAACATACACAATCTATGGTAAGAGTTGCTTCTAGAAAAAAATGTGATTGTATTAGGAAAAGAAAGAGGACTTCAAATTCACCTGTAACAGTTTATTTTCTTAAAATATCTGAAACAAGTATGATAAAATATTAATGTGTATTCCTTTTGAGTGTCAAGTATTTTTCTGTATTTAAATTTTATTTAAAGCAACTTTCAGAAAGATCATTCTGAGATTAACAGCTAGAGGGGGTAATAGGGGTAATAAAAGCACCTTGTTTTCAAGTAGAGGAAATGCAAAAGAAATATAAGAGGAATATGTTACCACTGGAAGTATTACTTACCAATCGAAGCAAACTGAGAATCGAGACCCAAAGTTAAAAGCATGAAAAAAAATAATATGGACCAAAATGGACCACCTGGGAGTTGGGCTAGAGCCTCTGGATAGGCAATGAATGCCAAATCAAAACCTACGAAACATGTATGATATTATAAATTAGTTACCAAGAATATTCACATATTTAAACATTTAAAACATAAGATATTAGAAAAATCTCATCTTATTTGGCAACACAATCCATGACATAAATTTTTTTACCAACTATTTCACATTCCCTTTTTACAATATTGAATTTGGTTGTTTTGTGATGTGATAATGTGAACATGTGACATGAATTAAGTTAGCAAATAGACTGTAATGTAAATGGTACATTTCTCACATAAGAAATTTTAATTCTTTTAATAGTTTTATTTAACTTATCTTATTTTTTAAGATTGACAAAGAATAAAAACTATCTTAAATTCCAGAAACGTAAATTAGTTCACATTATCTTAGCCTAGATGCTCTAAAAGAATTGCACTGTTAAAGAAAGATACATTTACGAACTAACTTTTGTTTTTAACCTTCTCTCCAAATGTTTACCCAGAATCACTATATGCATATATGCAAAATCGTATGTAATGAAACTATAAATTAAATCTTGTTTTCCATTTGATGTTACCTTTAGAATGCTTTTCAATTTTGTGCCAGTTCTATTATGTGATCCTCAGTTTTAAGTAGTTTTAAGTTTCTTCGACCTCCCGGAGGACTAACTTGGGATTCATGAAAATTAGCTTTTAGTCTAGGCTCTATCACTTCCTAAATATTTGACCTTCTGCAAGACATATATGACATTACTGTGTATCAATCCACTTCTCTGTAAATGAGGAGCTGGACACTAGATAATCTACAAGATCCTTGACATTCTGTTATGAATCACCAGTCTTTCCATCATATGATACTAAAAACATAAACAAAATTTTAATGAAGCATCCCTACTTAAAACAACCCTAGTATTTTCCCCCAGAATCTGTAGCCAGATAATTAAGCATCCCTAGCTAATATCCGTAAAGTTAGGGAGTTCACTAAGATTCCTTTAAAGCTAGACACAAGTGGAAACTCAAAGTCACTTGACTCTCTCACCTATATGATGTTCATGTGTTTTAAAAATTCAAACCCAATAGTATAATTGTACAGAGGAAATTTGTATACACATTTTCTTTCTTTTATAATGCATGGAAAGTGCTTAGCAAGGACTAAACAAAATTAAACATCCTATCTTCTTCAGCAATATTTCCTTAATATACTCTTGTTTACATGGATAATCTAAGAATTATTATATTGTTACAGCAACAAAATTATATAAGATGAAATGAGGAAGAAAATTCAATATTCTAAATCATGACTGTGTCAAGTAAATTTCTATAAATTCTATTGGAGTTTCATAAGTGAGATACATTGAATTAATCAAAGTTGATAATATATAGTATTATATACCTGATTTTACAACTTGAGAAACTTCCTTTCCAGATATATGGGCCATGTGTCCCAATATAGAAAAAATAGCAAATCCAGCAAACACGCTAGTGAGACAGTTTGTCAAACAAACCACAATGGCATCAGAGAAGCAGTTGTTTTTGAACTTATTGTAAGATGATAGAGCAACTAAGCCACCCCAAGCCACTGAAAGGGAGTAAAATATCTGAGTGGCAGCATCTTTCCATACCTATAAGAGAAAATAATTTAATATTTTAAAACATATACTCAATTTTTTATTTGTGTAAATATTTCACATAAGCAAATGAATATATTATTAATAACAATGAAATGAACACCCAAATGCCCACTACTCAGCTTAAGAAATAAAATGTTGCAGTCTCTTAAATCCTTTTTGTACCCCTCCCTCATCATTGTCACCCTTCTACCCACCAGTGGCAATTGCTATCCTGACTTCTGTGCTCATAATTTCTTTGTTCTTCTTTACACTTAGATTTGAATGTTTTGTTTTGGAATTTATAGAAAAGTTATCTTAATGCACGTAAACATATACAACGTGCCATTTTTTATTAGGTATTGTGAAATTTATCCATCATCAAGTTGAACTATATAAAATGTCCACTTTGTAATTCAAAAGTGAAAGAATATAAGCAAATTTATTTGGTTAAATTAAATATATGTAGTTTTAATCATTCTTTTCCACTTCTTTTTTGTTTGTTTGTTTTTGTTTTTGAGACAGAGTCTCGCTCTGTCATCCAGGCTGGAGTGCAGTGGTGAAATCTTGGCTCACTGTAATCTCTGCCTGACAGGTTCAAGCAATTCTTGTGCCTCAGCCTCCCAAGTAGCTGGGATTACAGGCATGCACCATCACATCCAGCTAATTTTTTTGTATTTTTAGTAGAGACGGAGTTTCACCATGTTGGCCAGACTGGTCTCAAATTCCTGACCTCAGGTGATCTGACCACCTTGGCCTCCCAAAGTGCTGGGATTACAGGCGTGAGCAACCGCGCCTGGCCTTTTTCCACTTCTTTATTGCCACACTGCATATGTCACAATTTATCATTTCTCCTGTTGATGGACATTTAGATCATTCAGTATGTTGCTATTATGGAGCTGTGAACATTCTTGTACATTCCCCATATGTAGGTGTGTAACTGTGATGTCGAAAAGTATATGTATTCCTCCCTTCTACTAAATCTTGCCAAATTGTTCTTTAAAGGGTTGTACCATTTTGCACTCCCACCAGCTGGCTGTGAGGGTTCCCATTCCTCCGCCTACTTGCAAACACTTCATTTTCCATATGATTTGTTTTTTTCTGTGAAATTCCTGGTCATGTCTTTTGCCAGTTTTGGGTTTGGGCTGTCTTACTCGGTTTTTAAAATTCTTGATGTAATTTGGAATCTAATCTTTTGACTATTATATATGTTGATTTTTTTTCCTCCAAAATTTGTAGGTTAATTTTGTTTACCTTTTAACATTGTGTCCTTTGATGAACCAAAGTTTTTGTTGTTGGTTTACTGTAGCTGAAGGTATCCATCTTTGACTATAGGTATTATCCTTGATCTCTATTACTTTTAAAAAACGGCTAAGCCCAAGGTTATAAAGGTACTATTCTGTATTTTCTTCTAAAGGAATTCAAGTTTTGCCTATATTGTTAAATTTTCAGTTCACCTAAAATGGATATTGTGCATATCAATATATGTGATATGTGAATGATATGTGAAATTTCCAACTGATGTTGTTTCCTAAATGGGATATCAATTGTTCAAGGATAATTGATATTATCAATTAAATCAATTAGATATCAATTGGATGTCAATTCTATCAATTGGATTATCATCCCTTCCCTTATTGATCTGCATTGCCACCTCTGCCACATACCAAGTTCCATTTGTTTTTGAATTTATTTCTGAGACTATTATCCTGTTCCACTGGTCTATATATTTATACCTATGCTAACACCTCACTATTTTAATTAGTACAGCATTATAAATATTGTTTCATATCTGATAGGACAAGTCCTCTTCACTTCAGATACACCTTGGGGTTTTGGCCTTTTTCTTTTTCAAATAAACTTTAGAATCAGTTTTCAAATTTCATAGAAAACTCTTTTGGGATAGATCATGGTTATTTCACTTATATTTTAGAAAATTGTGTTAGAAATAAAATGCCCTCTTTTTTCTTTGGTCATTGCCCATATTAACAGATGAACAGCATGCTCATGTTGGTCTCTGAGCTTCTTTTACTTGATACATTACATGTGCCTGTGTGACAGGGGGAGCTGGAAGTGGGTGTGGCAGTCCTGTGTTGTGTAAGAATGCTACTGAATACCATGATGTGTAGCTAGGTTGCAAACAAAAGGGAAGAGAAATTCCAAACATAGTTTTAATCTCCATATCTGTTAATCTCATACCAATATACAAGATTATTACATTAGGGACTAGGAAATCGTAATTCAAACTTTATTAATTGGCTGTGTACAATTGGCTAAAATCGAATCTATGTAAGTCTTAGTTTCATCACTGTAAAATGAGGGAGTTAGAAAAATAATCTCTGCATTGCTGAAGACTCCTCTATCTATAAATTTGTGTGGTTCTCTACTCTCCTGGAGATCTCAATGAAGTTCAGATATTCAAAGGAAAGGAAAGACACCTGATTATGATTCCATGTTTAGAATATATATTGTGAGGAATAAAAAAAAATCTAAGAAAAACAATTGTCATTGCCAGCAAACCCCAAAAAGAAGGAGTTGGGTCATGTCGTGTTGGAGAGAAAAGGGGTGAGAAGATGAAATTGTTTGTCTCACAAGGAGCTTTAGGTTTCACTCTGATTTTTTAAAGATGTTAGAGTCACTGAAACACAGACCAATATAAAAGTGTCATATAAATTTTTCAGAATGATTTCAAGGAACTACAAAACCCATATATCTTAGGCTTGCAAAAGCCACTAAAAGAATATCAAAGGGGATTTTTAACTAGGCTCAAAGTCATGAGTTTCAAAGAAAATGGTGAATCTACTTCTTAGGGAAAATGTTGCAACTCTAGCAAGATAGTATAATATAACAAATAATTGAAATAATTGTACATTAGCTCATATTTATATAAAATCTTACTGTTTCCAAGTACATTAACATAATTTATCTTGTTCAATAACCTAACATGGAGAAGGTGATGAATGCTAAGTTCCATTTTATTTGTTTCTTATTCACCATCCAAAATGGTCTTCAAATTAGGAAGAGATTAACCAACAGGGATAAAAAGAGTGAGGCCCAAGATAAATGAAGAAACAAATTAAGATGTCCTGTGGACACATCAAAGTATATTAATCTCCAAGACTATAATAAGAAAATTCCATAGATATAAAATAAGTTAAAGCTATGTGATTAATCATTGAGTGGAAATTATTGAGCACAAAAAAAGGTAACCAAAGACCAAAGATTGGCATTTCAGTTTTCAGAAAGGTAATTGTAAATTAATGACAGATTTCCACAACTAAAAGCTAATAAATTTGGCACTGCTTACAAAAAATCTTTACAAGAAATAATTACACATCCTCTTGTAAGTATTTAGAAAAGAAGACAGCAATGGCTGGAAATTAGCATGAGTTTCATGAAGAATACTATAGCAAACTAATATCCATTTTGAATAGTATTAGTAGTATGGCAGATAATATTAACATAGTCTCTCTTGATTTCAACATAAAATTACAGGTTTTTAGTTGAACAGAAGCTTAATGTGTGCTAAGAATGTGATGTGACTAGTAAAAAAGTGAAAGGGCCAGGTGCGGTGGCTCACACCTGTAATCCCAGCACTTTGGGAGGCCAAGGCGGGTGGATCGCCTGAGGTCAGGAGCTTGAGACCAGGCTGGCCAACATGATGAAACCCTATCTCTACTAAAAATACAAAAAAGTAGCCAGGTGCAGTGGCATATGCCTGTAATCCCAGCTACTTGGGCGGCTGAATCAGGAGAATTGCTTGAACCTGGGAGGCAGTTTGCAGTGAGCAGAGATTGTGCCATTGCACTCCAACCTGGGCAACAGAGTGAGACTCTGTCTCAAAAAAAAAAGAAAAAAAAAAAAAGAAGTGAAAGCATTCTAGACCATACTAATAGAAGCATACTATCTGTAGTACACTTACTGTTAATACTCTCAGCAGTCAAATTTTAAAAGATGTTACATGCCAGTGATACATTCAGCCATTATCTGAAGGCAAAGTTGAAATAGGGTTACCCAATTCTTATTCATGGCACACGTTTAAGTTTTTGGTATAAGTAACAATTTTGGAATGCTTAATCCATTGTCAAATTTATGTTTTAACTTCACAATTCACTAGACAAAATTTGATAATATTTTGCAAATATTAAATTTTGAAGAAAACTAAAATGTATATTAGACTATTAAACTTTCAACAGTAATCTCTAAAGCTAGTCTGAGTTTATCCAATAAATCACATAGCCCCAATCATCAACTTGCGGGTATTTATGCATGAAATATTGTTTTTCAGATTAATAAGCCTGAAATTTTGTTGGTCAAATAGATTCAGTTTATATGAATAAAAAATGACTTTAAAAATCCTATTTCTAAAAATTATCTCACCATCAATAAAAGAATATTAATGGCAGGTTAAATATTAGCTAAGTCAGACATCCTAGTGGATAGAAACTAATAAATTTAACTGTATATTATTTTGCAAGCTATTACATTATGATATTCATATGGAACCAAAGATGTTTGGCATTTACTTTTAAGATTTACCTCCTCAGATAATTTGAAATCCAAATTAAGACTCACCTCAGCTTCCTTAAGTTTTGTAAAATTTGACTGGGCTCCAATATAGTATGAAATGCCTTTTGAAGCACCCTCCAGAGTTGCACCTCGTACTAACAGGATGAGTAGGACCACATAGGGGAAAAGAGCTGTAAAATATACCACCTACCAAGAAAAGTAACCAAAAATTAGTAAATTATTTTTAAAATCATGGTGTATAACTGTATACAAGTAAAATTATTAGCCAGTTGAGATTAATTAAATAAAGTACAGGGGATTTCATAGGGTCTGATGATATACCAAAGTTAGCATAATTTCTTATTTGTGTCCTCACTACTCTCAAATGATCCATTTCAAAAATAATTTGATGTGTTAATCCACATTTCCCAGGTTTATTCTGTAAATAAATAATACATCAGCAGTGATAACTTGGGATCTAAATGTATTGCTCTGATAAATATATCTTTATACATGTCTGAGGAGACTGAATGTCTTCTCTCAGTAAATTACTGCATTGAGGTGAGGAGAGAAATGATTTAAACCCTGCATTGGTTAATATATATTCAGTCTTCAAAGAAAAGGAAAATATTTCCTAGCAGATGTTCAAATCCCAGAAAAGCATATTGAAGTGAATACTGGACACTTGTTACTGTTATCCTTACAGCTACCATTAAGAGAGTTTGATAGCATACATACAAGTGCTCTGCTTCTGTACTAGATAACACATGGTTCCAGATGAGCAGATTGCCTTTGAGACCAGCTTTGCCTTAATGAGGATGATTTCCTTGATCCATAGATGTCCTATGTTTTATAATACATCCAAGGAAATGGTTTAAACAAGTCATTCAGAGACCAATAAAAATTAATCGCCTGGGTAAATGGCCTTTAATGGACTCTTTCAATATTAACATCAAAAGGAAACCAAGGGTTTAAAAAATGTGCAACTAAAACATTTTGGAAAGTTTTCCCTGGATTTGTGATATTCACAGTATTTTTGTGATGTAACAGCATGTCTCATCACAACTTAACATTAACAGAACGTGCTAGATATTGTACTGAGAATACAAAGACAAGATCCCCAGTTATTCTTGTCCTCCACCTTTAGGGAAATATCCATTGACTAGTTAAAAACACATAGACATTTTTTCTGGGTATTGTGTAACTGTTCACAGAGAAAATTTCATGTTGTTTTCTTAAATTACCATTATTCTCTCTGCAAGTTTATAAAAGTAAACAATGAAGTGGGAAAATATAACAGAATGTTTTTCAGAAGAGGCCCTTTCACTGAGAGAAAAAGTTCTGTGTCCATTTTGGCAATCTTTAAGAGAATGAATATATAGTTTGTGTGTATATATACATACACACTCACACACACACACATACACACAAACACACACATTTCTCTCTCTCTCTCTCTCTCTCTCTCTCTCTCTCTCTCTCTCTCTCTCCGACTAGGGGATTCCTGATACTATTACTCTATAGAACAAGGATCTAGACTTTCCAAACCATACATTGCAATGTATGATTCCATTCAAGATGCTTCTTTATATAGTAGGATAGAAAATTTAATAATATACTCTTAAGCTTCAGAATGCTCTATCAGCTAAAAGGGTCCATGTTTTTAGGAAATGTGCACCTCTAGTACCAGTTTTTATTTTGTTTGTTTGTTTTGTATTTAGCAATAACAGAGATCCTATGTATTTACTTAGAGCTTAAAATCACTATTTAGAAAGCTTTTCACACATTTGAATGCTCCCATTATAGAAAAAAAACATGCTTTTGGTAATGCTTGATATTGAACTACCATGAAATTGGAAAGCTGCTATATCGCTATCTAATGTGTTTTTCAAGTTACCTTGCCAGACGATTTGATTCCTTTAAATAGTGCTGCTCCAACTATGAGCCAAGCCAGAAGAAGACAAAGTGCTAAATACCAAACAATTACTCCAGTCTCATTCATTCCACTTGACCGTTGGAGCGCCACTTTACTGAAACACATAAGCCATTTTATGATCACAGAATCACTTGACTTAAAGAAAATACATTGAGTTTTGTAATACCATTTATCCAGGTCGAAGCTTCATGAATATTGTATCTTATTAATATATCAAAGTTCGGTGAGCCTTTATTGATAGATACTATCAATACGAAGGGCACAGATAGTTTATTAAATGGCCAGGCTCTGAACTTCAGTTAACCACAGCCAATCCAAAGTTTCAAACCACAGAATAAAAGATCTACTGATTCTTTTAGCTATTACTTTCCTCTGTTTCAAGATCCTTTATGTAAATAAATTGACTTTATGTCAGATTATTTTATTTTACTATTACAGTATTTTCTCATGTTAAAATAATGAGGAAAACATTTACAATTATATTAAATATTTCCTCATTCCATACTTATAGATATCATCAAACTCAAATGATCCTGTTATTCACGCCTTTTCCACAGACTTTCTGTAAAATTCCAAGATTCTCACTAGGTACATGCATGGATCTTATTTCTAAGCTTGAAGTTTGAGAACATTTGAAGATCCAAAGTTTAAAAGAGTTACAAAGGTCATTAACAGTGGATGAAGAAGAGGTCATTTAGCAGTAGAGTCAACAATATTAGGTAAGAGTAATGGATAGATATAGAGTAAGTAGAGAGATCGTTTGAAATTAATAAAAGTAAATATAACACTACATATCTATTCTTACCATATAATGACAATTGTAAACAAAACTGCTGAAGAATTACACTTTTTTAAATAGCAATATTACTCATCACCCAACTATTTATCATTACAACTTGATCATTGTAGTCTAAAATTTGTATGTGTTTTCTTCAAAGCAATTTCCTAAATCATAGCTAATAAACACCTCATAAATCATTACAGTGTTGTGCCCATTTAATAACTAATTTATAAAAGACACATTGCTGACTATGAGCTAATTTTGCAGGTAACTACTAATCACCTGGGATAGGTAGACATTTGAGTTAAATGAAATATAATTTGTCCTGATTTTCCTTTTTCTATTTATGTGAGTTAAGGAAGGAGATGATTAATGTTTTGTTGTTTTGTACAAATTTTAAGATAACATCTACTTAAAAGTAAATCATCTAGTATACTTACTTCCAATATTGTTCACTGGGAAGCTGCCCTGGCTGATAAATTTCACTGCCGTTGATGCAGGTAAAATTGTTGATGTCTACCCAGCTTTTATTCATTTGGATGATCTCTTGTATTCCTTTATTCACTGTACTCACATTACAGTGAGTTACTAAAGAGGATAAAAAATATAGACACAGACATGTACTTAGTTTTAGAAGATTACTTTCCTAGAAAATGTTTTAATGGTAACATATTTAAATTATCATCAAAATTGTTACTTGAAAAAAGTGGAGTAGAAATCTTACAGATGGAATAAGCTATGTACATTCAGCATCTTAAAATCTTTTCTACTAAACTAGGAGGGATTACAAAACTGTCTGCCCTTTTAAGCTGTGATTGTATTTATAGTAACAACAGGTATAGAGTAACAATTGTTTCAGTTGAGGTTTAGTGCTCTAACAAACTTTTGTATGTGGATTTACCTATCCAACCTATGTATATAGACAAATTAAGGCCTTTAAACTTCTCGGAAGCATTAAATATTTATAAATTTATCCTCTGATATACATAGGTAATTAAAATGGTAATAGTCTATGACATGGATGGTACGTTATCCCAAAGATTAGCAACATATGACATGAACAACACCTACTGTCTCCTGAGACACACACAACTATCCTAGATAGCACTTTTCTCCCTTTATCATTTTCTCAGTTTCTCCTCTCCTGCCCAAGACTTAGGCCTGGAAGAAGTACTCTTAGGCATGATTTAGCCTTCCTGACTGCTCTCAGAGATTAATACATTGTATTAATCATTTTTCTGATTATATATGCTATCTTCTGCTTTCACCAGTGACCTTTGGAACATTTAAAATTGTACCTAAGTTGCTTAGAGAATGATTTGACCCTTCAAGCTTATAAAAAATATATATAAAAGAACTATTTGGGTGTTGACAAATTTTACCTATTGGTGATCTGCTACAGTTTTTATCTGACCACGAAGAACAATTTTTCCATGGTAGTTCACTTTGAAAAGAAGCAAACATGTAGTAAAGACTATAGGCAATTATGACATTGTAATAGATTGTCACAAAAATGGAGATCAGGACCATTGTAATTCCCACACCTGGAAAAAAAAGAACAATTAAAATAAAAACCAAACTCAAGTAAAATTTACTTTGCTAATTCATAAAAAAGCTGTATCTCAATTACCACAAAATCTATTTTAAAATAAAAAAGACTGTTTCAGGCAGGGTGCGGTGGCTCATGCCTATAATCCTAGTACTTTTCAAGGCTGAGGAGGGTGGATCACTTGAGGTCAGGAGTTCGAGACCAGCCTGGCCAACATGGTAAAACTCTGTCTCTACTGAAAATACAAAAATTAGCCAGGCGTGGTGGTGCATGCCTGTAGTTCCAGCTACTGGGGAGGCTGAGGCAGGAGAATTGCTTGACCTTGGGAGGCGGAGGTTGCTGTGAGCCTAGATCCACCACTGCACTCCAGCCTGGGCATCAGAGTGAGACTCTGTCTCTAAATAAATAAAGACTGTTTTAAATTACTTTTTTCCTTTTTCTTTCTGGGAGAGTAGGGGCTAATGCTGTCTGAGTAATTTTCTTCTAAATTTAAATTTAATTTTATGATTGGCTTGCTGGTGCAGTTTCTTAGTTGATTAGAAAGGGTATTAAGGCCAAGGCCAGAAGACTTGTGGTAAGCGCATCAAATTCACATAAAGAAAAACCCATGTTTATTACTTTTTCTTGTTAAGCCTGCAAATTCTTGTCAGATCATGCAAAGTCGACATTCTTTAGACAAAAAAAATTCAAAGCTTGTATCTTATTTACTCACTGACCAATACAATATTCATCTATAAATCAACATTTTGAGAAGTAGAAAATGAAGCCTCTAAAATAATGACCTGGAGGGATGGTGTAGATATATCTACAACTATGTGTAAAGAAAATTAAATAATTCAGTAACAATCTGAATTTAAATATCCAAAGTTTCCTTAACTAGGTAGTTTCAAAATGCAGTTTAGCGTGCTGAATATAACTCCAATGCTCAAAACTAGCTTTTAAGGTAGTTTCTCCACTCTTCCAGAACAATATTCTATTCACCTCACTATGAATTTATTTTTGATGTTGCATTGAAAACAAATAATTTTCAGCAGCTAGCACATACCAAAATGATATTTAATCTTCAGTCAAAAGAGGTAGTTTGATGTTTAATAACAAGGCATTTTTAAGCTTTACCAGTGTCCTATTCTATTAAGAGCATCCAAGAAAAAAAATGGTGGCCTACCCTTCAGCTTTTCTGAATGAGGCATTGTAAAAGATATGCAAAGGCAGTAAGACAAAAACTACATATGAAGTAGAAAAAAGTTAGGGCCTTTAAATTAGAGCATGAGACTATGTGCCAAAAGAATTCACAGGGTGAAAATAGGAAAATAATGACACCCTTCTAACCATCTTTAGCGTGCTTTCTAATCCTTCCCATTTCTGCAGCCCATGATAAACAGAAATAAAAACATTTGATTTTTTAAATTCTGCAGTGGCAAACTGTACAGCAAAACAACAATAATGCATGTTTTCTTTGCTTTAAATTGTCAGAATTTTAAGCAATTTTTTGTTCCTCACAGTGAAGGTAGCTATATGCACAAATATACAAAAAAGCATGGTGAAGAAAATGCTTTAATACCAAGAAAACGCTTTAATACCAACCTTGAAACAATGGAAGAATCCTCCAAACTGAAACTGGACCTAAGCTAGCAAATTGTCCCAGTGAACACTCCAGAAAGAACAAAGGTAAACCAGCCAATGCTAACATAATTGCATAAGGTATCAAGAAGGCGCCTAAAAAAGGTGAGAAAGAACCAAAGCACTATTACAGCTCGAAGTCTTGATGGCACTTTGACAACCAGCATAACACTTTAAAAGCATCCTGATATATTGGAATCAAAGAGCGCTGGGTTTGGGCCTAAAGTTCACTGCTTTCTATGAATAAGTAGTTGATTCTTTAAACCTTGGATTTCTCATCTATGAAATGGGGATGCTAGTATTACCTAATGAGGCTGTTGTGATTATTAAAAATGGTAGAGTATAGAAAGTAAGCCAGAGGAATTGAGCGATCCCAGGCATTGGAGCCAGGTAAACCTAGGTTGAAATCCTGGCTAGACCATTTACCAGTTATGTGACCTCCAGCAATTTGCCTAACATCTGAATCTTGGATTCCTTATAAAAGGGGAGAACAATGCCAACTCAGTTTGTCATAAGGGTTCAAATACAGGGCCTATGTGAAAACACTTGCCAAAATGCCAGGCACATAGCCCATGTTCAACATTGGTTATCTTTCTTTCTCCTTTAAAAATAAATGGTCTATTTTTAAGACTTGGAGTTAAAATGCTAATGTGGCTCACAGTGTAAGCTATTGCAATTAAGTTTATTATTCTCCAAAGAGTCACAAGGTTCTTCACTCAATGTTAATACAAAATGTATTGGTTTTGTTTGAAGACTCTGAACTTTTGAGAAATACTTGTAGTTAACTTTCAATTTCACAAGGAATAATTCTCCCACACTAGACAATTCACCTCCCCCATCCTTTTAACCTTTTATCATTTTCCTTTTTTTTTCTTTCCACTTTTGGGGCATAGTATTTTTCATTAGAAGTTTTGCCAAATTATACGTTGAAGCAAGGGCAGAATATTAAACTTATTAATAAAACATTCCAGAAGAATTGGCAAAGTTTAATAAAGAATGTGGGGATCAGTGGATAAAAATGGGTTTTCAGATTGTATACATTTAATTTACTCATGTTACAGTTTTGCCTCAAGTATTTTTCATATTATGATACTGTAACATCATACCTAGGAATAACATTTTTTTCAACTCTCAAAATACATTCTACTAAAAATGAGTCTATAAAGAACTTGTTATTTATTCATAGGTAAGTGACTTACTTTAATACTAACCCTGGAAGTCACTAGACCATAGGGAAAAATATGTTTGTATAGATGTTGCAATGTACATACCATCTTTACTATGACTAGTAGAAGTTTAAGTCCTATGAATGACAAATACGAAAAAAAAAATACAACTGTTTAACTACAACAATAAACAAGCTTTACCAGCCGAGTGTGAACAGGTATTTTTTGTTAAAAAAGATTATTTTCTTCAGTGTTATACCTGACTTTTCACCTATTATATTATTTTATTATTAATACTATCCATAGATGATAAATTGTTAATATAGTTAATATAGCCACAAATTGTCAATACTGCAGACCTAGACCTTAAGGTGGTATGACACTTCTCTTTAATAAACTGTTAAAAAGAATATACAGATAAAAATATTTCCAGATTTTAGAAACAACTTTTCAAACCTGACCATATTTTTAAACCTAATTCGCATTTAACAAATTTTAATTTCATTTTCCTCTTCTACTCTTGGATGAAAGAAGGATTGAGAGTGCCTAGATCATCTATTACCCAAATGATGTTTTTATAAAAAATTGAAAGCCAATACGGCATATTAAATTTTAGAGGAAATGGTGAAAAAGATAATAGCATACAATTAATATTATTATTTTTGTTTTGGCTATATTTTAAAAGTTTCTATTAAAACTAGTTTAATATAGTTCCTAGAAATTTGTGGCAATTACTGGGCCTATGTATGATGTCAAGGCACAGGGAATTTCTTTTTCTAAACATGAGTTACAAGAGGCTCAAAATGATCCAGAATGCTTCTCTTTACCACACTGGACCTTAGGACAGAGACGGAAATAAAACTGTGATTTCTGATGCATTTTCCAGCTAATATTCGATACCAAGACAACTAAATGACCCAGCTTCTAGATAGGGGAATTCATGCTACTGACACTTAAACGGTTTAATAAACAGAGCTTCTTTCTTAAGTCTCTGAAGACCACTGTGAATATTTTAATGTAACCAATTAATAAGAAATATGATTGAAATATCACCACACAAAATCCTATTATACTAAGAAAAATAATTATAGTGGCACAGTCTCACTGGTACCCAGTTATGAAATATAGGGGCATGTCACCTCTATACTTCTAATAGAACCTGTAATTACGAGTAAATAAAATATGGTGTAAGTGAAAAGTTGTTTGGACATTACTAGAGAATTGTGCAATTCATTTTGTTTCCCTTTGTGTGTCACCTCAAAGTGATTTTTCTCTCCTTTTTCTAATTGAGTCTACCCTAATGATCTACAAGGTATAAACAGTGTTTTTTTGCAGGAATAAAACAACAATCCTTGAACTAAATTATTTCATTTTAGAAGGATCTTCTACATAGTCAGTCCAATTTGGAATACATGTAACTCAATATTGCAACTTAAAATACTAAACCTTTAATTACTTTTTAATCATCTCTTTCAACACTTAAGTCACCAAAATGTAATGCATTATTTTAGTTAAGCAAATAATTTATTTGAGCTTCTTAATAGAACTTATTTTTCTGTTTATTTCTGATTCAGCTATAAATTAAGCAAAGCACAACTTGAGTTTGAACAGATTATCACAGAAACATGCATAAATTAGGAAAAGTATGTCATAGTTGAAGATTATGTGAGATCTCAAATCAGAAGCTTAGAAGTGCTAAAAATAAAGCTTTTTATCAAGTTTATACCTGAGGATTTTGTGAAACTAGGTTTCTAACTTGAGCTGGTAACCCAGACTAATAATAAATTCAATATGCTTGTTTCTCATTCTCCCACTAACCCAAACTGTCAACTGTCATATGCCTTCCTTCAACTCGTAAAATATTCTCAGAAGCCATACAGAACCACACTTAAAACTGGAGGGAAAAGCGGGGGTGGGAGGGTGGGGGTGAAATAGAATACCTCCACCATTGCTGTAGGTCAGATATGGAAATCTCCACACATTTCCTAATCCCACTGCGTATCCAATCATAGATAGAAGATAATCCGATTTTTTGGACCAGTTACCACGGTCCTGATTCTCATCATTTTCACCAACATGGAAATTCTCTGATGAAGCCGACACTTTCTGGGGAAGAAAAAATATCAACAGCTTGCCTTTCTACCATTACAAATTCCACAGAAGCATAATTTCACAAATCCATAGAGCAACAGAAAATGGGGGGAAGAAACCCTGAAAACCATAGCTGAGGGGAATGCTTTAGAAAGTTGGGGAGATTTCTGCTGATAGCTGCTTTTACTTTACAACATTTACCTCTTAAAATGAGCAAAGTTCTGTAGGTAGATATGTTTATTACTCCATCAGCTAAGATTATTCAAATTTTGGTAAAAACGTTAAATGTGACAGCAGTGTGAGACACAAATGAAAGCAGACAAATTAGGTTTGAAATACAAAGGTCTTTGTCACACTGGTGTGAGGGAAAAATGAAAGTAGACAAATCAGGTTTCAAATACAAAAGTCTTAAAGATGAATTAGATAAAGTCATCAATATTGATATTGTAGCAGATCTTTGAGCAGGATCAAATGTAGTGTCTGCTGGAAAAAAAAACGAGAATCTATAAACTTTTCTTATGGCTTGATAGTATTGGATGTATCAAGTTAAGGGTAGTTTAACTTTTCTTTGTCTTACAGATTAAAATCAATGCCTTTCTAAAAGCCGTAGAATAATATGCAGAGACAAATTCTCCTGTCTCACCAGATGAAGTAGCTCTCTCTCCACTTGGGAGGGAGAGAAGGGACAGGGGTTCTCTCCCAACCTGCTCACTTCTCTGGGGTATGGAGGGTTCTTTGGGTCAATTAAGAACAGTGTACTTTTGTACTTTCCTCTAGCATGTGGACACAGTTAGGAGAGGGATAGAGAACAGGATTTTGTGGGTACTCCCAAGGCAGAGGATGAGGTGGCCCTAAGTCTTCTAGCTATGAGAGTAAGAGCTTTTCTTTCTTCTCTACTCTATAGGTATATCTCAGTCACACCTAATAGTTGAACAGAAATGTGGAGCACAAGGAACAGCCACAGAAAGCAAAAACTGAGACTAGCAACCCCCCTTAAGTTTTCCACTCTCAGGTCCTCCACACCTCCCGCAGCTCCCAGACCCCTACCTCCTTCTCCCTGCACTTGAAGAAACTCGGGCATTTCAACTTGTCCATGGTTCACTCCCTCGGCTGGCTCCGCCTCGCCTCCTCTTGCAGTCTGGCTGAGCTTGACTGGTAGCAGGTGCACTCTCCCCTGTTCCTACCTGCCAGAGTGAGCCACCTTGCCCAGGGGTGGGAACATTTATGAAGAGAAGCTCTCTCCTCCCCCTCCTGGGTGTCCAGTAGTGTCAATTACCGGAAGGGACTAAAGTGAGGCTCTGGTTTTTCCCCAGATAAGCCTACATGTAGCAATCTCCTGCCCCAGCCCTGGGAAAGGGCTGGGCTGCTGGAGAGCAGAGCAGTCTGAGCCGAGATGACTGACAGCCTTTGACTCAGAGCTGTGTAGGTACGTTTGCAATCTAGCCGCCTTTCCTGGGTCCCCTGTTTCCTCCTAACCTCGCCTCTCAGTCTGGTCTCTGTTCTGGGGCCAAGTGCTGATCTGTACAAGTGCTGGAGGGAGAAGGGGGCCATTCTGTTCCCCAAAATTCTCCTGAACAGACCATACCACCCTGGGTCCTCAGATTTCCCAAAGTTTTGCCCCTGACTAGAAAGCACTTGATTCCCTGGGGCAAATGCTGCTCCCAGAGGAAAAGCCCCTGAATTGGGCACCTTGAAAAGCAGCCATCTGAGATAAGATTACCCAGCTGGCTCTGCCTGAAAAGAGCAACTTGGAGCCTATGTCTCAGGCTCCTTTCTCAGCCTTCAGGACAGCTTTGCCTTTTACAGGGATTGCTTTGTGTAGTATTTCAAAGAAGCCAAACACAAACAAATTATTGAGCAGGTTTATGGGAAATTCTAACCTTAACAAAGGAGCACACTCTGTAAGAAAGATGAGGCCTAGAAAGTAAACTATGAGGAAACATCCCAGCTTGACCAGGGAGGAAATAATTATTATAATGCTGTTTACCAATGGAATGCCTTTTCATCAGGAAACTCAAAGGATTTAAACTCAGTCTGCCCAGGTAACAGATAGTGATGGTGGTTCTATGAAGCAAAGCACAAATTCATGCACACAGAGGAATGAGCAAATAGGCAAATTCTGTACCCTATGTACAGCTCCTTTGTTCTCCACTGACTGCAAGAATTTTCCATTTGCAATAGAAATATGCCCTGGGGAATCTTGGCAGGTAAGGTAGAGAAAAGTCCATGAAAGATGTAGGATGGTAGTAAGGAAAGTATCAATAAGTTTTATTTAACTTTGTCTTGAACATAACAAAGGCTGATGTGCATGTGTGTGTGTGTGCACATGTGCATGTATCAATGGGGAATTGGGGGATGGAGAGTGCTAATGCATGAGTGTGTGCCTATTAGTACTGTACACTACTGGTATGACCTAAAGGCTAAGATTAAACATAGAAGGGAGAGGAGCAAGAAGGGCTTATAAACCTCCTTATAAAAGGATGAGCTAAAAAGCAAATCCAATAGCATTTACTAAACGATCAAAGTCCCATATAAATGAAAGAAGCCAACCTTGGGGCACGTCAAACAATTGGTAACCAAGGAAATAGAAAGAAGACAGGAATCCTAAGGATAGAGAGATTATGGGAATCACAAGGTGTATTAGTTCGTTCTCATGCTGCTATGAAGAATTGCTCGAGACTAGGTAATTTATAAAGGAAAGAGGTTTAATTGATTAACAGTTCCACGTGGCTGGGGAGGCCTTGGGAAACTTACAATCATGGTGGAAGGGAAAGCAAACACGTCCTTATTCACATGGCAGCAGGAGAAAGAAGTGCCAAGCAAAGGGAGAAAAGTCCCTTATATAACCATCAGATCTTGTGAGAATTTACTCACTATCACGAGAACAGCATGGGGGTAACCACCCCATGTTTCAATGACATACCACTGGGTCCCTTCCATCACACGTGGGGATCATGGGAACTACAATTTAAGATAAAATTTGGGTGGGGGCACAAAGCCCAAACATATCACAAGGCAAGGGTATCTGTTATACAGGGGGGCCAATTTTCCCTGCCTGTTATGCAGTAAAGTTTCTATCACCTTTGAGAGTTGGAGCATTTAACACATAAAATGTGAGATCGATTTTAGATAATATACTTCTGTTTCGGGGTGGGTGGGGGTAGGATTATTCCCATTACCATGCTTTGCTTTTCATGACCTGGCTCCTGCCTGCCTTTTTAGTATCATCTCTTCCCATTCATTGTCTCAAACGTTTAGTGTGTATGTCACAGACATGTTTCTCACCTCAGTGCCTTTGCTCATGCTATTGCTTCTTCTGGAAATTCCCACCCTCCTCTTCATTTGGCTACTACTCATCCTTTAAAACTCTGCTTGGGTGTCCTCCTCCAGGTCTTTTCACAATAGTTCCTCCTCTATTACAGCGGACTAGATTTAGATGTCTCTCCTCTGTGTCCCTATGCACCATATATTCTTTTTACATTGTGTGAAATTACTTGTTTATCATCCACTAGACTACCAGTTCTTTGAAGGCAGGGAGACTGTGTTAATTCTTCTTGCATCTAACACAAAACCTGATGCAGAGTAGGCACTCAGTAAATATTTATTAGAAAATTTGACTCAGACAAGTAATTTAATGACTTTGTTGCCAAAAAAGGGAAGGACACCTGGTCTACAATTCACTCTCAAAGGCTCAAGAGATCCAAGAGCATATTTTCTTTTCTTTGGGCCCTGATTTATTAACTGATGAACAAATTATGTTTATGAATTATTGATTTGGAACTTGAAAGAAGTATAGAAGTTGAATGGGTGAAAGAGAGAGGGAACTAAGTAAACTTGATCACAGGGATATGAATGAGCATGGTGTGGGAAAACAGGAGAAGACTGTTCATTATTGGAGTAATAAAAAATAAGGAGAGAGAGAGAGAGTGTGACCACTCATCTGCCTTGCAATCTAGGCCTAAGCCACAGTCTGAAAGGCAATAGTAAAGTGATTGTTAACTTGGGCATGACACATGGCAAGCTCTGTTTTAGTTGTGCAAAAACACTTCAACATTATAATTAACGACCCACAAGCACTACGTTGTTCAGTGGGGGACTTTTAAATATGGGCCATCCCAGCTAGGACACACACAACAATAGCCATCAACCTGATTTGCTGTTTTTTCACACACACACACACACACACACACACACACAAAGCATTGTCAGCAAATGAGATGGTTTGCCTCTGTGTTCCCACCCAAATCTCATCTCGAATTGTGATCCCTGCATGTCAAGGGAGGGACCTGATGGGAGGTGATTGGATCATGGAGGCAGTTTCCCCTATGCCGTTCTGGTGATAAGGAGTTCTCATGAGATCTGATGGTTTAAAAAGTGGCAGTTTGCCCTGCACCCTCTCTCTCTCTCTTGCCACCTTGTGAAGAAGGTGCTTGTTTCTCCTTCCCCTTCCTCCATAAGTTTCCTGAGGCCTCCCCAGCCATGTGGAACTGTGAGTCAATTAAACTTCTTTTAGTTATAAATTACCCAGTCTCAGGTAGTATCTTTATAGCAGTGTGAAAACAGACTAATACAGCAATCGAAAGATTTAGTTAGTAATAAGTCACTAGCAACTAAAAATCAGCTCATAATTGTGATTTTTTCCAGGAAACAAGTTAAAATAAAAATGGATCCAATAGTTACATCCCATATTCTTCTTTCTCACTAAGATTATGTCATTAACCATGGAAGTTATCTTTAGTCTCATATTTAAGGTGATGGATATCCCAATTACCCTGACTTGATTACATGAATATATCAAATTATCCATCACATGTACCTCCAAAATATATACATCAAATATGTAATTAAAAAATAAAAATAAAAGAGAAGGCCTTTGAACACTTTCATGAAACCCAATGCCTTATTGAGCAACCACATTGTTTTTTAGCCCTCTCCTGAAAGAACTCTTTAAACTTCACCATCTGAAAGTGTGAAAGAATGAAGAAGAAAGACTAGTTGGTCTACAGTAAAAATAAATGATATAAATTCCTATTTTAGTAAATTTGTAAACATGAATTAAGCATTTGAAGTTTATGATTTCAGACATTAACCACTTTACTAAAAATCAGACTCTACCCATAGTCAAAACATTAGTAAGTTTTTCTAGAAAAGGTTCCTATAATTCTAAGAAGCAAGACTTATTTAAGAAAGAAAATTTTGTTGTCAGCCAAAGAAGTGATGATGCTCTAGCAGTATCAACTAGTGAATTGACAGAGAACACAAATCTTGCTTTCTACAGAATATAAAGGATAACATGCTATAGAATCTTGAAAGAAAATAATAGCTCCTGATGCATAATTTCATATTGGTTCTTTCCAAATAGGGAAGCTGAATTTGTTAAATTTCATGTTTTTGTTACATTGCCTGTAACATAACATAGAGCTTTTAGTATAAACTTTATATTGAAGTGTAACATGTATACCAAAAATGCACAAATTATAGATATACAGCTTGATGAGTTTTCACAAACTTAACACTCCCATGCAACTAGCAGTAAGTTCAAGAAACAACATTAGCAGAACCTCAGAAGGCCTCTTATTACCCTCCCCAAGATTGGTCACTATCTTGAGTTTTATCACCGTAAGTTAGTTTTGCCGGTGTTTGAACTTTTAACAAATGGAATATTGTAATATATACACTTTTGTGTCTGACATCTTTGACTCAACCTTATGTTTAAGAGGGTCTTTCATACTGTTACATGGATCTGTAGTTCACCTATTATCATTCTATATCATATTACAATGTATGAATATGCTACTATACAATACATACCAAATTCACTTAACCATTTCACTGATGAACATTTGAGCTGTTTCCAGATTAGACCTATTTTGAATATTCCTGCTATGAAATTTCTTTTAACATTTCTTCTGTATGTATTTCTGTTAGGTATAGAACTAGAGTAGAATTTCTGATCACAGGGTATAATCAATTCAGCTTTAATATACGTTACCCAACAGTTTTCCAACGTATGTTTCCATCAGCATCAGCACTACAACATAGACCTTTAAAGGCCTCATGGCATGGAATGGGCTGTGGCAGGAAAAGACAGAAGGTAGAAGAAAGAGGGTGCCTGATGAGAAAAGAAAACCATTATTTACTGAGCCAGGTACTATGTTAAGTGATCTACATTTATTCTCAAATTTAATTTTCACAGAACCCCTTTGAGGTAGGAAAAATTATAATTCTCATTTTACTAATGAAGAAACTAAGGCTTAGAGAAGTTAAGTGACTTGCTCAAAATAACACAACTAGTAAGTGAAAGATCTGATATTCGAGCCCAAACGATCCAACTCTAAAGCCTATGTTCTCTAACTATTTTACTATAAGAAAATAAGGTAACATGTTAGAAAATTCTGTTTGTTGACTCCCTGCTGTAATCCACCAGCATTTATGGTAACATGGAATAATTAGGCATCACTTGACCCTCCATATCTAATAGAGCACCACACATAGATGAAACTCTGTTTAATATCCACTTCAGTTAGACTGAACACATTTATTTATATTTCCTCTTTGAAGAGGTCGCAACTTAAACAACATTTATGCCTCCTTTCCAGCTGAGTCTCACATTGTCAATTTACAAGTGTCACCTGCAAGAAGTTTGGATCCACAGTGAGGACAATCAGTGCTAGGTGCTCAAGGTGAAGGCTGATTTCAGTAGCTATGGCTCAGAAACAAATATAGACATATATTGTTCTCTAAGGTATAACAAACAAATAGGTTCGGAGACTCTGGAATACTTGGGTGCTTCACTAACCAACCCATGCAATGCACCCTTTTTCCTGAATATATTTAACCAAGCCAAATCCTTAATATAAGGCACACCTAAATCAACTGGGCAATGGAGCTAGTGTGGCTGTTTGACTATTTTTTTAAACAAACAATGAATAAAAAATTTTAACATGACCTAGTTACCTGATACTATTCTAATGATGCATTAAAGGAGGGAAGTACGGAGATACTTTAGAGATACTGCAGTCTCAGTTCCAGACCACCACGATGAAGTGAATATTGCAATAAAGCAAGTCACACACATTTTTTGGTTTCCTAGTGCATATAAAAGTTCTGTTTACACCACATGGTAGTCCATTAAGTGTGCAATAGAATTGTTTGGAAAACAATGTATATGTCTTAATTTAAAAATACTTTATTGCTAAAAATGGTAACAATCATCTGAGTTTTCAGCAAGTCATAATCTTTTTGCTACTGGATGGCCTTGCCTTGATATTGTTGGCTGCTGGCTGATAGAGGTGGTTGTTGCTGAAGGTTGTGGTGGTTATGGCAATTTCTTAAGACAACAATGAGGCTTGCCACATAAACAGACTCTTCCTTTCACAAAAGATTTTTCTGTAGCATGTGATGCTGTTTGACAGCAAAACTTTCAAAATAGGAGTCAGTCTTCTCAAACACTGTCACTGTTTTACCAACTAAATTTATGTAATATTCTAAATTATTTGTTGTCATTTCCACAATATTCACAGCATCTTCACCAGGAGTAGATGACATCTTAAGAGATATTCTGGCCGTGCGTGGTGGCTCACGCCTGTAATCCCAGCACTTTGGGAGGCCGATGCAGGTGGATCACTTGAGATCAGGAGTTCAAGACCAGCCTGGCCAACATGGCGAAACCCTGTCTCTACTAAAAATACAAAAAATTAGCCAGGCATGGTGGCAGATGCCTGTAATCTCAACTACTTGGGAGGCTGAGGCAGGAGAATCGCTTGAACCTGGGAGGTGGAGGTTGCAGGGAGCCAAGATCATACCACTGCACTCCAGCCTGGGCAACAAGAGCAAAACTCCATCTCAAAATAAATAAATAAATAAAAACAACTCCTTGCTCATGCATAAGAAATAACTCCTTATTCATTCAAGTTTTATCATGAGATTGCAGCAATTCAGTTACCTCTTCAGGCTGTACTTCTAATTCTAGTTCTCTTGCTATTTCCACCATATTTGCAGTTACTTCCACCACTGACATCTTGAACCCCTCAAAGTCATCCATGAGGGTTGGAATCAACTTCTTCCAAACTCCTGTTAATGTTGGCATTTTGAACTTCTCCCATGAATCATGAATGTTCTTAATGTCATCTAGAATGGTAAATCCTTCCCTGAAGCTTTTCACTGTAATTTGTCTAGATTCATCAGAGGAATCACTATCTATGGTAGTTATAGTTTTACAAAATATATTTCTTAAATAATAAGACTTGAAAGTCAAAATCACTCCTTGATCTATGAGCTGCAGAATGGATGCTGTGTTAGCAGCATGAAGAGAACATTAATCTCCTTGTACAACAGAGTTATTGGGTGACCAGATACTTTGTTAATGAGCAGTAATGTTTCAAAAGGAATCTTTTTTTCTGAGCAGTAGGTCTCAACAGTCGGCTTAAAATAGTCAATAAACTATGCTGTAAACAGACGTGCTATCATCCGGGCTTTGTTGTTCCATTTATAGAACACAGGCAGAATAGATTTAGCATAATTCTTCAGGACCTTAGGATTTTCAGAATGGTGAATGAGCATTGGCTTCAACTTAGAGTCACCAGCTACATTAGCCCCTACCAAGAAAGTCAGCCTGTTATTTGAAGTTTTGAAGTCAGGTGTTGACTTCTGCAGCTATGAGTCTTAGATAGCATCTTCTTTGAATAGAAGTCTGGTTTGTCCTCCACTGAAAATTTGTTGTTTAATGTAGCCACCTTCATCAATAGTCTTAGCTAAATCTTTGTCATAACTTGCTGTAGCTTCTACATCAGTACTTGCTGCTTCACCTTGTACTTTCCTGTTATGGAGATGGCTTCGTCCCTTAAACTTCATGAACAAGGTCTGCTAGCTTCACACTTTGCTGCTGCAGCTTCCTCACTTCTCTCAGCCTTCATAGAATTGAAGAGTTAGTGCCTTGCTCCAAATTAGGCTTTGGCTAAAGGGAATGTTGTGACTTGTTTGGTCTACTATCCAGACCACTAAAACTTTCTCCATGTCAGTAATAAGGCTGTTTCACTTTCTTATCATTCACGTGTTCATTGGAATAGCACTTCTAATTTCCTTCAATAACTTTTCTTTTGCATTCACAACTTGGCTGTTTGGCACAAGATGCCTAGCATTCAGCCTCTCTCAGTTTTCAGTAATGGTTCCTCAGTGAGCTCAATCATTACTGGCTTTTTAAATTTAAAGTGAGAGATGTGAGACTCTTCCTTTCACTTGAATATTTGTAGGCCATTTCAGGGTTATTAACTGGCCTAATTTCAATACTGTTGTGTTTCAGGAAATAGAGAGGCCCAAGGAGAAGGAGAGAGATGGGAAACAGCTAGCCAATGGAGCAGTCAGAATACACACAACAGTTTGACGTCTTATATGAACATAGTTCATGGCACCTCAAAATAATTAAAATGTTAACATCAAACATGACCAGTCATAGACTACCATAAGACATAAGAATAATGAAAAAGTTTGAAATATTGTGAGAATTAGCCATGTGTGACACACAGACACAAAGTGAACACATGCTGTTGGGAAAAATGGCATCAATAGGCTTGCTCAAACCAGGGTTGCCATAAACGCTTAATTTGTAAAAAGTGCAATATCAGCAAAGCACAATAAAAGTGACGTTCAATAAAATGAGGTATGCCTGGACTTAGACTTCACCTTTGGTATACTGGTATTCCTCCTTTTAAATGCATTGCTGTAAGGTATGCTTGCTGCCGGTTTTCATTTACAAAAATAAACTTTATCAAAACTATGTATCTTAGCTCTTAAATCCAAGGCCTTTCAGACAGCCAAATGCCTACTCTTACTTTCTTACCTCAGGAAATTATTTGCTTCATAAGATCCATGGAATAATTGTTCTTGTTAACTTCTTAAATAAAAACAAACATAAAGTATAATTTATTATGAACCCTAACCTACCTCTACTAGAGTCCTTTGAAGAGATAAAAAACAATTAATGAATAGTTATATTAGGCTGGGCGTGGTGGTTCACACCTGTAATCCCAGCACTTTGGGAGTCCGAGGCGGGTGGATCACAAGGTCAGGAGATCGAGACCATCCTGGCTAACACAGTGAAACCCCGTCTCTACTAAAAATACAAAAAATTAGCCGGGCGTGGTGGCGGGTGCCTGTAGTCCCAGCTACTCAGGAGGCTGAGGCAGGAGAAAGGCGTGAACCCGGGAGGCGGAGCTTGCAGTGAGCCGAGATCGCACCACTGCACTCCAGGCTGGGCGACAGAGCGAGACTCTGTCTCAAAAAAAAAAAAAAAAGAATGGTCATATTAATATTATCTGTGTTCGTGTGCAGGCATTTTCAATATGTTTTTCTAATTAATAAAGTTTAAATCTTGTCACTACATATTCTAAAGAACTGGAAAAGGAGGTGCTGCAAACAAAACTAGTCATAAAGTATAGCATTTACTTTTTCTTGCTTGCCTGAAGTTCTTTAATGTAAAAGTGATGTCTAATATGTGAATAATACACTGCAATTCTTTTTTCCTTCACCACACATAGCAATGTTCTAGCTTCTTTCTAAAACTGACATATGGAGGGCTATCTGAGGCATCCTTCATTGATGCACTTTCTTTTTTTGCTGAATGTCATGGCAACTAATTAACTTGTGCTTTATTACTGTCAAATAATATTGTCACTAACAATAATAATGTGACTGCTTCTAACAATAACAATAACCACTATTACCACAATATCAGCTACCCTTTTCTTTGAGTAGCTACCATATGCCATGTACTTTATGCGTGTTATTTCTAATCTTCACAACAACTGTACCACGCAAGTGTACTACTATCCCCATTTTTACATATTAACAAATAGGCAGAGATAGGTGAAATAACTTGTCCAAGGTCATAGGGCTGGAATATATAGGGGCTGGTATTCAAACCCAGTTGTATTAACAAAACCTGAGTTTTTCCCAGTAATTTTGCTACAGAGGGTCTCCTTTCCACCTCAGCCTTTCTCAATTATTCTATTAAATTGTCTTCTCTCAGTATTCCTCCCTCTTGCTTACTTCTATTTCTCCTTCCTCTACCCCATGTCACGCTTCACCCAGTCCTTCTTCCAAACTGTTTTCTTTTTCTTGGAAGACTTCCTTCCTTCCACCTTTCCCCTCTTATCCAGTTTCTCCTTAAAACACAAACAAAGGGCTAATTAGTATTAATTACCAGCCTGAGGAGATAACACCTTAACACCGGATAGATAGCTCACTGCTCCAAACTGAGGATCCCTCTCAGGAGACTGCTGAAGAGAAGAGGGTCGTTTCTGTGCATAAGCCAATTGGATCAGTTCCATAGACTTTTCAACTGACAATCAGAGATCAGTTTATGAAACTAGCACTGGGACCTCCACCAATATCCATGGAAGGGAGGACTCATAAACAATAAACTGGAGTCCAGCTGTATAATCAGTATTATTATAGTTGTTAACATCAGTGGGGTGCAGCAATCAGTTGCAGGTGGTCTGGCCCATGACCTGTGTTATTGAAATACTGTTGTTTTCAGGCTTAGGAGTGGTGATACACCTGTCTTGTAATTACACAACACCAGCTAATGCCTCGGTGTGGGTTACAGTCTGACTCATTTATTTAGATCTTTTTTGTCTAGAAATGAAGGGAGCTATGTGATTAAAACTTACTAGGAAGTAATGAAAATGCAGAAAAAATTTTAAACAGTACCTCTTACATAGTATCTTTCCATTTAATCATTTTACCAGCTTGAGTTGCTGCTTACAATCAGGTATTACAAGTGAAATAGGTATAGTGTGTCCTAGTCCTTTTTGTTAAGTAGTTCAGAAGAAAACACTCACATTGTTGTTACATAACTTCTTGATGGAAAAAAATGCTGTAGATACAGACAAAAAATAGCAACGTTTTCTGACATAGGTACTAAATCCTATTGCCTATTCTGACTAGGGTACCTTTAGGAAAAAAAAATCTGTATTGATATTCAGTTTGTTGAATTGTGATGGGTACAAATATGTGATTTTTTTCAGATTACTACCTTTAACCATGATGTGTTCAATCTGCATTTCCTGACCCCTAAAAACACCTCAGGCATATCCTCTAGCTTTTTTTTTTTTATCACTTTTAGTTATTAAAAAGTCCAGCTCATTTTAAAAATTGTAACCCATTTTAAAATTTCAATTCATTGCCAGTTTACTTCTTCCCTTCCCTCAGTAACAGCCAAACTTCAACTCAAGAGACTTGGAGTGGTGATTGAATACCACCTGCACTTTCCTCCTCTCTCTTCAAAGTTCCTTTCTACTCTGCAGAGTTGGAGTTAGAAGGCACTACTGGTATAATCTAAGCTCAGCTGTCACTGCTTCTCTGGCTATGAATGGGTGGTCATCAATGCCCTCTGCATGTCAGGTATCCAAATAATGGGTGCATGTGAGGTCTTTTGGAGCTATGTAAGTGAGTGACTCCCCCACTGCACTGTTAATCTGACAATGAATTTCAACCTCTTCGAAGCTTCCCTCGGCTCCTGCCTCTGGTAGTACACCTCAAAGCCTTTGGCTGTTGGGAACAGCTTCATCAATTGATAGCCCACTTGGGTAGCATATTGGAAGGAAGACTCAAGCCTGGCTACCTCTGGTGTCATCCATTTGATCAAAGGGAAACACATATGTACTTTCTATGACAAATTGGGAGTTCCGACTGTTCCACTAATATCTCTTTTCTGCTGTTTTCTCCTGGTGCTCAGTCATAAAGGACAAATAAGATGGTCCACCAGATAAGCAGAGGTTAAAACAAAGCAAAATGAAAAGCCAGCGTCCCCTTTTTGCCAGGCCCTGCAATTTATGGCAAGCAGTTATCTCGGAGTCCCTTTTACCTTTACTCTTTACCCTTAATAAGTCCTCTCCCTCTTTAAGAGGAAAGTGAGAAACTATAACACTTCATGCATGTAACTTGTTTTTTTATACTTTAAGTTCTGGAATGCACGTGCAGAACATGCAGTTTTGTTACATAGGTATACACGTGCCATGATGATTTGCTGCACCCATCAACCCATCAACTACATTAGGTATTTCTCCTAATGCTATCCCTCCCCTAACCCCCCAACCCCCTATAGGACCCGGTATGTGATGTTCCCCTCCCTGTGTCCATGTGTTCTCATTGTTCAACTCCCACTTATGAGTGAGAACATGCGGTGTTTGGTTTTCTGTTCCTCTGTTAGTTTGATGAGAATGATGGTTTCCAGCTTCATCCATGTCCCTGCAAAGGACATGAACTCATCCTTTTTATGGCTGCATAGTATTCCATGGTGTATATGTGCTACATTTTCTTTATGCAGCCTATCATTGATGGACATTTGGATTGGTTCCAAGTCTTTGCTATTATTCAAGACAATGAATAATCGAGTTCTAAAGTGTAAGTACAGAATCAACTGTTCAGACTATTGTAATAGCTGGGGGGACCTTCACAGGAGACTTCAGATAAACCTTGACTGAAAGGATTAGGGCTTATGGGACAAGATAACTGTAATTAAGTAAGAATGAGTATAAAGCAGCACAATACAGGTCTGATTAGAGCACAAGATTTTGTGGTGGGAGTGGGAGTAAAAGAAATGGTTGGCTTATTGCAGTAGGATTACCAGGCTGCAACTTCAGGTAGGAAGGACTTCGTCTTGTTCAACACAGTATCACCATTGCCTTGAAAAAGGTCTGGAGCATAGCAGGCTCAATACATATTTGTCGCTTGCTGAGCCTGAGGCTAGAAACACCTGAATCTAAATATCAAGCTGTAGGTAGGAGGGAGCCTTCAGAGTTATCACAAACAGAATCACTTGAGAATTTTCCAAAGTACCATTAGCATTATTTTGAATTTTATTTTTTATTCAATGTTCATTCTACACCCTTATTCTATCTGAGGATATCTCAAAATAGGTGAGGGTTAAACTGCAGTCCCAGCACATGAAATAAGGCTGAAGAATGACAAAAGTGAGACTCATTTCTATTTATTTGGCTGTCAGAATTGAATTTTATTACAGTGTTTGTGTTATTTCTTGTGGTTTGAAAGTCTTGATTTATATTTATTTGCATAGTTGATGAGACTTTAAATCAGCATACACTTCTGGAGGGCAATTTGACAACATAAATTAAAAACCCGAAGAATGTTTATACCATTTGACCTGGTACATCATAATACTAGGAATCTATCCCTAAAGAAACAAAGATGTTGACAAAAATTTAGCTGGAAGGCTATTCATCGTAGTGATATTTGGAATCAATAAAAACTAGTAACACTCTGAATGTCTACACATTTTGTGAATGTTTAAGTAAACTTTGTATTTTTTACCCGATAAAATGTCTGTTGTAGAAGAACATATAATGATATGGAAAAAAATGCAAACCCATATACAAATACTTTGGAAAAAGTTCAGAAGAAATTATGCCAAAATATGAAACAGTTTTCTTCAGGTGGTGAGATATTTAATAACTTATATTTCCAATCATTATGTATGTGTTTTCTAGTCAGAGAAAAACTATGAGTTTATTTTTTTAGTCTATGTTTGATCTTATCTTCTCATCCTTTCTATACAGGCAAAAAATGAAAGAGGACAGAGAAATGGAAGTGATAAAGAAGTCAGTGTAATTGAGGAGTATATCAGTAGGTATTTAATGACCATGTCTAGGTATTTAAGCCTATTCCTGTAGTAATCTGACAACTTCCTCCCTCATATTAATGTTCTTGCCTCCCTTGGACTGTCCAGGCAAATAACAACAGAAAAAAAAAAAAACAGGCAAAGACAAAAAATAAAGAAAGAAAATGTTCAAATCATATGGCTCTGCGTTTTCTAATGTCCCAGGGAGGAAAGAGGGTGGTGTACGCACCTGTAAGCCTGTGAATCTCCTGGAATCCCAGTCTAAACTTTTATTCTTCTGTGTCCTACCCTTAAAGTTGGTCCAAACTTTAAGGCAACAAATGAAACAAAGAATCTAGAAACTTTATGCATTACTATATACTTCCTCCATACTTCTCGATAATTGGGAGTATTAGAAAATAGGGCTACTAACCTCAAGCAGGCAGTTTCCTGCTGATGTCATCTAAGGTAATGGCTGGGTAGCAGAGGGAAGGGCGGTTCTTTGCTGAACTCCATGACCTATGGCCCGTAGCCTTTCCCCTTCCTTTCTCCCTTGTCTCCCTCTCTGCTCTATGTCTACTGCTCACTAGTGCTCTCTCAACTAGTTGGAGTGCAAAATTGCAACAGAGTGTAGCAATTTCAGGGTATAAACTATACACAGATTAGTTAAATTGCAGGCACACAAGCTTATTGTTTAAATTAGCTAGACACAACTGACTTATTAATTAGGCTCTTAAAGATGTTGTTGCTCTAGATTTTTCTCCAATGCTGGACAGCTCACACACTTGGCCTCCCCTGTCCTGACAGACAAGCTAGCCCACTACTCAGGGCTAACATAAAACTGTACCTTTTTTAAGTATTCCAAAACTATATAGCATACAGTATTTATTTTTTCTACTACTAATAAAAAGTGTTTCTGTTAGATTTTTTATAAAATAAAATTATAATGCAAAAACAAAAGTCCTTTACAATTCTTCCACCCAGATACAACTACTGCTGCTCGAGTATATGCTTCATACATGTGAACAAAATCAAACTGAATTTATGTTGTAAAAGTTTTTTGATCCCTTCTTTCGTATGTGATATTATATTTTAAACATTTTCTTTTGCCAACATCTTTAAAAAATGGCCACGTAGCATCTTATCACACAGGCATAGCAAAATTTATTTGACCTATTCTTGGTGATTTATAATTTTTTTAGGTCTTCATTGTTATAAGTCATGGTTAAATGAGCATCTTCGTCTACAAATTGCCAAGAATTATTTCTTCAGGTTAGATTTCTAGATGTGTGATTAGAGAAAAAAAAGGAATGACTATTTTAACATTTAAGACATATTGCTAAATTATCATCAAAAATTATGCCAATTTACTCTATCTCAAACTGGCTGGGCAATTCTTGGAATGTGACAACTATGGGGCAATATTTTCAGTATGGCTTAGGAACTCTAACCCTGTCCCAAATATACAAGGGTCTTACCTGTTTATTCGCATCCTACATTTACTGTAATTTACTGCCTGTTATCAGAAAGATTTTCTGTGGGTTTCTACAGATCTTTATTGAAAATGACTTTTTGATACAGCCATTCAGTCAAATTAGTGGCTTTGTTTTCTGATATCTCTTAGGTACACAACCCTCTACTTCTAACTGTGTTGTAAATGTCATCAGAATGTAATACAAATTACAGAACAAGTATCTATGTGAAAGTCTTTACAAGCTGCTCTTGTTATTTCAGATAGTCACAGAGACCACCAAATAAAGTTAATTCCATAATGTTTTGCATATTAGGTTTCATAACTTCCAGCAATTCCTGTGAAGATTATATGGGAGAAAACTAACACTTCTTGAGTGTTAACATGTGCAAGAGAATGTGTGCTTCTCATTTTACATGCACAGTCCCATTTAATCCTCACAAAACTCTTAGGTGGAAATTCTCAATATGTTGTTTTACTGATGAGGAAAGTGTGGCTTAGGAAGGCTAAGTAACTTTACTGCAATGACTAGAAAATTGCAGAGCCACAGGTGAGACTGAGGTTTATCTGGCACCACAGCTAGAGCTCTTTCCACTTCACAACATGAAATTTTGAAAGATTAAATTGAAACAGAGATATCTCTTATGATCAATCATTTTCATTTTCCCCCAACACTTCATACTATGTTTGATTCTATAGCCAGCCAATAACCTGCCATGAACCATTAATACCCCAGGAACACTCTGAAAATAAACCAATATGTAACTGCAGAGCACATTAGAAGTCGAAATAAAAACCACCTGATGACCCTATACAACTATATAAAATATATTATATTAAAGCTATTATTGTAAGGCAAAATGACTCACACCCAGTGGTTCCAACATGGTTGGAACTGGAGGCCATTATTCTACGTGAATTAACACAGGAACAGAAAACCTACAAGTGGGAGCTAAACATTGTGTTCACATGGACACAAAGAAGGAAACAATAGACACTGGGGCCTACTCGAGGATAGAGGGTGGGAGGAGAGTAAGGATCCAAAACTACGTATCAGTTACTATACTTATTACCTGACTGATGAAATAATCCATACACCAAACCCCCACTCCCGACATGCAGTTTACTCATGTAACAAACCTGTACAGGTATCCACTAAACCTAAAATTAAAGTTGGAAGAGAAAAAAAAAACAATTTTAATGTTTTCTATTAGTCTATCTTTAGATGTACACTTGCTTATTTTAAAACATTGAGATAGAATATTTATCCTCAGATACCTTCGTTGTAGCTCTTTCTGATGTCTAAGAGTTCCATACAAATATCTGAGAAAAGAATTTGATTATCTGTATGTCAGGATACAATTTACTAAAGATGAGGTCAGAGCTAATCTAATGTATGAATCAACTTCTGTCAGAGCTTCTCTCTCTTTTCCCATCCCCTTATAAGGAGTGGCTTGCTTTTTCACTTGTTTGTTTCTTATTTCTTTGAATAAATTATTAACCACTTGCATTTATAGGTTGGTATAACCTATACATGGTTATAAATATAACCATTATATCAACCTATAAATGTTTGGGAAACGATCTTTGAGACAATTCTTTCTGTGTACAAGAGCCATCTTGAGTGCATTAAAGCTGTTGGAATTTATGAGACAGTAGCCTAGTTACAGAACTGGTATTGTCCTAGGTAAGCTCATTCAACAAGCCATGTAAGGCAACTTATGATTATACCTCCAAGTTAGAGTTTCTCAACCTCAACCCTATTGGCATTTTGAGCCATGATGTTTTTTTTCTTAAATTAATGTTTTAATATCTTTTCAGTTTTATTGAGGCATAATTGACACAATTCTGTATGTTTAAAATGTGCAACATGATTTGGTATACATATCCATTGGGAAATAATTACCACAATCATGTTAATTAACACGTACATTAGCTCATATAGTGCTATGATTTGAATGTGTTCCCTAAAGTTCATGCGTTAGAAACTTAACCCACAATGCAACAGTGTTGAGAGGTGGAAACTTTAAGAGGTGATTCATAAGCAGAGCTCTCATGAACGATTTAATATTGTTATTGGGAGAGTGTGTTTCTTATAAAAGGATGAGTTCAACCCATTCTCTCTGTTTCTCACTCATGTGATGCCTTCTACCATGTTATGACATAGTAAGAAGGCTCTTGCTACATGAAGGTCACTCAATCTTGGACCTTCTAGCCTCTACAGCTGTGAGCCAATAAATTTCTGTTCATTATAAATTACTCATTCTGTAATATTCTGTTTAGAAGCACAAAATGGACCAATACATATATTTAACTTTTATTTTGCTAAGAATGCTTAAAATGTACTCTCAGCAAATTTCAAGTACACAATACAATATTAACTATAGTCACTATGCTGTACATTTGATCCATAGAACTTACAGACCTTATAACTTAAAACTTATGTACTTTGACCAACTTCTTCTTATTTTCTCCACCCGCCCAACCCAGCTCTTGGACACCATTTTGTGGAGGGGAATTCTGAGCATTGTAGGACGTTTAGCAGCACCCCTGGTGTCTGCCTAGTAGATGCCAGTAGCACCCCCACACACACCAAGTTGTGATCATCAAAGATGTTATGAGACATTGGCAAATGTTTCCGGAGGTGAGAGGACAAAAACTTCTCTAGTTGAGAACTGCTGCTCTCAGTAAAGCATCCCTAACTTTAATGTAGTGAGGTGCTGCTTCTGGTTTCCACTCAAAGCTTGAGGTTGGGGATTAAAAAAAAAAGAGAGAGAAGGCTGGGCGCGGTGGCTCACGCCTATAATCCCAGCACTTTGGGAGGCCGAGGCGGGTGGATTACGAGGTCAGGAGATCAAGACCATCTTGGCTAAATTGGTGAAACCCCATCTGTACTAAAAATACAAAAAATTAGCCGGGCGTGGTGGCGGGCGCCTGTAGTCCCAGCTACTTGGGAGGCTGAGGCAGGAGAATGGCGTGAACCCGGGAGGCGGAGCTTGCAGTGAGCCGAGATTGCGCCACTGCACTCCCGCCTGGGCCACAGAGCGAGACTCTGTCTCAAAAAAAAAAAAAAGAGAGAGAGAGAGAGAAAAAAAAAATTGTTGTAGAGAAGAAAATCCCTGAGTTGAGCAGATGTGATTAAGAGGGTGGAGTGTAGAAGGGTTGCCGCCTGAAAAGTATAGGAAAAAATATTTAACTATAGGATTGATTAATATGACTGATCAACCTGACAGATAAAGCAGTTGAAGGCCCTTTGTGTGCCATATCACAAAACACATTTTTACTGTTTCTTTTGCTAATGTTCTTTTGTATAAGATTAGGCAGGTTAGCAAACCATTATAATTCTCAATTTCCTCTTCTATGAATTGATACAAAATTAACTTCTCCCCTAAAGGATTGTTATTAAAAAAAAAAAAAAGAAAGGTATATTTGCACTACTAGATAGCACATATATCTGAAATACGTTATAATGGTTAAGAATTTAGTCTCTGGAACATATGAATCATCATGTAAATTCCAGTTCTGCCACTTCCTAGCTGAATGACTTTGGACAAGTTGTTAAGCACTCAGTGTCTCAGTTTCTTTACCGGTAAAATGGAGACAGTAATATAGTACTTGTTTCACTGGACCGTTGTGAGGATTCAATAATATAATGTAAATAAAATGCCTGTCAGAACGAAAAAAAAAAAGCTCACTTCTTATACATAACAAAGAAAAAACCTTCAGGCCAGGTGCAGTGGCTCATGCCTGTAATCTCAGCACTTTGGGGGTTCTGAGGTGGGAGGATTGCGTTAGTCCAGGAGTTCGAGATCAGCCTGAGCAACACAGGGAAATCCTGTCTCAAAAAAAAAAAAAAAAAAAGAAAACAAAAGAAAAGAAAAAAGAAAGAATGAAAGAACGAAAGAAAGAAAGAGAGAGAGAAAAAACTTTGGAAAAGAAAGAAAAGTCATTTGACTAGTTTTCTTGCTTTTCCACCTTGATGTTTTGATTTTGGAAATAAAAGAAGAAGGTACTAAATCTATTTTTTTGAACTAAATCATAGAAATAATAAATTTCCTAGACAGTCTAATAATTTTCTTGCCTAAGTTGAGTTGAACTTTCTAATTTCTAGCAGGGAAATGATTTCCTGAATTTTTAATTTATGTATGATTATCAAAGGATAGTCCAAGACAACGGTGAAACTCACTGAAGCTGACCAAAGAACCTGTGCTTCATATGCCCCATGCACCCAGAACTAGAGAGCCCTAGCCAATCTAGAACCACTAAAAGGATCATTTAAAGCTTGTGAATTAAAAGATTGCAGCAGAGGCTGGCTGGCCTTTTGCCAGTAAAATCATGTTAGACCTGTTTTGTTCATATGTGATTGAATTGGCTTGCAACAAAACATACAATTATGAGGCCAAAACATTGACCTTTTCTGAATCACTGAGAAAAATCCACCAATTGAATTGAAAACATCAAACTCCAAGATTATGTACCTACTCCTTAAATCACAACAAATTTAATATCTAAGTTCCAACCACAAAGTGGGCAGTTATGCGTTTGGAGGGAAAATAAATAAATTGGTTTCAATATACACAGATATTTAGCAGTCAAACATTTTGTTACAAATATTTCCTATACTACACAGCCCCTGTTTTCATTCTCTTTTATAAAGCCATCACGTCTAAGAATATCCCTCCAAAATTAAGAAAAAAAGGATAAAACTTTTAATAAACTAGGAAGAAAGGAAAATTGCTTAACCTGATATATGATTAATCTAAAAGCCTACAGGAAACATTATGTTTAGAAACTCCTATACACATTACAATTGAGGATGTGACAAGGATTCCCTGTATCAATCTATTTACCAATATACCAGAGGTCCTAGCTATTACAACAAGTCAGGGAAAAAGTGGTATAAGGACAGAAAAGGAAGGAATAAAATTGGCATTATTCATAGATGAGATTGTGTATGTAGAAAGTTCCAAAAAGTCTATAAGCTATTGAAATTAATAAGTGAATTATCAAGGTCACTGAATATGAGATCAAATAATTATGTTTCTGAACTTTGTATAAATAGAATTATAGAGTGTGCACTTGTTTTCATGTCTAGCTTCCTTCACATCTCATTATTTTTATAAGACTCATCCAAGTGGTTGCACAGAAGTCCATTGTGTGAATATACAATCAGTTTTTTATTCATTCTATACTTGAGCATTTGAGTTTTTGCAGTTCTTGTCTATTATGAATAATGCTGTTAAGAACATTCTTGTACGTATGTTTAGTGCATTTATTTTTACATTTCTTTTGTATATTAAGAGAAAACTTGCTGGATCATAGGCTATTCACTTTAGTATAGCATGCCAAACCATCTTCTCAAGTGGTTGTATAAATTTACATTCCCGGCCGGCGCGGTGGCTCACGCCTGTAATCCCAGCACTTTGGGAAGCAGAGGTGGGCGGATCACGAGGTCAGGAGATCGAGAACATCCTGGCTAACAAAGTGAAAACCCGTCTCTAGTAAAAATACAAAAAAATTAGCCGGGCGTGGTGGCGGGCGCCTGTTGTCCCAGCTACTCGGGAGGCTGAGGCAGGAGAATGGCGTGAACCCGGGAGGTGGAGCTTGCAGTGAGCTGAGATCACGCCACTGCACTCCAGCCTGGGTGACAAAGCAAGACTCCATCTCAAAAAATAAAAAATAAAAATAAAAATTACATTCCCACTAGCAATTCATAGGAGTCCCAGTGGCTTTACATCCTTGCCAATACTTGTTATTATCTGTTTTTTTTTTTCACTTTAGCCTTTCAGGTGAATGTGTGTTTCTCAATGTGTTTTTAATTTCCGATTCCCTGATGACTGATGATGCTCAGAGGCTTTTCATATTCCATTGGCTATTGGGATATCCTATCTTACAAAGTATCTGGTCGAGTATTTTACCAATTTGTTTATTGAGTTGTCTGTCATTGTTGATTTGTAGTTCTTTAGATGTTCTCATTACTCCAACTTTGTTGATCATAGTTTTTATAAACATCTTATCCCAGTATGCAGCTGGCTTTTTCATTTTCTTTTTGTTTTTCTTTTTCTTTTTTTGGCTTTTTTCACGTTCTTAATGATGCTTTTGATTAATATAAGTTCTTAATTTTAATGTCCAATTTTATAGCATCTTCTTTTATTAAGTGCTTTTGTGTGTTGTTTAAAAAATCTTTGCACGAAGTCAGTGAGGTATTCGCTTATATTTTTTCACAGAAGCTGTATTATTTTACCTTTCATATTTAGATCTACAGTCCATATGAAATTTCTTTGTTTATAATATAGAGGTAAAATTTCCTTTTTTTCTATTTGTAGCTCAATAGACTATAAATCCAGCACCATTTATTGGCAAGGTCATCCTTCCCTGCTGCACTGCAGTGGCGCTTTTGACATAAATCGTAAATTACATATGTGTAGATGGAACTCTATTTTCCCCATTGTTCTAATGTTCTAATTGTATGTATTGATCTGTTATATATTTTGTCTGATCTCTCTAGGTATTTGACATATTTATGGTATTGTGAATGTTATCCTTTAAATTTTTATTTTATGCTTGTTTCTGAAATTTACAAATATAATTATTTGATCTTATATTCAGGGACCTTGATAACGTACTTATTAATTTCAATAGCTTTCTTATAGACTCTTTAGGACTTTCTACATACACAGTCTCATCTATGAATAATGACAGTTTTATTTCTTCCTTTTCTGTCCTAATACCACTTTTTCCCTGCCTTGTTATACTGGCTAGGACCTCTGGTATATTGGTAAGTAGATTGATATGGAGCATTCTTGTCTCACCCCCAGTTGTAATGTGTATGGGGGATCTTTTAACATTTCATTCCTAAACATAATGTTTCCTGTAGACTTTTAGTTTAAATAATCATGTATCAGGCTAAAAAATGTTCCTTTCTTCCTAATTTGTTAAAAGTTTTGTCTTTTTTCTTTATTTTGAAGGGGTATTAGATTTTATAAATTGCTTTTTCTGCATCTACTGAGGTAAAATATAAATATCTCCTTGATTCTATTAATATGAATTACATTCATTGATTTTAAAATGTTAAATCACCCTTGTGTTTTGGAAATAAACCTAACCCTTTCTGGAATATATATATGTTTTAATATAGCGCTGTATTTTATTTGATGATATGCTAGGATTTTTCATTATATATTCTTTTGAAAGCTTCAAAAATTTAACAACATGAAAATTTATGTCAATAAGTAACAGATCTTATTTTAATGACTGAATTTTAATGACTGAATTCTTTCTCATAATTATGTAGTATAATTTAAATTCATCATTGAATATTTATTTTCAAAATTTTGCTATCATAAACAGTACCTTACTGTATACCATTGTGCATACATATTTAACTTGTACCTATGTTCCAAAGTACTAATTAATACTACCTTTTTGATATATATGTACCTTAATACATACCAACTGTTTAAGAATTAGAAACACAGATTTTCTGGTTGCTTTCTATATGTTTGCTGAGTAGCAGAAGCCCCCTAATGTATAATTCTTGAGGTTACTACTATTAGCTCTGACTGGAGATTGATACCTATTCCAAGGAAAATAGGACCTGGGAAGTCAAATATCTAAATACCTTAGCACTAAAATGGAAAATAACACGGGAAAATACTTTATGAAACAATGGAAATCAGTCTCAGGAAAACTTAGACAATGACAAGAACAAGGGAATGAAGTAAGAAATACCCGGTTCACATTACCATTTACCAGCTGTGTAATCTTAGGCAAATTAGTTCTTGCTGTAACCCTGTTTCTTCACCAATACAATAGAAATATATGAATATTAGAGGATTGTTGAGAGGTTAAAACGAGCAGCTCCTACTACCGCATCTTTTACAAAGTGAGCATGTAATAAGTGATAATTTGCTTCAGTTTCTCATGAGTCAAGAGGCTGTTTTTAAAAAGAAAGTCTAGAAAGAGTTTGCTAGTTTTTCATTAAAGAGGCTCAGAAAGAAATTTCTTCTTTTCTATGTCAGAATCTTCCCTTTAACCTTAATTCATAAAAAAATAGAATACTTTCTATACTTGAAAACTGCCCTGGGGGAAAAAAAGATCTACATTATTAATGAGATCATTTATTTTCCATGGTCATCAAAATGCCAATGTAAATATCTTCTCTGTGTGACTTTTTAACTTGTCATCCAAGGCTAAAAAGCTAGGGTGAAGTCCCAGTTTAGAGATGACTAATTAGGATCAGATTAAGTGTTTCTTAGTTATGAAATAATTGAGTCACACTCTCAGTCTACACGTTTTGATCTGAGGGTGGTGACATAAAATTAACAGAAAGCACTTGGGATATGATGCATTAGTTAATTATTTAAACTTACTGGCACTCATGCCAGAGATACCTATTTTTTAGTGACAATCATACATATGTAAGGCAAAATCCAGCAGGCTCATCTCTTTGCACTTCTACTCCTGTTCATAGTTCTATCTTCTGGAGCTCCAAGAGTTAATGTAAACCTTATTTACGTGACAATCCTTCAACTCTTTAAAGTCAGTGCTAATTTCTCAGTGCACTTTTTAATAAGGATTGTTATGTATATCCAGTTTACAAAAAAAAAAAACTTATAAAAGTTCAGGTTGAACTCATTTTTAGGAAAATAACACATGGGCCAGGAGCAGTGGCTCACGCCTGTAATCCCAGCACTTTGGGAGGCCAAGGTAGGCACATCACGAGGTCAAGAGGTCGAGACCATCCTGGCTAACATGGTAAAACCCCATCTCTACTAAAAATACAAAAATTAGCTGAGCGTGGTGGTGCATGCCTGTAGTCCCAGCTACTCGGGAGGTTGAAGCAGGAGAATTGCTTGAACCCAAGAGGCAGAGGTTGCAGGGAGCTGAGATCGTGCCACTGCACTCCAGCCTGGTGACAGATCATGACTCTGTCTCAAATAATATAAAATAAAATAAAATAACACTTGATATCTGCTTCTGTAGGATGAGACCACTCACATTTTTATCAAACAACCCAAATCAATATTCCCATAAAATAAGTGGTCAGTTAAAAAAGATATGAAGTTCACCCTTTGCTAATATATTAAGGTATAGCATCAACATTGGAATATCTGGACAATTTTAAAATTTCTCAATAAATGTTGACTTATCAAAATGTTGAACTGATGATTTAGAAATGGTAAAGAAGAGGTTATAAATACCCTCTCTTTTTGAATTTTTCAAAAAGCTTGCTAGAGAGTAAAGGACAGTTCCGGTCTGCAGGAAAACTGCTCAAGTACTATTGGTGTTGGGAATTACTCTCCTAGAAGCCAAAAAAATTAGGGTTCTAAGAGACCTTTAAAATCACTAGTTCAACCCTTGTATTAATCTGTTTTCATGCTGCTGATAAAGATATACCCAAGACTGGGCAATTTACAAAAGAAAGAGTTTATTGGACTTACAATTTCACCTGGCTGGGGAGGCCTCACAATCATGGCAGAAGGTGAAAAGCACGTCTCACATGGGGGAAGACAAGAGAAAAGAGCTTGTGCAGGCAAACTCCCTTTTTTAAAGTCATCAGATCTCATGAGGCTTATTCACCATCACAAGAACAGCACAGGAAAAACCCACCCCCATGATTCAATTAACTCCCACCAGGTTCCTCCCACAACACATGGGAATTGTGGGAGTTACAATTTAAGATGAGATTTGGGTGGGGACTGAGCCAAACCATATCATTCTGCCCCTGGCCCCTCCCAAATCTCATGTCCTCACATTTCAAAACCAACCATGCCTTCCCGACAGTTCCCCAAAGTCTTAACTCATTTCAGCATCAACTCAAAAGTTCACAGTCCAAAGTCTCATCTGAGATAAGGCAAGTCCCTTTCACCTATGAGCCTGTAAAATCAAAAGCAAGTTAGTTACTTCCTAGATACACTGGGGGTACAGGCATTGGGTAAATACAGCCATTCCAAATGGGAGGAATTAGCCAAAACATAGGAGCTACATGCCCCTTGCAAGTCTGAAATCCAGCAGGGCAGTCAAATCTTAAAGCTCCAAAATTATCTCCTTTGATTCCATGTCTCACATTTATGCAATGCTGATTCAAGAGGTGGGTTCCCATGGTCTTGAGCAGTTCCGCTCCTGTGGCTTTGCAGCATCCAGCCTCCCTCCCGGCTGCTTTCATGGGCTGGCATTGACTGTCTGCAGCTTTTCCAGGCACACAGTGCAAGCTGTCAGTGGATCTACCATTCTGGGGTCTGGAGGACGGTGGCCCTCTTCTCACAGCTCCACTAGGCAGTGCCCCAGTGGGTACTTTGTGTGGGGACTTCAACCCCACGTTTACCTTCTGCATTGCCATAGCAGAGGTTCTCCGTAAGGATCCTGCCCCTACAGCAAATTTCTGCCTGGACATCCAGGCGTTTTCATACATCCTCTGAAATCTAGGCAGAGGTTCCCCAACCTTACTTATTGATTTCTGTGCTCCAGCAGGCTCAACATCACGAAGCTGCCAAGGCTTGGGGCTTGCACCCTCTGAATACACAATCCAAGCTGTATCTTGGCCCCTTTTAGCCACAGTTGGAGTGGCTGGGATGCGGGACACTAAGTCCCTAGGCTGCACACAGCACAGGGACCCTGGGCCCAGCCCAGGAAATTATTTTTTCCTCCTAGGCCTCTGGGCCTGTGATGGCAGGGGCTGCCTAGAAGGTCTCTGACATGCCCTGAAGACATTTTCCCCATTGTCTTGGAGATTAACATTTGGCTCCTCATTACTTATGCAAATTTCTGCAGCCAGCTTGAACTTCTCGTTAGAAAACGAGTTGTTCTTTTCTATCACATCATCAAGCTGCAAAATGTCCAAACTTTTAAGCTATGTGTCCCTTTTAAAACTGAATGCTTTTAACAGCACCAAAGTCACCTCTTGAATGCTTTGCTGCATAGAAACTTTTTCTGTCAGCTACCCTAAATTATCCCCCTCAAGTTCAAAGTTCCACAAATCTTTAGGGCAGGGCCAAAATGCTGCCAATCTCTTTGCTAAAACATAGCAAGAGTCACCTTTATTCCAGTTCCCAACAAGTTCCTCATCTCCATCTGAGACCACCCAAGCCTGGATTTCATTGTCCATATCATTAGCATTTTGGTCAAAGCCATTTAACAAGTATCTAGGAAGTTCCAAACTTTCCCACATTTTCCTGTCTTCTTCTGAGCCCTCCAAATTGTTCCAATCTCTGCCCGTTATCCAGTTCCAAAGTCGCTTCCACATTTTTGGGTATCTTTACAGCAGCATCCCACTCTACTGGTACCAAATTACTGTATTAGTCTGTTCCCATGCTACTAATAAAGACACACCCAAGACTAGGAAACTTATAAAAGAAAAAGTTTTAATGGACTTCACAGTTCCACATGGCTGGGGAGGCCTCTCAATCATGACAGAAGGAAAAGGAGAAGCAAAGCCATGTTTTACATGGTAGCAGGCAAGAGAGAATGAGGGCCAAGTGGAAGGGGAAATCTCTTTTAAAACCATCAGATCTCATGAGACTTATTCACTACCATGAGAACAGCATGATTCAATTATATTCCACTGGGTCCCTCCAATAATACATGGAAATTATAGGTGCTACAATTCAAGATGAGATTTGTGTGGGGACACAGCCAAACCATATCAAAGCTATTATAATAATTTAGCCAACAGCTGGTGGACCAAGAAGGTAACAGTGGAGACAGTGAGAAGTAGTCAGAATCTGGATAAATCTTAAGGAAAATGTCCATGTGATTTATAAGGTATTAGTTGTGAAATAAGAGTGAAATAAATGAGCCAAAGCTTAAAGACTAGAAAGATGGAGCTCCCCAATAATTGAGATGGCAAAAACTGTGGGAGGAGTGGGGCTATGTGAGGCAAGGTAGACGAACAGGAGTTTCATTTTTGATGTGTTTACTTTGAGATGCCTATTATACATTCAAGTGGAGGTTTTGAGTAGGCATTGTACATGTGAATTTGGAGCTCTGTGGAGAAGTCTGGGATAAAGATATAAATTTGAAGTTGTCAACATTTCATTAACATATAAATGAAATTTAAAACTGTGATAGAGGATAAGATCAACAGGAGAGTGAGAACAGAGATCAGAGATATGAGGACTGAGCTGCTGAGAAATATGGTATCCCTTCAATGTTGACAGGTAGGATAGATGAGAAGGAGCCAGCAAAGGAAATGAACATGGAGCAACCTACTATATAGAAATAAAACCAGGAGGGGGTGGTGTTATATAACCAAGGGAATATAGTGCAACAAGGAGAAAGGAGTGATCAACTGAGCAAACGCTTCTGAGGGCTGAGAATGAATCAATGGACTTTGCACTGTGGAAGTCATTGAGAATATTAACCAGACTAACTTCAGTTTATGGTAGCAACAAAGCCTGACGAGTTAGTTGATAAGAGTATGAATTAGAAAACATGGAAATAGTAAATATGGGCAATTCTAGGACTAGATCTGAAGTAGTCACAGTTATAGTAGTCCCAAGGTAGATGCAGAAGTTTCAGGAATTCAATTTACAGATAACGTTGTCAGGTAAATTTTCAAATAAACTCTTGTTAGTATAAATATGTTGAATATAATATTCGGGGTATGTTTACATTAGAAATTATTTTTATTTATACTAAATTCACATTTAACAAGGTATCTTGTGTTTTGACTGACAACTCTAGCTATAGACAAGTTCTGGCAGGGCTGATGTAAAGTTAAAATTTCCAATACTTCCAAGTCTGCCCAGAAAATTCTGAAAATGCTCCCGGCTTCCTAGAAATTTCTGAAAATGTTATGCAGAGAACAAGATAACTAATGAAATAATGCAAAGGGCTGGAGCATGTGACTCTGAGGCACAGACAAAACTGATTAATAAATATTCTGTCTTCATCTGGGACCCTTTGAATAAATAGGTAAAGCAACTAACACAGCCTGAGGCTACTCTTTGGCAAGAAATTTAAATATACTCAGTCATTCAGGCTCAGACAACCTCCAGGAATCTACAAGTGGAAAGAAAAGGTGGTTTTTCCTATGCAAAGTCATTCACCAAAATGGAGAGTAGTGGGTTATACAGCTGGGTGGGAGAACATTTTCTTTCTATGATATATGACTAAACATAATTAAGGTTAATAAAGGAATAGGAGAACCAAGTGACTTATTTAAACATGACTTATGTAGGTAGTATGTATAATAACAGTCCATATAACAAAGTTACCTTGAACAGTTACCATGTGTTGGGCATTGTGCTAAGCTGAGAGGCATGCAACACCAAAAAGACAGGAATGTTTGATTTTATTTTAAAGATTGATAACGTGCTGAATATACTTTATAACTGAATATTGTTACATTTCAATATTGCTGAGAGTAAATTTTTACAGTTCTCATCACAAAAAAGATAAAGTTCATGCCCTCAAAGCACCCTACAAAGTGGTAAGGCAGAAGACAATAGAATAATCATAATAATTTCCACTATTTCTTTGTCCTCACCTCCTACCTTTCACCTCCTTCAGGACCCCAATACAGCCCACTGGGATGACCTGCTCCACTTCTGGATCTTTGTACTTGCTGTTCCCTTTGCCTATAACATTCACTCTTCAGATATCCAGATATCACTGTGGCTCACTGCCTCACCTACTTTAGGACTTTGTTCAAATATCACCTTATCAGAGAGGCTGTCTATGATCCTCTGATATAAAATAACATCTATCTCTTTCTATCCCTGTACTCTGCTTTATTTTTCTCCACATCACTTCACTTTCTAAAATTCTATATATTTGCTATTTAATTGGCTATTACCTGTCTCAGCCAACTAAAATGTCAACTACATAAAGCAGATATTTGGTCTGTTTTATTATTGCATTACCTGCACAAACAGTAGTGCCTAGCTCAAAGTAGGGTCTCAAATATTTGTTCAATCAATAACACTGCTGTGTTTTTCCAAGAACTGTGCTAGGCAATTTACATATGTTAGCTGATTTAATTTTATCCTCACTACAATCCTATAAAGTAGGCAGCATTCATCTCATTTTCTAGATAAGGAAACAAACCCAGGATTTAACTGAATATGGTAGACAGAATAATGCTACCTTCCCAAAGATATCCATCTGCATTTTAACCTCTGGTACCTGTGAATATGATATGTTACGTCGCAAAGGGCTATTAAGGATTACAGAGGGAATTAAGGTTGCCAGTCCTGGATTATATAAACGGGCCTAATGTAATCACAAGCTAAATGTTCATCAATGGATGAATGGATAAAAAAAGTGATACATGTACACAATAGAATACTATTCAACTTAACAAAGAAGGAAATCCTGTCTTTTGTGACAACATAGATGAACCTGGAGGACATAATACTGAGTGAAATAAGCCGGGTACAGAAAGACAAATACTGCATAATCTCACTTACATGTGGAATCTAAAAAAGTCAAACAATGCAGAGAGTAGAATGGTAGTTATCATGGATTTGGGGCAGTGGGGCAGGGAAGAAATGGCTAGAGTTAATCAGAGAGTACAAAGTTTCAGTTAGGAGGAATACATTCTGGTGCTCTATTGTACAGTATGGTGACTACAGTCAACAATACTGTACTGTGTACTTGAAAATTTCTAAAAGAGTGATTTTTCAATGTTCTCACCACAAAAAAATGATCAGCATGTGAGGCAATGATATATTAATTAGCTTGATTTATCATTCCACAATGTATGTATATAAACATCACATTGTACCCCACAAGTATATGCAATAATAATCAATTGTTTTCAAAAGTGGAAGAGGGAGGCAGAGAAAAAGTTCAGAGTGATACAATGTGAGAAAAGAAAGGAGAGTCCAAGCCAAGAAAAATGGACAGTCTCTAAGAGCTGAAAAAGGAAAGGGAACATATACTTCCACAGAGCATACAAAAAGGAATGCAGCCCTCCTGACACCTTGATTTTAGCCCAGCAAGACTCGTGTCAGACTTGTGACCTCCAGAACTGTAAGATTATAAATTAGTGTTATTTTTAAGTCAGTAAATTTGTAGCAATGTGTTACTGTAGCAGTAAAAAAAAAAAAAAAAAATACACTGAGTTATATATGATCAGCCAGTTTGTGATAGAGACATATTTTAAACACAGCTCTATCTGATTCTTATACATTCTGCACTGTCTGGGACAGGCACAAAATGCTATGGGAGGTCACGGTAAAGAGAGATCACTTATAACTGGGAAATGAGAAAAGACTTCATGACAAAATTAGCATTTGGAGTGGGCCTTGAGGAATTTATACAGCTTCAAATAGTGAATGTATCAAAACAGCCTAATGTTGTCCTTCAATCAAAAAATGAATACAAAAACTGTGGTATATTCACACAATTGAATACTACTCAGAAATAATCAACTGCTGTATGTACAATAACAAAGATACATCTCAGGCATTTTACTGAAAGAAATCAAACAAAGAATAGTACACACAATATGGTTGCAATTTTATGAAGTATAAGAACAGGCAAAATCTTTATTGTTAGAAGCCCAAAAGTGGTTGCTGGGAGGGAGGAAAACCAATTGGAAAAGGGCACAAGTGAAATTCCTGCAGGGATAAAATGGTCTTATTTTGTGTGGTGGTTATATGGGTGTAAATAATTTTTAAAATTTGTCAAACTGAACACTTAAAATGTTTTCATGTTACTCTGTTAATTATACCTCAAAAAATGTTGACTGTGGCCACAGAGGGTATCTGTCAAAGAGAAAGTATAAGCAAGTGTAGAGAAACAAGAGGCATGGGCCAAATGCAGAAAAAAAACATAGTGCAGTTGGCTTAGAGAAGTCCTCAAGCCCAGCTACACATTAGAATCACCTGAAAAGTGTTTGAAACTACAGGTGCCAATCCCAACCCAGAGACTCCAATTTATTTGGTTTGTGGTGAACCCCAAATATCAATATTTTATAAGATCTCAGTTGGCTCTTATATAAATTCAGGTTTGAAAACCAGGAACTGAGAGTATAAACAATGTAAAATAGACAAATTGTGAATGTCCTGGAACACATAAGGAGTTTTAGTTTGTTTGGATTGGAATGCAAATACATGAAAGGATTTTAAACAGGAGGGGTGAAATAATCAGAGATAAGCTTTAAGAAGGTTCTTCTCACACCTGTGTCCCTGGGCAAGTACACCTAGAGGTGGAGAGGCAAACTAGGAGACTGGCCCAAAGGAAATCAAAAGGAGGAGAGACTTTTTTGGATAAAGAAGGGGAAGTTGAAGAGGAGAGGTTTGTTTAGTTTTGACTTGTTTGTGTTTGTGGTATCTGTGGTATATGTAGGTAGAAATGTCTACTAGATAATGGAATACATGGAGCTAGAGCTCAAAAGAGAGGTCTAGGATAGAGACATACAGGTTATAATCACTTAGATCAGTGACATTAATTAATAACTGTGAAAGTGTAAGAAGAGAAAAGGACCAAAGACAAAGCCCTCAGGAATGCCCACAGGAATGCCCACATCAAAGGTCTCAGTAGACAGCATCAAATAAAAAGCAAATGCAGCAGTGAAATTGATAACTGGATAAGCCTGTTGAATTTGAAATTAGTAAATCATTGACAAAGCTGCTTCATTAGAATGGGTAGAGTAGAATTAAGATTAGAAGAAGCTGAGGAATAAATAGACTACTAGGAAGTAGAACAAATATTAAACCAAAACCTCAGTTTCCTCATCTGTAAAATGGGACAAAAACACTCCACTCCACAGGAGGTGTTGGTGAGGCTGAAATGAAGCAATGTTTAAAGCACTTAGCTCAGCATCAGGAGCTCTTATCAGAAATGATTGTTGTTATTGGCATTATTGTATAAGAAGATGGGTGGCAGCTTCAGGGACTAGTAATGCCTTATCAGCGTTTTGTTTTGCTTCATTTGATGTTGTTTTAGGATGAGCAATCATTGATTAGAACTATACATAAAGAAGAAGACACCAATACAGATGAAGAAATTGAACATTCCAGAGAGAGAGGAGCATGATCCTAAAGGAAGTAAGAGTGAATAAGGGTAAAGATAGAGGAACTAACTTTGGAAAGAAAGGGGCTCATTTTTCTTTTGAGTTGGGTGGGAAAGAGGAGATTTAAAGACCTAAAATAGTTGTTAATAGAGGAAATGTAAAGAAGCAATGGGATCATGAAAGAGATATACTGAAAAATTTTACATCAGATTGCCTCAATCTTTTGCGAAAAATAGAAGGTATGATCATCTAATATGAGTGAGGATAGTGGAGTTATAGTGGGTATTGTTTTCAATGGAAAAGCTTACAATAAATCCTGAGGATGCAATAAAATATTAGTTAAGAGATAACTGAGTGGTATTGAGGACCCTGCTGAGGGCAGTATAAATTGTCATTAAATCATGATAGCATGATTTTTAAACAACCTTGGAATCCTGGAGTGAGAACAGAGTAAGATGATGGCTACTTAGGTTTGGAGGTCAGCAAAGAAGTATGGGATAAACCCAAAAGGGTAAAAAGTAAATTATAGGGATTAGCAAAGCACTTTAAAATGGTTCCCTATGGAAAGAAGTAAATTAAGCCAATCAGGGTGAAGTACTGGATAAATAGGGCAGATTAAAGGAATCATAAACCACAATGAAAACTAAAGAAATATACAAATTCAATTGATTCAGCAGGTGAGAAGAAATGAGTATTGGGAAAAGATCATTGTGATTCTGATGCCAGGGATCGCTATGAAATCTGAAATCTAAAAATGTTCTTACTCTATTTTACCTTATGAGAAAATGACTTCGGGTAATAATGAAAAGAATGTGGCTCCAGCCACACTGACTTTCTTTCAGGTCCTTAAATATGTGATGCTCCCTCTAACCACAGGACTTTTCCACATGCTATCTCCTCTGCCTCATTCAGTGCCACCCTCCCTCACCTAGTTAACTCATTCTCATTCTCCAATTATTATTATTTTTTTGAGACAGGGTCTCACTCTGTTACCCCAGGCTAGAGAACAGTGACAAAATCATGGCTCACTGCAGCCTTGATTTCTTGGGCTTAAGCAATCCTCCCGCCTCAACTTCCCATATAGTGGGACCACATGTGTGAGCCCCTATGCCTGGTAATTTTTTTTTATTTTTAGTAGAGACAGGGTCTCTCTACATTGTCAAGGCTGATCTCAAACTCCTGGGCTCAAGTGATCCTTCTGCCTCAGCCTTACAGAATGCTGGGATTACAGGTGTGAGCCATATGCCTGTAAATGGGCTTAAGACTAATAATTCTTAAGATAAGGCACCTGATCTCATCTTTCATTTCTGAATTTAAGTGTGACTTCCCCCAACAAGCCTTTCATGACCTCTCAGACAAAGATATGTTTTCATGGTGCTATGTAGCTCTCTTCCCAGGACTTGTTACAGTTGCAATTCTAAATCCATTTCTCTGATTATTTCATTACTATCTCGCACAAAGTAAGACTTCAACAGACACTTAGTGAATTGATGTGGTATTTGAAAAGATATGAGCTATAAGAAATCAATTTGCCTGAGGGTTTTTTAAGCAATAACTACAAAAGACTTTCTTATATAACGGAGAATTGTACTGGTCAAATTACCTCCCTAGTACTCCTTTTTGAGAAATTCTTCAGAGCTTATGATGCATATTTTTAAATTTATTTACTCTTTGAGGGTAAAATTCAGGTTTGGCAACATCAAATGTTATCATTTGTTGATTTTGCCTTACAGAAACCCAAAGTGTAGAAAGGTAGGTAAACAAGCAGTGTAACAACACCATTTTGGTCCGAAACTGAGCCATGATCTTAAAACAATGAGATACATTCTTAAATGGTTTTTAATCTGCATCCAAAAACAACTACCATAGGGGTTATGCCCATAATTAAACATTCCCATGAGGCTGTTCCAGTTTCTGGTTGATTGTCCTTAAAAAAATCATATTTCTTTAATGTTACATCTAATATACTTACCTGTTTCCTTTGGAGCCTGGGAGCTAAATGAATGGTGAACATTAGCATGCATGGCAGTTCTCTATATTTTGTTGATGTGTTTGGAAAACTGTAGTAGCTCCTGTATTATTATTACCACTATTATTATTCTTAAGCTCTGTGTTTCCCAAGGTACTCTAGTCGAGGGATAATGACATATTACAATGACAGTCACAAAGCATGGCTCTGCCTCTACCTACTGTGTAGAAATTCCAACCCCCTTCACACATCTTCCAAATAGCTCTGCGGGTCCACAGGGAGAATTTCCCATGTGTTCTTTAGCTATGCTGTGGCATTCACTATCCCCCTTTCCCCAACTCTCTTTCTACTCCTGTCTCTTTGACCAGGTATCCTACAAACACTAATGCCAGAAAGTCACAATCCCACCAAAGGGGCAATTGATGCTGATGCCTGCCAGAAGCACTGCTTCAAGTTCCAGTGTTTACCCATATTAGCATCAAGTCTGCCACTATTCATTTTGGAGGGAGCTAATATCTGCAACAAGGGCACTGGCTTCGTCTGTTGCTACTGAAACCACTGGCACAGTCTACTGCCTCCTACTGTCTCTGCAGGAGTGGCTGGCACCACCACTGCTGATGTAAAGCATCCTCATCCACCTAAGAGATTGGAATGAAACAGCCCTTTTGGCTTTTACTCAGTGTCATTACAGTGCTTCAGGCTAAGACTCAGGCAAGATTCCAGATGGGATGGGACAGAGGACAACCCGAATTATAGCACATATTCTACGTTCAGAAAACCCCCTCCACTCTCACCATAGCCAATTGTTCTTTTAACCAAGCAAAAAAATAACATTGAAACGTTATTTGGGACATGTGGAAGGAGAAGGGAAGGAGTTTGATTATTTGTTTATAATTAACTACATAAACTTTTAACATAAAACTACAGTTTGAGATGAGGGTGTTAATATATACAGCTCACCTAAGCATTATTACGTTCTGGGGCCAAGGATGTAATTGGTAGATTATCTATAGGTGATGAAACTGAGGCAACAAAACAAATTAAAATACATTACATAAATCCACTAAAACTATCCTTCACTTATTCGAACTCAGCTTTTATCTATTTAATAATATTCATTGTAAAGGAATATAAGTAATTTACATTTAATTTGTTATATTGAATATCCCTTGTAATCATTGTGCTTACATAAAATCTACAGGTACTAATAGTAGTTAGTATTTATCTAACACATACTACTTGCCAAGCACTGTAATGTATTTGTGGATTATTTTATTTCATTCTCACAAACCTTCTAGATAGCTTCTATGATCAGCTCCATGTTACAGATGAGGAAACTAAGGCTTAGAAAAAATAAATGATCTTCACAGATACACAAAGCTGGTAAACAAAGTAGCCAGGAACGAAACTCCATCAGTTCTTAGTGTCTAAGCTTGTAATAACCTCGTCTTAAAATTACTGGACCCTACTTCGGCCTGAGGTGAAGGAGCAGAAATGATGAGCTCATCCTAAGGAGCCGGCCTGGTTGATATCCAGACTTCCACTGGCCTACTATGGTAGATTATCTTGTTATAGATTTATGTATGCACAGGGGACAACTAGAGGGCATCTGAAAATTGCCAAGACAACCAGAAGTTGAGAGACCAAAACCTCAGAAAATAGAGGTACAGAGAGGTACACTAACGTGCTACAAGGGGCTTTTCTCTCTAGAACATTTGCCTCTTATAGGGTGAGAGACTGGCAAGCGAGGCAGAGCGCTCTGGATAGGAGGGAGAGAAGCAACAGAGTTTTTGGCAAACTCACAAGACTAGAAGAAAAATAAATGGAGTTTGTGCTCACTTCGGCAGCACATATACTGAAATTGGAACGATACAGAGAAGATTAGCATGTCCCCTGCACAACGATGACAAGCAAATTTGTGAGCGTTCCATATTTTTCAGTGAGATACCGTCTCACGTCAGTCAGAATGACGATTACTAAAAGTCAAGAAACAACAAACGCTGGCAAGGCTTTGGAGAAATAGGAACATTTTTACACTGTTGGTGGGAATGTAAATTAGTTCAACCATTGTGAAAGACAGTGTGGCACTTCTTCAAGGACCTAGAACCAGAAATACCATTTGACTCAGCAATCCCATTACTGGGTATATGTCCAAAGGAATATAAATCATTCTACTATAAAGATACATGCACACGTATGTTTATTGCAGCACTACTTACAATAGCAAAGACATGGAACCAACCCAAATGCCCATCAGTGATAGACTGGATACAGAAAATGTGGTACATATACACCATGGAATACTATGCAGCCATAAAAAAGAATGAGATCATGTCCTTTGCAGGGCCATGGATGAAGCTGGAAGCCATCATCCTCAGCAAACTAACACAGGAACAGAAAAACAAACACCACATGTTCTTGCTCATAAATGGGAGCTGAACAATGAGAACACATGGACACAGGGAGGGGAGCAACACACACTGGGGCCTGTCGGGGGGTGGGGTGGTTGGGAGGGACAGCTTCAGGACAAATAGCTAATGCACGTGGGGCTTAAAACCTAGGTGATGGTTGATAGGTACAGCAAACCACCACGGCACACATATACCTATGTAACGAACCTTCACATTCTGCACATGTATCCCAGAACGTAAAGTAAAATTTAAAAAAAAAAAAATCATTGGACCAAATAAATAAGTAAATAAAGGGAGTTTGAGCCTGTCAAGAGAACCAGAACTTTAATGACCAACATCTCAGCCCAGAGAGAAGAGAGAAAGTAAAGTGAGCTGGACACTCTGCTATTTTCCACCATGAAGATTTGCTGAATTCATCTGCTGTGTGAAGCAACAGCCTAAGTAATAAGCTAAGCAGAAAGCTACTGAACAGTGGAGCCAAGTTTTCAAGCAGTTTCTTAGTTCTGAGTTTCCACAAAACAGGAGAGGTTCTAGTAAACACAGATGCTCTTAGTTGAGATCCCTAACAAGCTATACTCTAGGCCTAACACAAAATTTAGATAGAGACTCAAAAAGAAAAAAGAAAAAATCTTGCAACCCAAGCAAAAATCAGTTTAGTCTCAGATTGGATCAAGGCAATCTGTCCTTAAACAGGCTGCTCACCAGAGGCCAGAATGAATCCACTCTATAGGAGAATAATATCATCCAGAATTGCTAAAATTTTTAATATACAATGTCCAGTAATTTCTCAAACATAATGTCCAAAACTCAATCAAGTAGTAGAGAAAGCATTACTGACCAAAAAATATAAATTCAGGAAAGGATGAAGAACAATGGAAAGATTAATATCTTAGTAAATATAAGTTAATATTGACTGTACAAAAAGTTAATAATAAAGTCTTGTGTGGTAAAAAAAATAGGAAGAATTAAGATGCATAACAACAATACAAAGGACTGAAACAGAAATGGACATAAACTACTATTAGGTCATAACATTATCAAGGAAGAAGTTAAACTACTAATTTATATTAAACAGCATGAAATCAAGGAGGCATGTGATTCTAGGGCTGTGATTCTCATTGTAGTCTCAGGACCTTTTTCCACTCTTAAAAATTATTGAGGACCCCAATGAGCTTTTGTTTTGTGAGTTGCATTTGTTAATATTTGTCATATTAGAAATTAAAACTGAGATGTTTTAAAAAAACATTTATTCATTTGGAAATAACAGCATGTTAGGTGCGGTGGTGCATGTCTGTAGTCCCAGATACTCAGGAGGCTGAAGCAGGAGAATAACTTGAGCCCAGGAGTTCGAGGCTGCAGTGAGCTATGATCACACCACTGCACTTCAGTCCAGCTCTATTTTTAGAGTAAGACCCCAGCTCTAAAAATAAATAAATAAACAAAATAAAAAGAGTATAAAAGCAGTAAACCAGTAAGCCCATTACACAAATTATGTAATTATATCAAAAATAACTATTATTCAAGACAAAAAAATATAGTGACAGTAATAGTGTTGTTTTTATGTTTCTGCAAATTGTTTAAATATCTGGCTTAGTAGAAGACAGTTTTATCTTCATATCTGCTATTGTATTCAATCTCTTGTGATATCATACCCAGTGGAGGCTCTAGAGCATTCCACTGTATATTCATGAAAGAAAAGGGGAGGAAGGGCAAAATATATTAACATTATTAATAAAAATAATTGTTATCTCAGACTCCTGAAAGACTCTTGGGCACCCCTAGAAGCCCCTGGACCACATTTTGAGAACTATGGCCTTAAAGACGCCAGTGAAATGATAGTAAAATAATGTATACTTAAAAAACTAATAGATAAAAATATAGAGATATAGAGAATAATTAATTGTTTCATTCCGAATTAAGGTTAAAAAGGACAGAAAAAGGAACACAGACACATGGAAATAATAGAAAATAAGATAGTAATTGAACAATTGCATTAAGTGTAAATGGACCAATGCTCTAATTAAAATACAAAGTTTGACAATATGGATTTTTTTAAATGTTGCTTACAAACTATGGAACACTATGGAACATGCTCATGGATAGGACAAATCAATATCATTAAACTGGCCATACTTCCCTAAGCAATTTACAGATTCAGTACTATTCTTGTCAAAATTACCAATATCATTTTTCATAGAAAGAGAAAAAAACTATTCTAAAAATCATATGGAACCAAAAAAAGAGTCTGAATAGCCAAAGCAGTCCTAAAGCAAAAAGAACAAAGCTGGAGGCATCACAGTAACCAAATTCAAACTACACTATAAGTGCTATAAGACTACAGGAACTGAAACAGCATGGTATTAGTACAAAAACAAACATATAGAGCAATGGAACAGAATAGAGAATCCAGAAAGAAATCTACACAACTACAGACATCTGATCAACTTTTGACAAAGTTGACAAAAATAAGCAATAGGGAAAGGACTCCCTATCAATAAATGGTTCTGGGATAAGTGGCTAGCCATATGCAGAAGAATGAAACTTGACCCCCTACCTTTTACCATGTACAAAAATTAACTCAAGATAGACCAAAAATTTAAATGTAGGAATTCAAACTATGAAAATCCTAGAAGAAAACCTAGGAAATAACCTTCTTGACATCAGCTTTAGCAAAGAATTTATGGGTAACTCCCCAAAAGCAATTGCAACAAAACCAAGAATTGACAGGTTGGACCTAATTAAACTAAAGAGCTTCTGCACAGCAGAAGTAACTATAACAGAGTAAACAGACAACATATAGAATGGGAGGAAAATATTCACCAACTATGCATCTTACCAAGGTCTAATATCGAGAATCTACAAGTAACTTAAATCAACAAGCAAAATAATAATAATAATAATAATAATTCCATTAAAAAATAGGCAAAGGACATGAACAGACACTTCTCAAAAGAAGATATACATGCACCCAACAAACATGAAAAAAATACTAATCACCACTAATCATGAGATAAATTCAAATCAAAACCACAATGAGTTACCATCTCACACCAGTCAGAATGTGATTATTAAAAACAAAAACAAAAACAAAAATAAAACAACAACAAAAAAACATGTTGGCAAGGCTGTGGAGAAAAAGGACCACTTACATACTGTTGGTGGGAATGGAAATTAGTTTAGCCACAGTGGAAAGTAGTTTGGCAATTTCTCAAAGAACTTAAAACTACCGTTCAACCTGGCAATTCCATTACTGGGTATATACCCAAAGGAAAATAGTTTATTCTACCGATAAGACACTTGCACTCATATGTTCATCACAGCACTATTCACATTAGCAAAGACATGGAATCAACCTAGGTGCACATCAACAGTTGATTGGATAAAGAAAATGTGGTACATATACAGGATGAAATATTAATACCACACAGCCTAAGAAAAAATAAATCATGTCCTTTGCAGCAACGTAGATGGAGCTGGAGGCCATTATCCTAAGCGAATTAATGCAGAAACAGAAAGCCATATACTGCATGTTCTCACTTATATGTGGGAGCTAAACATTGAGTAAATGTGGACATGAAGATGGGGACAATGGACATTGAGGACTACAGGATGGGGGAAGGAGGGAAAGGGTAGTGGGCTGAAAAACTAACGATTGAGTACTATGCTCGCTACCTAGTTAACAGGATCATCTGTACCCCAAACCTCAGCATCATACACTGTATCCACGTAACAAAGCCGTACATGTATCCGCTGAATCCAAAATAAAAGCTGAAAAAAATAAAATAATGGGACAAAAATATTATTTAAACACTAACTAAAAGAAAGCTGGTATAGCTCTACTAATAGCAAAGTAGACCTTAAGGCAAGAAGCATTATTAGAGATAAAATGGAATACTACAAAATGATGAAAAGATCAATCCACTTAGAAAATAAAACAATTCTAAATGTGTAAGGATCTTTAAAATTGCTTTAAAATATATGCAAAAAATCTGGAAGAACTAAAAGAGATAGAGAAAACTACTTTCATAATGGATGATAGCTAATAAAAGATAAAATCGGGCCAAGCACAGTGGCTCACGCCTGTAATCCCAGCACTTTGGGAGGCCAAGATGGCCAGATCATGAGGTCAAGAAATCGAGACCATCCTGGCCAACATGGTGAAACCCTGTCTCTACTAAAACTACAAAAATTAGCTGGGTGTGGTAGTGTGTGCCTGTAGTCCCAGCTACTCGGGAGGCTGAGGCAAGAGAGTCGCTTGAACCCGGGAGGCGGAGGTTGCAGTGAGCCGAGATTGTGTCATTGCACTCCAGCCTGGTGACAGAGCAAGACTCTGAAAAAAAAAAAAAAAAAAAAAAAGATAAAATCGGTAGACAAAAGTGGAATAATATAGAAGTCCTAACCATCATGAGAAACAAAAATGACGTAATCAACATTTTTAAGCACTGAAATTGAGAAAGAATAAACATTTACCAAAATTTACCATATGTGGATCATAAGGTAAGCCTGAACACAACTTAAAGGACTGAAATTAGATATATCATTGTTGCTATACAGAAGTGCAACTGATTTTTGTAAGCTGATTTCATATGCTGCAACTTTACTGAATTCCTTAATTAGTTCTAATAGTTGCTTTCTGGAGTTTTCAGAGTTTTCTACATATAAGATCATGAAATCTGCAAACAGACATAGTTCCAAAAATGAAATTAAGAAAGCAATAACATTTACAATAAGCACCAAAAACAGATAAAACACTTAAGAATAAGCCTAATTAGAAAGTTAAAGACTCATACACTGAAAACTATAAATTGCTGATGAACAAAATTGAAGAAAACTTAAATGGGAAGACATCCTGTTTTCATGGATTGGAAGAATTAATATTGTTAAAATATCTATACTACACAAAGTGGTCTACAGATTCAATGTAATCTCTGTCAAAATCCCAAAGACATTTTTTAGAGAAATAGAAAAAATTCTATTTCTCTAAAAATTCATGGGGAACCAAAAAATACCCCCAAATAGCCAAAGACATCTGAGTAAGAAAAACAAAGCTAGAGGCATCACACTAAATGATTTCATAATATAGTAAAAAGCTACAATAATAAAGAGAGTATGGTACTGACACAAAGACATATAAATTGATGAATAGAATAGAATAGAATAGAGCCCAGAAATAAATCCTCACATCTATGGTCAACTGATCTTTGACAAGGATTCCAAGAATACACAATGGGAAAAGGACAATTTCTTCAATAAATGGTGTTGGAAAAACTGAATATCCACATGCAAAATAAGTAAACTGGATCCTTATTTTTTTTACCATTTATAAAAATTAACCTAAACTAGATCAAAACACAAATGAAGGACCCGAGACTGTAAAACTAGTAAAAGAAAACATAGTGGAAAAGCTCCATGACATTTGTTTGGGCCATGTATTTTTTGGATATGACACCAAAAGCATAGGCAACAAAAGCAAAAATAGACAAGTGAAATTGGATCAAACTAAAAAAACTTTGTACAGCAAAGGAAATAATCAACAGAGTAAAAAGGCCATCTATAAAATAGGAGAAAATATATGCAAACCATGTATCTGATGTGGAGTTAATTTTCAATATATATAAGGAACTCTGAAAATGCAATAGCAGCTGGGCACGGTGGCTCACACCTGTAATCCTAGCACTTTGGGAGGCCAAGGCAGGTGGATCGCCTGAGGTCAGGAGTTCAAGACCAGCCTAGCCAACATGGCGAAACCCCATCTCTACTAAAAATACAAAAATTAGCTGGGCGTGGTGGAGGGAGCCTGTAATCCCAGCTACTTGGGAGGCTGATGCAGGAGAATCGCTTGAATCCGGGAGGTGGAGGATGCAGTGAGCCGAGATCGTGCCATTGCACTCCAGTCTGGGTGACAGAGCGAGACTGTCTCAAAAAAAAAAAAATGCAATAGCAAATAAAATAAAATAAAATACCCTTTTTTAAAAATGGGGAAAGACTTGAATAGACATTTCTTCATAGCAGACATACAAATGACCAACAAATACATGAAAAGATGCTCAACATTGCTAATCATCAGTGAAATGCAAATCAAAACCAGGATGAGATATCACTTCATACCCATTAGAATGGCTATGATGGGAAAAAAAAGTGTTGGCTTTGTACACTGTTAGTGAGAATATATAAAATGGTACAGCCACAATGGAAAACAGTACAGAGATTCCTCAAAAAAATAAAAATAGAGCTATCATATGATTCAACAATTCTACTTCTGGGTATATATTAAAAAGATTTGAAATTAGGATCTTAAAGAGATAGCTGAACTCTGATGTTTATTGCAGCATTATTCACAATAGCCAAGATATGGCAACAAACCAAATATGCATTGACAGATGAATGGCTAAAGAAAGTATGGAATATTATTCAGCCTTTAAAAAGAAAATTCTACCATTTGCAACAACATTCATGGAACTGGAACATATTATGCTAAGTGAAATGTCACAGAAAGACAAATACTGCATGATTCTTCTTAATATGAGGCATATGAAATAGTTAAAAGTATAAAAGTAGACCATAGAATGATGGTTACCAGGGGATGAAGAGAGGAATGAGTTGTTTTTCAGTGGGTATAAAGTTACAGTTATATAATACATGTACGTTCCAGAGATCTGCTGTACAACATAGCGCCTGTAGTTAACAATTAGGTATTGTGTACTTAAAAATTTGTTAAGAGAGTGAATCTAATGTTAAGTGTTCTTACAACAACAACACATAAATAAACTTTTGGAGGTGATGGATATGTTTATTACCTGGATTGTGGTAATAGTAACATGAGTGTGTACATATGTCAAAAATTGTCAAATTGTATACATTAATTATGTGCAATTTTGTATAACAATTATACTTCAAAAAAGCTGGAAAAAAAATGCCATGCTTTCAACTTTTCTTTCCTTTTCTTTCTTTTCTTTTTTTTGAGACAGAGTCTCACCCTGTTGCCCAGGTTGGAGTGCAGCTGCTGGATCTCGGCTCACTGCAACCTCGCCTCCCAGGTTCAAGCAATTCTCCTGCCTCAGCCTCCCGAGTAGCTGGGACTACAGGTGCCCATCACCATGCCCGGCTAATTTTTTGAAGTATAATTTTCAAAAAAGCTGGAAAAAAAGATGACTGAAATCATTCAGAGTATGCTGTCTGACCACAGTGGAATAAAACTCAAAATAAATTAAAAATAGACTATAAAATCCCCAAATAATTACAAATTAAGCAATATGCCTTTATATAAACTGTAAGCCAAAAACATTCTGGTAGAAATCAGAATATACATTTAAGTAAATGATGATGGAAATGCTTCTATTACAACTTATGGATGCAATTAAATTAATGCTTAGAGAAAAATCTATAGCCCTACCTAAATGCATGTATTTGAAAATAAGAAAGCCTAAAAGTCAATGATCAAAAATCATTCTCAAAAAGTTATAGTAAATGAAAATGAAAGGCAGTGGAACGAAAAAGTGAGATGTGACAGCATAAATTAATCAAATAGAAAAGAAACAATAGAAGTTTTTTTAAAGCTGCATTTTTGTAAGGAATAATATAATTGATAAACTCTTCGCAAGACTGACCATGAAAAAAATTAGAGAAGCTCTAATTATCAGCATCAGAAATGCAAAAACATATAAATACACATTCTAATATTTTTTAAAGTGTTGGAACAATTTGATATTTGTTTGTAAAATGATTAATCTTGGCCTCTATTTCATACCATACACAAAAAATTAATTTGAGATGAATAGATTTAAATATGAAATCAAAAACAATAAGTCCTCTTGAAGAATATATAGGAAAGTATCCTATCCATAGGTCAAGTACCCATGACCTTGGATTAGGCTGAGGTATATTAAACAGGACGCAGACTTTACTCCCTGGATCTAAGCTAGTGCCTGAAACGTAATAGATATTTAATAAATGCTTATTGTGTCCCTGCTACCCCAAGACACCTATCACATGGCCCTCTTTCCTAAATGCCATGCTTTCAACTTTTCTTTTCTTTCCTTTTCTTTCTTTTCTTTTTTTTTCTTTTTTTCTTTTTTTTTTTTTTTTTGAGACAGAGTCTCGCTCTGTTGCCCAGGTTGGAGTGCAGCTGCTGGATCTCGGCTCACTGCAACTTCGCCTCCCAGGTTCAAGCAATTCTCCTGCCTCAGCCTCCCGAGTAGCTGGGACTACAGGTGCCCATCACCATGCCCAGCTAATTTTTTTTTGTATTTTAGTAGAGACGGGATTTCACCGTGTTGCTCAGGCTGCTCTCTAACTCCTGAGCTCAGGCAATGCGCCCGCCTAGGCCTCCCAAAGTGCTAGGATTACAGGCGTGAGTCATCGTGCCCCGCCCAACTTTTCTTTTATATATATATATTTTTTTTATTATACTTTACGTTCTAGGGTACATGTGCACAACGTGCAGGTTTGTTACGTATGTATACATGTGCCATTAATGTCTATGTGGAAGCATTGTGCTATGCACTTTATAGGATTGTTGGGTTTAATCCTCTCAATGACTCTGTGAGGTAGGTTCTATCATTAGGCCGCTTTTACAGATGAGTGAGTTTATGCTCAGAAAACTTACGAAGTATTCTTGAAAATAAACAAAACTCAACTTGAATGTGATTGAATATGCTTCTACCTCTAAGTATAAATGTATAGAAAATACAGAAAACAGAGATGCATGTCAAACTGCATTATGATGGGATCAGCAAAACCCAGATTCTGCGAAACTCTAAAGAACAGACAAATCACAGCCTGGGCAACATACTGAGACTGTTTCTCTACAAAAAAAAAATTAAAAATTAGCTGGGTGTAATGACACGTGCCTGTAGTCTAAGCTACTCGGAAGGCTGAGGAGGGAGGACTGCTTGAGCCCAGAAGTTCAAGGCTGCAATGAGCTATGATTGTGCCACTGCACTCCAGCCTGGGTGACAGAGTGATATCCAAAAAATAAAAAAAATTAAAAATAAAAATAAAAATAAAAAAGACAAACCAGTTCTTTTAACAGATGTATTTTCAGAGAAAATAAAATTAAAAGCAGAACCCAGAGACTAAAAGAGGCTTAAGAAAATATATCAATCATAATATATGGATCTTATTTTGATCATGATCAAAGAAACGAATGATGTTCATGATAGAATTTAGCAACCATTTGCATGCTTATTGGATGTTGGATGATATTAAAGAATTATTGTTAATTTTTCAGATGTTCTCTTTTTAAGTGTGATAATTGTGTTTATATTTCTTAAAAAATCCTCACAAAAGTGATGTGTGTGAGGTAATGCATATGTTAATTAGTTTGATTTAGTCATTCCACAATGTATACATATTTCAAAATATATTATACAAAATAAATATATACAATTTGTATTTTCAATTTAAATACATAAATTTTTATCTCTTAGAAAATCATACTGAAATATTTGCAGATGAAATGACATTATGTTTGTGATTTGATTCAAATCAGTAGGAAAGGAGGACATCAGGTGAGAGTATTGATGATACAAGATTAGCCACGTGTTGTTAATTGTTGAAACTGAGTGATGGATACCTGGGGGATTCTAATACTATTATCTCCACTTTTGTGAATTTAAAATCCTCTATAATAAAATTTTAAATAACATCGTCAAAATCAAATTTGACTGAGAACCTAGATTTTTTTACCAAGTATATTTGGTTATCTGTGTTTATAACCATCCAGTGCCTTTTGGATACTTTTCTTCCACCTAGATTGAAGCTTATAGATTTCACATGCTCATTAATTACTTTCAGTTTTGCAGGTCCAAGAACCTGTCAATGAATTCAAAATTTCATTGCAACTCACTTCAAGCCTTGGGTCTTTAGAAGGGAGATTTTGATTTTGCAAACATTAATGTGAATTGTTTTAGCAAGTGAATTGTGCAGCCCTTCAGTATCAGGTGGAAAAACTGTTTACATAGGGATTTCTATTGATATACATTTATGGAATCAATAAAGAGTTGGCTTTTACTGTGGGAGAATGATAATCAGACATTGGCCATGCTCCTCTGGCTGCTTACAATATAGTAATGAAAAAAGAAATATACATAAATCATCAGAATACAGAGCAGCTAGTGTGAAGAATGGACCAGATCCAAGGAGGAGAGACCAACTCTAGGAACACTGCAATAATCCAGGTAAGATGTAATGAGGATTTATCTAATCTCAAGGACAGTGGTAGCAAGTAATGGAGAAAAGAGAAGTTCAGGATGAGAATATGTCCTCCCCAGACTTCACCTTCCTTGAGTCACAGTGGTGGCAGTGGCATTCCTCAACTCCCTGACTCACATAATTTAGTCTCCTTAGTTTCTATTGCAATGTGTTATGCTCAAGTGTGTATAGCCAACATTGCAGCCAACCCCACAGCACTCTTCTTGCTTTGCTGATATGTGGTCAAGTGCAGAAACACCCAGAACTGGAAGCGCCACACCTCTCAGGACACACTGAAGATACTTTTTCCCATTTTGGGTTTAAAAGGCATGCCCTCACAGGGCTGTGGAGCGTGGTCACGGGAGGGTGTCTGTAACAATCAGGGGTCCTCATGGTCTCTAAGAGAATGTCAATACATAGATAGCTATTAAAATAATATCTGCAACTAACCTCTTCCCCCAATCTCAAGCGGTTCACTAGTTGATAAAGTAATAAAGTGATAATAAGTAACCTAGTGTCACACTGACCTTTTTTCTATTTCTAGAGCATGCCAAGTTCTTCACCACTTCAAAGGCCTTACAACTTAATCTTTCTGACTAAAAGGCTTTTCCTTAAACTCTTCACTTGTTTCTCATTCTAATTTTCAGGTCTTAGATTAGGAGTAACCATCTCAGAGCGAGCGTCTCTGATGCTATTATCTAAATCAGATGCGCTTAATCACTCTCTTTCAAAACACACTTTTAAATTTACTTTTTAGCTGCAATCACATTCTGTAATTAGGTTATTCATCCATATTTTGGTTGGTTTATTTTTTTTTTTAGTCCATCTCCATCATTAAATGTCAGCTTCCCTGAAGACGGAGAGACCATGACAACCTTGTTTTCTATTTTATCTGCAGTGCACTGTAGTGCTCAGTAAATATTTGTTGAATTATTGGACCAATATCTGGTCTTCTGATTAGCCTTTGTAACTAATGGTATCCATCCTCAGTTCTTCCTCGGACTAGCTTTTTGACAAAGACTCAGTCAATAAAGTATCAATAGATATTTTCTGCTAACCATGATGAGAACGGTGATATATTTTCATCAAAGACTTGCTCCTCAACATATTTACTAACTTCACAGAATTATAATCTTTGGAATACTTAGGAAATAAACCTTCAGTTGGGCTATTTGCTATGTACCAGTGTTTGTTCTGAGTAAATGGTTTCCAAAGGTGCTTTGACTACCATTACAAGTAAGGAGTATTGAAGATTATAGACTTTTCTAAACTCTCCATGGGCCCAGCACATAGCAAAGCAACAAAGTAAATACATTTCACAGGCATTGGAAGTCAATAATTTAGCTCCTTTTGTCCCTCTACTCAGCCTAGTATTCAACTTTGCCATCTGGTTTCTACTTAATTGTCAACAAAAAACCTCAGAGAAAGTTTTACACTTCATTACTGTTTGCTTTTGGATTAGGGAACTATAGTTAAGAAGTGAAAAAGCTGTGGGGAGTTGAAACTAATAACTGATCACACATCCAAAACCAACTAGGGAAGCTCTTCCAGTACATTTCAGGCTTTGATAGTTACCAAATCAGTGTCCCTGTCTCTCCTCTGTCTTTATTGAGATACAGCAAAAGGACATAAATATTAAATCCCAATAGCTTAAGAATAAATCCCAACAACCCATGGATTTTCTGATAACCCCATTTATTTCTTAAGAGACCAGCCCTGGCTTTGAGCTTTCTTTCCTCACAAGGTATGGGTATGCTGGGAAACCCCTGGTGACAGCCAGCCCATTGGTCAACAGTGCAACATTTCAGTTGTTTAGTTTTTTGGAGTTTGGGCCTAAGACCAGACACACCTGCCTTCTCATTGCCACAGCTTCATGACCCAGACCAGCCCCAGAATGCCTGTACAGAGAAACCAAGGGCAGGCATCCTGGGATCAAATAAGATAATGTATTGAAATCTATTTCCAGAAGTATAAAGTACATTACAAAGTAATTTATTTCTGTAGTAGACACACAAATTTTTCTAAATGACCCTCAAGATTTGGTCTCTGGCACATACTTATATTAGATAAGTTATAAGTCAACCCAGAAAATAATTTGGGTAAATATGTGTTCAGATAGGTTTCTGGAACCTATTCTTGTAACAGCATTACAGAAAGTCAAAGACCAGCTCAATACTACTCAAATGTGGTCTGTAGAGGTAATCTTGGAGCTTGATTTAAATTAAGAATCACAGACCCCACCCCTAGAACTACTATATTAAAAATATCCAGAACTACTATCTAGTCCAATGGATACCTTTAGAGAGCATCTGCTGCAGCACTTCTCAAACTTTAATGTGTATATGAATTACCTGGGTATCTTCTAAAAATTCAGATACTGATTCAGTAGGTCTGGGATAACGACTGACATCTCCCAAAAGAGCACTATTACATATTCAAGAAAATTGTGCATATTCCCTGACATTTTAGAGTAGAAGCATCTTCACTTTTCTGCCTCTCTGAGAATTGACTTTTCTTTATTCCTGGAGCGAGCTTGCTGCTGAAATGTGCTTAGGAAAAGCGCCCAGGAAACCTCTCAGTTAGCACTCTTTGTGACTAAATTTGGACTGATAAAAAGACAAATAGGTGTAATTTCGGACTCCTCTAAAATACCCCAAGCATGGTACAATTCCCTATTTAATTAATTTATTTGTAGTTTGACCAATAGGAATGCTAGGGCCCAGCAGGGAAAAATAATCTGACCTAGATGCTTAGGCAGACCAAAGTTTAATTAGCTAAAGGATCACTTACTGGAGCTCAAACCCTTAAAATTTTCACAACTTTTATCATAGTCCAGGTTTGCCCTTTTCATTGTGTTTATCATAAACATTCTTGGAAGAGTTCCAAAAATATTTAAGAACACTGGGCATGAAGGAAAAACATAAAATACGTTATATGGATAAAATGCCAACTGCACAAGAAATTGAGACCCAACTTTCCAAAATTAACAATTAGATTTTCTCCCCACTCAGACAGGCCACATTCACACTGGGTAGATCAGAGGTCAATAACAAAACGAGCCCTGGCTGTAATCCAAAGATTCCTGTAGTTGGCAAGAGAGGCTTAAATTTGGTTCACGTTGTATTGATGTTAGATAACTAAGGCTAGCAATATTCCTAAATGTCTCCCTGCAACCTAAACAGCCTTCAGCAAGCAACATCACTTCATGAGCTAGCTTTTTGCCATCCATTAGGGCAAAACAAATATACATCTATGCAGCGTGCCTATGTAAATAGCTAAAAATCTTACCATTTCCAAGATGAATGCATTCTTGATTATACTGCTATTGTTGTTATACTCTTTACAGTTGATGCTTGAACAACATGGGTTTGAACTTCATAGCTCCACTCGTGCAAGGATTTTCTTCCACCTCTGCCATCCCTGAGACAGCAAGACTAACCCCTCCTTTTCCTCCTCCTCATCAGTCTATTCAACATAAAGGCAATGAGGATGGAGACCTTTATGATGATCCACTTCCACTTAATAAATAGGAAATATATTTTGTCTTATAATTTGCTTCATAACATTTTCTTTTGCTTGCTTTATTGTGGGAATACAGTATACAATACATACAACATACAAAATATGTGTTAATTGAATTTATGTTATAAGTAAGGTTTCTAGTCAACAGTGAGCTATTAGTTAAGTTTATTGGGAGTCTAATGTCACACATGGATTTTCAACCGTGCGAGGCATCCATGCCCACAACCTCCACATTGTTCAAGGGTCAACTGTACTCATATACTGTAGCCCACAGTGCCATGAGAAAACTGTCACAGAGCTCAAAGAGAAAAGATAACCCCCTTGAATGTTATTTCATGACTCTTCCTAAAATTTAAAGATGTCTGTGAGCTTTTAAAAATTGTGACTTATACAAATAGGTTTGGGGTTTTGGGGGGAAGTAATGAAAATTGTCTAAAATTCATTATGGTGCTCATTGCACAACTCTTAAATATACTAAAATCCATTGAAATGATACACTTTAGATGGGTGAATTGTGCAGTGTGTGAATTGTATATCAGTAAAGCTGTTATTTATAAAAATTTGTATCCATAAAAACTGTTATTCAAACATCTTTAATCATGTATATACAGTGCCAAAATTTCAATCTTTTTAAAAAGGGAAGTGTTTTCCTAAGCCATATTTTGAAAGTAATTGAGGATAAAAATGTCATATCTTATCATCTATAGATAATTTCAGAGATAATTGAAATATGTTGAAATGAACTTTGAGAAAACTTTTTAGAATTTAAAATCTATTTAGGAAGAGATTACTTATGATTTATATTCCCAGAAGTAAGTGATAAGATTTTGAAGTAGTTCAGCTGAAATTAACCCACAGATCAGAGATTTTAGTCAGAATTATGAAAGTTATTTTTATAAATCATAGAATATTGGAGCTTGATGGGACCTTACAGAAAGTCCAGGTTAATCCTCTTATTTTTCAGATGAGAAAACTTAGGGAAGGAAAAGATAAGTAGCTCATTAAAAGAGATACATAAATTTATGGTAGAATAATGCCAGAACACGGGCTTCCTGACATTTGATCTGAGGCTCTTGCTAGGGGGTTGGAGACCAACAACACACAGTGAAAAAGCTTCCAATAGTCAATGGTCGCAAGGTTAAACTGAAGATCTGGTCTCTGCCCATATCTCCAACTTTATCTCATGTCACTCTTCTCTTGCTCACAATTCTCCAGACCCTGTGGACTCTACTGTGTTCCTCTCATACCATAGGACTTTTTTTTTACTTGCTATTTCCTCTGCCTAAACTCTGAAATGTCCTATTTTCACCTCCCAAGAACCAGGAAAAGCCTAGCCAGAATCTGAGTTCTGGACACCAGAGCTAGGCCAGGTTGCCCTACCTGAGGTATCTAGGAACACAAAGGATTCAGAGAGGTAAGCTATACTAAAATCCTCAGAGGATCAAGCTTGATAAACAACGGTCAGTTAAAGCTGACAAATCCAAAGGACAAGAACACAATCGAATATAGAAAATAAAGTCAAGAATCAGTAGTAGTAGCATAAGAATGGGATAGTGGGAAGGTCCAGAGAGATACATGGTAGTTCCTATGTGAATGCTAAAAATGCATTATCTGTGGCTTAACTTTATTGATGATTAAATATGTGATATGAGTGAGTAGGACTGAATTAAAGTTACAGGGTCAGGACCAAAAAGAGCCAGCATAATTTTAAAAGAGTCATTTCTCTCCCAGCTCTCACAGTGGATTGACAGTGTGAAATTCTGTTGAAGTTAAGTACACGAATTGAAGTCACTCCTTGCTTTGGCAGCAATTTAACTATAAAACTTCCATAGGGTGATATACTATATTTTATTCATCACTGCCCCTGGCACTATGCTGTGCACATAGTATATGCTGAATAAACATTTGCTAATTGAATAAATAATTCAATGAATGGAATGCTGTTCAGCAGAGGCAATACTCTAAAATGTTCATGGAGGAGATGCAGAGTATAAGTTGACTCAATCTTTGGCAAGATTTTTCCTTCTTTAAAGGTCAAGTTATGCTCTGTAGTATATTTGGACACCGTATGCTAGCTGTGACGCACTCCTTGGCCTACATCATCTTTGGGTGTCTGCCCTCCTTTTCCAGCTGAACCTCTCTCAATCTTTCTATCAAGTTTTCTAGAAGGGTGTGTGACTTCCTTACTAGAAGGCATCTTGTTTCCTGGAAAAGACACAAAGAACTATATTATAACTGATCCATAGACTTAACTAAGCTAGGAAAGTGTAAATACTAGAGTTGTCCTTAAGACCAGGGAATACCAAATTTGAAATAACACATAGCTTTTTAAATGCTTGTCTGTGTTATAATGATGAATCTCTCCTCTCTCTCTCTCTCTCTCTCTCTCTCAGAAACACACACACACACACACACACACACACACACACACACACGAAAAAAATTACTGTCCTTAGAAGCAGTGATAGAGTTACATTTTTTTAATTTACTTTCAGCACTGGGGGAAATATAAATTTACTTCTTTCAATTTGTTTTCTTAAAACAAATCAGGTATGATTCTCTTTCTTTTCCTACATCAAATAAGTTTTTGGAATAAATTCAAATATTAAGGGACTGACATTTTGCAGTGGTTACAAATATTGCTTAAACCACCTCTGTAGGCATTGCAGGCCATTAAGGAAGCAGTCACCTGCTAGGCATGATGTGGAGAGGTATACTAGAGTGTAATAAAGAGGAAGAGAGCATAATATGTATTTATTGAGCAGTTATGAGAAAGTTTCATGTGTATATATAACTTAATCTTCTCAAATACCCAATCCCATAGGGACTACTGTTATTTCCATTTTACAAATCAGGAAACTGATGTTTAGAAAAGTTCATTTGGGACTTCCATTTCCAACCAAGACGGAGGAACAAGGATGGGATTTATCTTCTTACCTAAAACAAACCACAAAAACAAAAACAGACAAAATACATGAAAAAAAGTTTTTAAGATGCTGGGAATCAGTCAGTGAAGAACAGTGATAGCCAAGAGATGAGAAACAAATAAGGTGAGTTCTATGATTATCCCAACTTACTATATTAAGATATTTTCCAAAATATGGCATAGAGAGTGGCGATTAAGACAAAGGACAGTGGACTCCCTGGATTGAGCAGATGCAGCTCAAAGTCCAGGGAATCTAATGCAGCTGGAGTTCATAGGACAGATGACCAAAGAGGAGAGAGCTGTGCAGAGAGACAACCCCGGAAGTTTTCAGAAGGCCTACCTTAAGTATTCAGCAGAGTACATATTAATATATGCATGAGGAAGCTAACCAAGACTGGGAAAGAAACATTTTAAAAATGAGAAGAAAAGAGCGGAAAATAGTACCTGTTCCCACCATCCAGACTGGAAAGACTCATAATTCATGGGGCATTGGATAGACTACACAAAAGCGTCACTTCTCAATAGTGGAATATATTAGACTGAGCACTGCTCCAGAACCATCCAACAAATCATAAAAACAAGAACCAAAAAGATAAAAATGGTTCCAAGTAAATTTACTGTGTTATAGTACAGAGCTCAGGAATATTTATAAAAATAAAAATTTCCAGCAGCTAACAAGGTGAGATTACAATCTTTGGCATCAAATCAAAGATTAACAGACATGTAAAGAGGCAGGAAATAAATTGAACCAGAAATGACACAGATGTTAGAATTAGCTGAGAGACATTAGAATGCTTATAACTAGATTTGATATGTTCAAAAAGTAGAGACATAGATGTTAAAACGACCCACATCAAACTCCTAGAGATAAAACTTCAATGTGTTTAATAAAAACTGCACTTAATAGGATTAGCAACACATCGTATGTTGTGGAAGAAAGACTCATTGAATTAAAGTTATAGTGATAGAAGCTATCCAAAAGGAAATGCAGAGACAAATAAAAAAAGAGAAAAAACAGCTATAGGACAACTTTAATAGGCATAATATACATGTTTGGAGTCACAAAAAGAGGAGAGAAAAAAATGGGAGAAACATTTTGAAGAAATATTGGCTGAAAAAATTCTAAATTTGATAAAATCTACTAATGCACAGATAAAAGAAATTCAATAAATTCCAAGCCCACTGTTTTAGTCTGTTTTCTGTTGCTTGCAACAGAATACCTGAAACTGAGTAATTAAAAATGAAAGTTATTTATTACACTTCCCACTTAGGCTGAGAAGTCCAAGGTTGAGGACAAGCATCTGGTGAGTCTTCTTGCTGGTGTGGGTTCTACACAGTCTCAAGTCAGGACAGGGTATTACATGGTGAAGGAGCTAAGCATGCTAACATCAGGTCTCTTTTTCTTTTAAAATCACGAGTTTGACTTGCATAATAACTCATTAATCCATCAACCCATTATTCCATTAATCCATGAACAGATTATACTATCCATGAGGGCAGAGCCCTCATTATCCAGTCACCTCTTAAAGGCCTCACTTCTTCATGGGCACGGTGGCTCATGCCTGTAATCCCAGCAATTTGGGAGGCCGAGGTGGGTGGATAACTTGAGGTCAGGAGTTTGAGATCAGCCTGGCCAACGTGGTGAAACCCCATCTCTACTAAAAACACAAAAATTAGCTGGACGTGGTGGCGCGTGCCTGCAATCCCAGCTACTTGGGAGGCTGAGGCAGGAGAATCACTTGAACCTGGGAGGCAGAGGTTGTAGTGAGCCAAGATCGTACCACTGCACTCCAGCCTGGGTGACAAAGCGAGACTCCATCTCAAAAAAGGTCTCACTTCTCAACACTCCCACATTTAAGATTAAGTTTCATCATGAGGTTTTGGAAGGGACATTCAAGCCACAGTAAACAAAAAAATAAAAATAAAATAAAATAAAAACGAAGAAAACTTCACCAAAACATGTTACGATCAAATTGCTTTAAAAGCAATAATAAAGAGAAAATCTTAAAAGCAGCCACAGAAAAAAATACCTTTATATTCAGAGAAGCAAATATAATGCTGACAACATATTTCTCATGGGAAATGAGGCAAAAAAGAAACTGTGGAGCAGCGTCTTTAAAGTATTGTAAGAAAAAAAACTGTCTATGTATAATTCTACACCTAGCAAAATATTTTCAAAAATTAAGACAAATTAAGATACTTTAGGCCATACAAAAGCTGAAATAATTAATCACCAGCAGCCCCTCTGTTCAAGAACAGTTAAAGAAACTTCTTTAGGCAGAAGAGAAGTGATACCAGATTAAAATCTGTATCTAAACCAAAGAATGAAGAATTGGCAACAACATGGGTGAAAAGATATAGACAGACAGATGATAGATAGATAGACAGATAGATAGATAGATAGATAGATAGATAGATAGATAGATAGATAGACAAATAGAATAGATCTGAAAAAGAAAATTGACTGTTTAAACAAAAGTAATAACAATGTGCTGTGGAGTTTGAAACATACATAAAATTCATAACAATAGCATAAAGGCCAAAAAAGGAGAAATGAAGTTATACTGTTTTAAGATTATTATTAATACATGTGCAATAGTTAAACATCACTTGAAGGCAAATTCATCACTAGAATAACAGAACAAAGACTTCATAAGCCAAAAAAAGGAGATGAAAAGGAAACATAAAAATTACTCAATTGATCAAAAGAGGAAGGCAGGGAAAAGATAAAAAAAGATGGGACAAATGAAAAACAAATAAGATGATGTACTTTAATCATATCAATAGTCACATTAAATGTAAGTAATTTAAACACTCCAATTTAAAGGCAGAGATGGTGAGACTAGATTTAAAAGGATCATCTAACTATATGCTGCTTACAAGAAACACACCTTAAATATAAAAACACAAGTAGGTTAAAAGAAAAAGGATTGAAAAAGATATTCCATGCTCATACTGTTTAAAAGAAAACTAGAGTAGCTATATTAATATCAGCAGCGTAACTTCCAGAACTGAGCACTTAATTTATTTACTCAAGATCACACACCTTATGGTATTCTACCCAGGATTCGAACCCTGATCTGTCTTATTTCAGAGATCCTTTTAGCATCATATTATATTAGGGTACCTTTTGTTAACTGTTTCTTGGAGACTCACAGTTGAACATTCTCAAGAAAAGAATCACCCACTACCACCATCCGGAGAACATTTAATTAGAGGTAAGAGGAGAGACTTGCATTCCTCTTTTGGCTTTGCTCCTGATTCTCTGTATAAATATGACTGTATTATTTTAACCTCCATGTGCCTCAGTGATTCCTCCCATTGAATTAGGATCTTGGATCATATCTTTCCCAAGAACACATAAACAGTCATCGCCATAGCCAGAATTTAACTCTGGTCTAAGACCTACATCCCCAACAGCACAAGACTTGGCACCAAATATCAACAAGACTGTGTGCATTAGACTGTACTGTGTAAGAGGTTCTTAGGAATCCAGTGCACTGAGAGATGGGGTGGGGCTAATGAATCCCTGGAGGGATGCAGGGATCTGGAGATGAAATTGGAAAAGGCAAGGTTTATGGTCTTGGAAAATGCCTTCCTAAGGTTGTACTGGGGCAATGTTAAATCCTGCCATGCAGCAGGCCTTCTCTAGCCAGGACGATGACGCATTTGCTGTTCATTTCCTGACTCGGAGCCAGTCTCAGACTTGGATCAATGATCTCTCAATCCCCTCCAGTCCCAACAGGCATTTGAGAATTAAACTGAGGATGTCGCAATATCCATGGAGAAAATTCAGCTACACATTTAATAACAGTCTAGAAATCATATTACTGCATCTGACTTGGACTATTTGAGTATTTTCTAGATATGTGTAGAAAAAACATTGGCATATTTATTCACCTGACTACATGTCTGCCTTTAGCACAGACACAGAGAAAGTGTTTTAAAGGTTTTTCCACAGAAAGGTCAGTTCAAACACAATATTTTGAAAAATCATTAGTTCTGCTTGGTAGACTCATGTTTCTCCTCCAGGATCATTTTTGTTATCTGTGGAACAGTACATACTTTTGTTTCTTCGTTCTGTGAACAATCAATAGCTTTCTCTAAACCAACTCTTACTTCTGTGTATGGCTGCCTCTAGATTTCCGGCATGGCTCTTCAAAGATATATCTATTGCTACCTGTTCCTGCCCCTGGGCCTCTCATCTTCTAACTCTAATGGAAAAGATAAAAGGCAGCCTAATCTTTTGCTTGTACATGTTTTCCTGATATAATTGGGTGACAGGTCAGGAGGAGAAGAAATAGAGTATTTATTGAGACAACAACTGCAAATCATTTTAGCCTGGAATAATAATGCTACGAGGAACCTTAGAATGTACCTATTTCACACTCTTCATTTTTATATATGGAGGCCTAGAGAAGACTTGCTCAGATTGACACAGTGAGATTGAAATTGAGCCAGGACTGGAATTCGGGGTTCCTAACACATCAAAAGTATATTTACATTTTGTCCAGCTCATCTTTGTAAATAATACTTCATTTTTAGTACCTTTTACTGATTGTTTCAGTGCTGTTCATTTAAACAGGCTGAGACAAGTTTGGGTAATCAGATAGCTGTACAAACATGGACGTCACAACACAATTAAAACCCATAATTGCAAGTAACCTATACTTTGTCCTGAGGTTTATTAAGATTAGTCAACTAGCAAAAAAGAACTGTGAAGCATGAATGTTTTGGAAGAATTAAAGAGAATCTAATTCAAGATAATATTTTGGAAGAATTAAAGAGAATCTAATTCAAGATGTGTGTACCTCCATTAAAAGTAGTGCTACAGTTTGCAAACTAAAATCACTGTATGGATCTGGCCATACTTTACTTTCTACAATTTACAGTTGATATGCCTATTCTCCCAGAGTGGATAAAACTAACTGGGAAAAAAGAAAAAAGTCTTATCTTGTAATTATATGCTTTGAATATAAAAATATATATATATTTATATATGTAACATGAATAAGCACCCTGCTAATTATGTAAACTAAAAATATGTGCACACAAAATAATAATAAACATTTTACAAAAACCATAAATGAAATAATGCATGTCATGTGCATTAGAATGACTGCCTATTATAAGGGGAGAATAACAGAAGTGGGAAATGGGGATAAAAATTAGATAGATAGATGATAGATAGATAGGATAGATAGCAGGGACTTGCACAAACTAGTGGTGATGGTGTGCTGTAACTTCGTATGATGAAGTCAACCCTCAGCCTTTTAAGTCCAACAAAACAAATGTAAATGAAACAAAACAGCCTCTTTCTGACTCTCACTCTGGGAAAGAAATAGTGCAAGAGATATTTTATTGTTCCTTTTGGATAAAGCTTAGGTTATAAGGTTTGGAGAGTAAAATGAAAAGACTTTATATACTAGAATGCCAGTAGGTGCATTTATATAATTCTGGGCCTATTAATTGCCTGCATTATAGATAACCAAATTGTATTCCAATTGAGCATGACTTCAGTGCCAGTCACCAATATACAAGTGATAATGATATTTTTGTTAAAATTTAGGCATTAAGTCTTTAACAAGCTACATATGTGTATTTAATTTGATTGAGAAAGAAAGTTAGAAGCTCTCCTTGGATTTGCCAATTTATTTTATAACTAATTTTAGTCTACTTTGGTCATTTGGGACAATTTTTCATTTTGTTTTTTCTTCCAGTTGAGTGCTTGGCCACACTTTTGGTCCATATTGCATCAATAACGTGTTTCATTTTGAAGTTATTAGCAAAGAACACATTTTCATTAAAAGCATGTAGTGGTATAAATTTCCATTCTGGGTCCTGCAACTCATCAGAAAGGGTCTCATTATACTTTGTTAATTAAAAATGTAAACAGATGCTTAATGGACAGACTTCTTCCTTTCCTAGCTTCCCAGAAATGCTGTCTTCTTGGTCAACATTTCAACTCTCTTTGGTTAGGAGAGGAGAAAGAAGAAATAGGGCAAGTGGGTGGGGTCCACCCTGGCTACATCTCTGGTTTTTATTAGATCTCTAATAAACCATAGAAGAAGAAAGTCCAATAAAAGGAAGCATACAATGTGGTATAGTACTTGTTAGCCACTGGGGCTTTGATGTCAAAAACTTTGGGCCTGAATCTCACTCTATCAATCCGTGACTCTGGGGAAGTTATCTATCCTCTCTGACCCTCTGTTTCTTTAAGATGGGGATAATAACAGCACCTATCTCTTAAGGTTACTGTAAGAATTAGATGAGATAGTTATGTAAAGCACAGTTCATGACAACACTCAAGTGTTCAATGTAGGGTAGATCTTGCTAATATAACAGTAGTAATATTAACATTAGTACTAGTTAAAGTAAGACAGTAATAGTAGTATAGTAAAAATTTCTGCCATAAGTCAACAAGTAAGATCCAAATTGCAATGTTTTTTTTTTGAATTATGTTTGCCAGAAAAGTTCCAAAATTCAATTGAAAAATGTAGCGTTGAAGCATTACAAGGTTAAATATAATGACCAGGTGATCTCCGACAGCTAGCAGGCCTCCATTTTCAAGAGTCCAGCTGTACTAATATAATCCATTTGGCTTCCAGATGTAGCTTGGCACCTCTTAGTAGCAGCTGTCCACTCCACTTAATACCTTTATTCTTGGAACCCCTGTAGCTATCTCAGAAAGATAACCCACTACTACTTGAGAATGGGGCATGGTGGGGTATTTGAGCCAATCACTAATTGAGTTATATTCATGGTAGTTATAAGGTTTTGCTGTAGGAATAGAAAAAGTAAAATATTTATTTAACTGTTTATTTTTATATTGTGTGCCTAGTTTGTGGAATGCAGGTAAATATTAAAATTTTTCTGTTTGTACATGGCTACAGTATCCATTTACGTCAGTGTTGTGTTTGGCTTATTAGTGCTAAGAGTGCCAGAACTTTTCTGTTACTTTTGAGTTGTATAGCTGATCACAGGTAGGCTTTAAGTAACATTGCAATGCTTTGCAGTGCAGCCCAGATGGCCGTTAATAAATAAGATTGTGCATTTCCCACAGTAGGAGTCAGAGGCTACAGTTTTAACATACCTGTAGCTTTCTAATGCTTCTAGGATGTTTGAAGTAAGACTTTCTTTTCCCCAAGTCACCGGCATGAGGTTTTCCAGTTCATTAAGATGTTTTCATCACTTTGTCTGGTTACATGGGTCAGAACAGAACAGAAGTAAATTAACCCCATGTTGTAACATGAAGACCCCTTCAGACATCAAGAGTCAAGAAGAAGCCTGAAATGCTTGGTCTACATTTTAGAGGTAAGATAACTAGATCTTAGCATTCCAAAGCCTCCATACAAACTAAACACCCTTCTTCAAATGAAATCACTCCATGGCCAAAATTGAGTTATTGCTTGAATAACCACCACCTGTCAGGGCAATTCAAACAGACAGCAACATAACATCTTTACATTTAAAAAACCAACAGCATGTGTGAGTGCATACCAATGTGGCCAGTTTCAAGTTGAATTCATCCCATTATAAGCAGCAGTTAAAGCACTGACTCCAAGAGGTGGCCAACTTGTCACATTCTGCATTGGCCGTGCAAAACTTTGTGGCTTTAACACTATCCTATCTACTGCTTAGTCTCAATTCTTCAGTTTGTCCTATGTCCCCATTCTATACTCAGCTTTTTAATTTGTTAGTGAGTTTCTGGGCCCCAGGGTAGCAAAGCTGAGTCTACAGGATCTCACTGTGCAAAAATGACTTGAGAAGGCCAAGGTGTAACCTCAAGATGTGGAGACAGATTTTTCTCATACGGTTTGTGGAAGCATTGCCTTTGACGTAGGGACCCACCACATACATTCGCTTTTGAGCTTATACCATTAAAAGACTAACTGGTTGGTCATATAACTTTTAGAAATGTGGGACTTTTAAAAAATGCTCCTGCTCTCTATGAATTAACAGCTTATATTAGAATCTATCTTGAATGCCAAATTCTTTTCTGGTTAAATGGACCCCTGTTGATAATGTAGATGAGGATGAAGATTTGTTTTCTTTTCATCACTTGAAAGGCTTTCTCCCAAACAAAGTGGTTGCAAGTAATCATCACCACCAGCAGTAGTTATTGAGAGCTCTCTTTGTGAGTTGTTAATCTACAGGACATCACTCACATCCTGCACACTGCTGTGGTGAGTAACAGAACTCGATTCCCAATAAATCACTTTATTCTACAGTCTATAACCTTAACTCCGTTAAACAAGCCTATCACGTGAACACATATGCTGTCATTACATGGTATTTATTAGACAAAATCTGAAGTGGTTGGTGATTATTGCATTGAAAAACTCTCACCTAATCATTTCCTCTCTCTGTGTCCCCCTCCTCATTTCATGTTAAATTGGTAATGAATATTCTTATGTATACAATGGGTAACTTCTACAAATCCATATTAAAATCTTTAACATGGTTATTACTATAAAATTATCAACAATATATGTATGTCAACATTTTATAGACAATTTTATATTTCTAGTAAGTTCATCATATAAAATCACCTCACTTGATTCCATGCCATAAACTGAGCATTATCTTTGAAGTAATCACAATTATGCATACACGATTGGGGCTGAAATATGGAAAAGTTAGTCCAAAAGCTGAAATGGGCAAAAGTGATGATATAGTTTCCATCTGTAACCATGAATTGGTAGGTCTCATGGTCATTTTATTTGTGACAACAGGTATTCACATTGCAGTTGCTCCGAACAATTGAGTTGAAATTTGGACAGGAATTCATGTCATCATGAAAAAAATAAGTTCTGGTAGAGTGGGCTGGTATTATTGAAAGACATAAAGGAAGCTAAGAAAGAAAGAAACAAGGGAGGGAAGGAGCAAATTGCATATCACCCATTCAGCATTTATCATGCATTGACTTGTTCTTGTTTTGGTTAATTACCTTTCTTTTCCTTTTTTTTTTTTTTTGAGTACTCAATATAAAAGCAAAAATAAAAACATTTTTATTAAAAAAAAAAAAGCCTACTACCCAGAATAGGAAATTATTAACTGCTGTACTTTGGATGTTTGTCCCCTGTAAATCTCATGTTGAAATTTAATACTCCGTGTGGCAGTGTTGGAAGGTGGGTATAGTAGCAGGAGTTTGGCTCATGGGGGCAGATTCCTCATGAATAGAATAATATCCTTTCTTAGGGGTGAGTGAATTCTCACGATTATTAGTTTCCAAGAAAGCTGGTTGTTAAAAAGAGCGTGGTACGCCTCACCCCTTGCATCCTCTCTTGCCATGTGATATTTATACATGCCAGCTTCTTTTTACCTTCCGCCATGAGAGAAAGCAGCCTGTGGCCCCTACCAAATACAATGGCCAATCTAAAACTTTTCCAGACATCAGAATAATGAGCCAAATAAATCTCTGCTCTTTATAAATTACCCAGCCTTAAGTATTCCTTTATAACACTAAACAGACTATGACTTTAACATTTTGCCATTCTTTTTTAAAAAATAAAGGAAATCAAATATTACAGGTAAAATTGAAGTAATCTTTATCCTCATCCAAAATTCCATTTTATTTTCTCCATCCACACACATATACTCTCTAGGGGCAACCAGCATAATGAGTATCCTTCCATTTCTTTTTTATTGTAACACATTTATATGCACATACATCTACCTACAAAGTATTTAGCATTTTTTTGTTTAAAACATTAACATAAATGCTATATACAACATCATCCTGCAACTTGCTTTTTTCACAAAAATCAATGAGAAATATCTAGTTCTATGAGGTACTGTTTTATGGTATTATGTTGTTTAAGAAAACACATTATTTCTCATTTTCCTCTTGATGGTGACTTAGGCAATTTTCATTTTTTCTTCATAACAAAGAGTGCTTTACTTTACTTGAATGAAAACACAAGAACAGGGATATTTGTCTGCTTTGTTTAATGATGTAATCCCAGCTCCAAACAGTGCCAGGAATAAAGCAGATATTTGATAAATGTGTATTGAATGAATGACACAATTATTGTACATGCTAACATTATTGTACATTCTTCCTGAAGTTTATGGGTGAGTACTTCTCTCTGGTATATACCAAGATAAAATACAATACATATTCGTACATGCTAAGGGTAAAATGGTAGGTTGTATGCAACTTGAGTTGCATTAAGTGCTGCTGCCTAATTATTCACCATAGAGGTTATATCAATTTATGCTCCCACCAGTATTCCCTGTACCTCACATTCTTACCAGCCTTTGGTACTATCTGATTTTTTTTATTTTTGAAATTTTGATGAATAGTATCTTATTAGGGTTTTAATTTTCATTTCTTTGATTAGCATTTGGCAGAACATAATTTCATATGTTTATTGGCCAATTGAATTTTCTATTCTGTTTTTGTGACTATTAATGACTAAGGTCTAAAGGGTGGAGACCCACTTTCCATGACCCATAGCATTTTTTCAGGCCTATTCACTGTTACTTAAGATGATATCAGGACATCCCCCGCATGTACTACTTACCACCCTTACCTATTTGTATTTATTTTTCAGAGACAGGCTCTTGCTCTGTCACCCAGGCTGAAGTGATGTAGTGCCATCATAGCTCATTGCAGCCTCAAACTCCTGGGCTTAAGTGGTCCTTCCACTTCAGCCCCCTGAGTAACTAGGACTACAGGTGTGCACCACCACACCCAGCTAGTTTTTTAAATTTATTTTTACATTTTGTAGAGACAGGATCTTGCCATGTTGTCCAGGCTGGTCTTGAACTCCTGGTTTCTAACAATCTTCTAGCCTCAGCCTTCCAAAGTGCTGGGATTACAGGTGTGAGCCACCACGCCTGGCCCTCTCTTACCTAATTTGAGTCACTGATTATTTCTATAATAAAGCTGACATCAGGGTAGCACTAGATATGATTTATATTAAAGCCCTTTGAAAACTTCAAATGGAAGCTCAGGTTATCACTGGAATGGGACTGGAATGGGAAGTTTTCAGCTAAGGGAATTATTGCAAGAACTCCAGATATAGCCATCATAATAAAACTGTAAAGTTCTCCTGTGAGGTATGAATGAAACAAACCCAAAATGATCAAGGAGAAAATTCCCACAGGTAGGTACAAATGGGTGGTATCCTTCTGCAGTGAGGTCTACCTTGGAAGATAAGGGCATGACAAAGCCTATAAGCCTAAAAATGTACTCCACAGCCTTGAACAGCTACCACAGACCCTTAGATTATTATTTCAACTGGACCAGCGTTTAGAAAAATTGTGAGGCAGGCATTTCTTATCTTCTACTGATATACCTCTATTAACGTATATACCTCTTCTCCTGTTAGGCACCTAATGCCCTTATGTTGTTCCAAATATGTCCTAATCAAGAAAGAGCAGATGTGATTAACTCATTCACACTGATACAGATACAGGCTAGCACACTGATCCATTCATTCTTCATGTATTCATTCATTTGACAAATATATATTAAGTGCCTACCATGTGCTAGATTCATTGTGATACCCTCCCACAAGGAAACCTATCTGTATCTGCCCATTTAAATGTTATTTATACTTCAAAGTTATCTGAAATGCTCTCCTAATCCTCCCAACTACAAGTTACTTCAAAGTACCCAAACACTTCTCTTTAGTTTGATTTATAATTATTGGTAGGCTCTCTTTAATTTCCCCACAAGATTTCAGCACAAGGAATATCATGAGCAAAATCACAGCACTGAACATATGTATTGAATGGTTGTGGAAAGAGGAATAGATCATTTGGGCTAGAGCAGAGGCTTTCTGCTAAGGAATAAAGAAGAATGTTTGCAAGAAATTCAGGTCAGCACCCCCACTAAAGCTTTGAACAAAACTTTGATAATCAGTAGTTTTCCACAATCATAGTTTAATAGGTGGTATGTGTTTCCTCCGGAGAGAGGGAATGACAAAGACACGTAATCCAAAAACAAATGTGGCCTGTTTGAGGAGGAAAAAATAATCCTGTTTGGCTGGAAAGAAAGGTACACACATAAGGGAGTAACAGAAAATCATTTCAGAGAATAGGTGGGGATTCTATTGTGGAGAGCCTTGAAAACCTGGCTGGAGAGTTTGAGTCTAATTTGGGTGGAATTGTTTGGGAGAATAAAAAATAATTTTCCCTCATGATCCTTTGTGACCTAAGGCATCAGTGGTATCTGTGGCAACAAAATAGGATTTGAGGGATAGCAGTGTGAAGTTAATGTAAACAGACATTAAAAACTGTGACCTTAATGTCATTAAGCACATATTAACACCAGATCTAGGGGACACTCCTTGTAGCTTAAACTAGCTGGTTTTATGGCAAACAAGAGGAAGTAATTCTTTACACCATAGATAGTATGCATATACAAATAAGAGGATACACACACACACAAAGAAAATAAATATATCCATGAGTGACTGGTCCATAACAGCTAGTTTCTGAAGATGACATAAGGCAGACAACTATCTTATTTTTTGTGAAAATCTATGGCATTATCAGGTAGATCCAGAGCTGGAGGAATGGGCTATAGAAAGACATTGAGATAAGTGAGGAGTAGGTGGGTCTAGAAGCAGACGTGGAGTCAAGATTCTTGCCAAAAAGGATCAGAGATCAAGGACAGATCAAAGACAGGAATGAGAAACCCACAGAAAAATTGAAGAAATCAACTCGTAGAGATATTTCTAGGAGGAGTCTTGGAACAAATAATACTGACATTTTCCTCCTTCCTAGGCCAGAAACATGATTAGGCATATTTAAAAGCATTTGAATGTGTAAATTAGTCACACAGGGCAACATGTTTCTTAAAGGATGTGTGAAGAAAAGACAGATAAGTCTCAAATATTTGTTTGATTTTGAGCACAGATAATTGAACTACTTTTTTCTCCCTCAAAAACAATCTTCCTGGCTAAGTGGCCATCTGCCACCTGGAAAGCAATGCTTCTAATATATATTAAGAAAGACTAAGTTAGCAGAAAAGATCATGTGCATGAGATCTAGGAAGGGGAAGCCAAACAGAGATCTCTAGCATCGTTCAGAATAGACAGAGTCCAAATCGGAAGACTCAAGTGCCTGGGACCTCTTGTCAGTCCTATCCCTACAGTAGCAATAGAGATACACATTTCTAGTTAGATGCTACAAGCCACTAAAATCATTCAGCTAATGATTTTTACTGTCTTCTGTGTTGAAATGCCACTGCATCAGAGAGGCCTTATCAAATCATCTACCTAAAATAGAAACCTTCCAAAAGAGTAATTTTTATTGCCTTATCCTACTTTATTTTTCTTTATAGCACTCTTCATCATCATTTATTTACTATATCCAAATTATAGGGCATAAGATCCATAATGGCAATAATTTTTGTCTCTTTTGTTCACTATTATCTCTCAAGTACCTTGAACAGTGCTTGGAACAACAAAGATGCTTAATACATGTCCCTTGAATGAATGAATGAATGAATGAATGAATGAATGCATGCATGGATAAATGAAATGCCATAGGAGCAAGAAGAAATAATGAAAATTAGCTAATAGTCAAAAATAGAAAAAATAGTCAAAAATAGAAAAATAGCTTATAATCAATGGCAGAATAGGGGGATAAGCTGTCTGTATAGTGGTAATTATCATGTCCCAACACTGTAAATCAGCAGGTCCCATTCTTCTCTCTACCAGAACACATTTATCCGATGAGCAACATTTCTCATAGGCAGTACCCAGTTACCTAACTGACACTCCATTCCTTTCTCATCTGCTCGAGAAAGTATATGAAAATAGAAGTGATGGAGGCACAGCAAAGGAATCAATCAACAGAGTGAAAAGGCAACCTATGGAATGGGAGAAAATATTGGCAAACCTTATATTTTATAAAGGGTTAAGATCCATAACATATAAAGAATTACATCTAAACAAAGACAACAACAAAATAATTCAATTTAAACATAGGCAAGGGACTTAAATAGACCTTTCTCCAAAGAAGATATACAAATGGCCAATAAGCATATGAAAAGATGATCAACATCATTAATCGTCAGAAAAATGCAAATGAAAACCACAAGAAGATAACACCTTGCAACCTTTAAGATGGCTACTATCAAAACAAAAATGTTGAACAAGTGTTGGCAAGGATGTGAAAAAATGTGAGCCCTTGCACTGTTGGTGGGAATGTAAATTGGTATAGTCATTATGTAAAACAGTATGAAGTTTCCTCAAAAAACTAAACATAAAACTACCATATGATTTAGTAATGTCACTTCTGGGTATATATCTGAAATAATTGAAAATAAGATCTCAAAGGGATGTCTACACATCTGTTACTTGCAACATTATGCACAACAGCCAAAAGGTGGAAACAATCCAAATGTCCATAGATCGATGAATAAAGAAAATGTGGTACATACATACAAAGTAATATTATTCAGCCTTTATAAAGAAGAATGCACTGTAATATGCTTTAACATGGATGAATCTTGAGAAGGTTATGCTAGGTGAAATAAGCCAGACACAGAAAGACGAATATTGCATTATTCTTCTTATACAAGGTATTTAAAGTAGTCAACCTCTTAGAACCAGAACGTAGAATGGTCTTTGCCCAGGGATGGAGGAAGAGGCAAATGGAGAGTTTCTATTCAATAGGTATAGAGTTTCAGTTTTGCAAGATGAAAAAGTTATAAAGATCTGTTGCAAAACAATGTGTATATGTTAACACTACTGAACTTTAAAAATAATTAAGATGCTAAATTTTATGTTATGTGTTTCTTACCAAAATGAAAAAAATACGAGTGAAAAAAGGAATGGTATTAAAAGAGCAGTCTTGAACCTGCTATAAATCAGTTCTTAAGCAAATCATTCCCAAACTTTGAGATTTACCTATATTTAGCAATAAAGGATTGGAGTCAATGTCTCACCGGCGTTTCCAGTACGAATTTGGCTAGATGAGAGTTATGCAGAATATTTCTAAAAACAGAGACTAACAATCACCAGAGAATAAGATAGAGGACACTGAGCACGTCTATCTTCTGTTTTTTTTTTTAAACTGTTTCAATACATATTGGTTTGGAATCACAGGTAGTATTTGGCAATGCCTAATTTAGTTTGGCCTACAAGTTTTTTTCCCAGAGATGAAACCCCTAGTGAAGTTGAATGTCAAACATTGTAATAAAACTGTCTTTACTAGAAACATTAGATGTGAACTTTTTAAAAATTTGCCTTCTTAAGATTCATGATGTTTTATATGTATTTTTAAACATATCTTGAATTTGGATGTTTAACTTCCTGGAAGTACTTCTTTTGGTTTTCCTAGATTAAACAAAAAACTTGTCCTAGGCAAGATTTCAATGTCTTTTCTCGGTCTACCAGCAATTTTCTTTTTTTTTTCTTTTTTTTTAAATTTTATTATTATTATACTTTAAGTTTTAGGGTACATGTGCACAACGTGCAGGTTTGTTACATATGTATACATGTGCCATGTTGGTGTGCTGCACCCATTAACTCGTCATTTAGCATTAGGTAAGCAATTTTCTATAATAAAGTTTTAATATATAAGGATAGTACATCATTTTCTATTTTCCTAATCAATTAGAAAAATAAATTTGATTTTCCTAATCAGATTACAGCTCATAGTGGCTATTCTGTGAAAATGTACATAAGACTGGCTAAAAATTCTGCAGCTCTAGCTTATTCAATACACACCAGCCTAACACTTCCCTAGCTCCCTCTTCTCTGTAGCAGTGCTGCAGATATGTGGTAATCATTGACATTTACTGTACCCTAGATTTTATGTGTTGAGTTATTGTTTTGATACAGGTCTAAAGTGTCCTTGAACCAAGACTGCATCTGAACACAGATACAGACAAAAGGATGAACATTCAAGCAGTAACTAGGCATTTCCACATGTGGTAAACAGGTTTTAAAGAGCCACTTACTCCTGCCTGCTGTATTGCAAGTTGGCTTCTCTGAGGCCAATTTGAAAATTAGTGTAGGCTAGTGTAGTGAGGCTAAGCCCTTTGTGTCTAAGGAATCCATTTTAATTTCCATAACAGTGGCAACTCTAAAATGAGGCAAAATTGTTACTTGAATTGAATCTCGTTAAAAACTCATTACATCCATAGATACATAGGCCCTCACTTGAGATAGGAGTTGTGACTATTTTGCACAGTATGATGTTCCTCATTTGGTGTGCAGGTTCCTCAAGCATTGAAAGGCAGTGCAATGTAGTGATTAAGGGCACAGTAATGTGTACTTACAGAGACTACAGCCACTTCTATATGCATGAACTTGGAAAATGTACATGACTTCTCTGAGCCACAGTTTCCTCTCAGTAAAAAAAAAGGGAGGTGATAGTGACATCTATCTGATAAAATCGTTGTGAAGGTTTAAAGCAAAATACTCAAAGACCCACAAACAGTACCTAACACATAGCAGAAGCTCAGTTAATGGTAGCCATAAACGATTTTGAATCAGCAATGTGGTAAACGTTTCAAGAAGGAAATTAAAGTGGGAAGAAATAGCCCTATCTTACTTGTTTATACTTGGTCAAATATTTTACTATTGTTTCAAATTAAACAGACTTATTGAGATAACTCTGGCCATTGAAATGGAATCACTTTCAGTAATCAAAAACCTTAAGGAAAAAACACATTATTCTTCTTAGACAAATACAAGCCTCTAAAAAAAAAAAGAAAGAAAAGAAAAAAAACTCTATTTCAGATCAGCAGAGTCCTTAGCCAGCACTGAGTTATTTTTAAAGTTCAGTTTAAATGAACTAACATCTGAACTGTTCATATAAACCCACTATTTGAAAACATACCCAGTGAAACAATAAGATGGAGCTATTTTCCATGTTGTAACATGTTCAAGGTTGATATGCTCATTTAGCCCAGCTACTTACCTTGCTTCAGTTTTAACCTTCTGTTGAAAGGAGTTAGAATGGGCCATCTAGGATAGGTCTATTGGAGCACCAGCTTAGAGGGGTGCTATTAAGGCTTCACATCCAAAAGGTTGGACTCATATCAGGGTATCTTACTTGAGATGGTCAGTAGTAGAAAAATAAAAACAAAAACATAAGGTGACTATGAACCATAGTTCTTCAGGAGCTCTGAAACAAACTTAGAGACATTCAAGATTGTTAAGTTCAAAGGGCTGAGAACTAGGGAAAATGCCAGGGATCAACAGGCACAAAAAGACTAGATCAAAATTGGGAAGATGATAAGATAATTGGGAAAAAATTTAGCCATTATAAATACATAAATAAATAAAACCTATTTGAAACAGGACACTTGGTGAGATTTGCTTATTTAAAGATAAAAGTTTGGGATAGATGCCTTCTGAGAAGTTTCTACTCTAAGACGATAAAAGGGCTGTGGCCAGCATGCCTACCTAGCCATACAATTAGCTCAACTGTCTAGAGTGAGATTAATATCAGACTTGATTCTTACCTAATAAATGATTTCCTAAAGTTGTTGATACTAATTGAGCACACATTATATGACAGGAAAATGATGTACATTATCCCATTTGGTCCCTACAGTAACCCATTGGGTGTGTACTATTATACCAGCATTTTAGAGGTAAGGAAACTAAGGATAAGACAAGTTAAATAAGTTGTCTAAGATCAAATGGGAATAAGTGGAAAGTCAGGATTTGACGTTGATTTCTCTGACCTCAATGTCCCCATGCTTAGCTATTATGTATAGTTTTTCTTTGATTCACAGATTGGAAGTATAGCCCATGGTGAGCTGCCTTATAAATATGTAGCATTAGCCATAACAAGATCTGAATGTGGGTGACCCAAAGCAAATCTATCACCACCCAAGGATAAAAACACAATAATTAAGGCCAGGTCCTGATGATGGCCTTCTTAGTGGGCGCACGTCCTTTTGGCTGCCAAATTTCACAACAGAATGCCAACAGTAAATTGTCATTTAAAGATCTATTTAATTGGTAATTTGGAATAGGTACCAATTAACCAACATCTATTAAACCCAACATCTATTAAAATCTCAGTGGAGAGAAAATATATTTATGGAAGTTGATGTGCTTTTTTATAAAGGCATTGGGATTTTGAAGTTGTTTTATTATGTTTTGTTTTTGTAAGAGGAGATTGAAGAGATATTTCTCCCTGATCTTACTATCAGGAATAGTGGTGCTTCTCCAGGTAATATTAGTTAGATGTTATGTATTTATTTTTGTTTTATGGCAAGTGGGTGATGGTGACGCACTGTGGACCAAGTACCTAAATGGTTGACTACATATTAGAACTACCTGGGGAGATTTTTAAAAATACCCCCAAAGATTCTGATACATTCTGTCTAATTTGAGCATGGGAATCAACATTTTAGGTTTCCCCAGGTAATTCTAATGCACAACCAGAGTTGATTACCACTGATGCAGCTGATCAAGTTTAGATATTCCTTCTTTGCAAAAATGCTGAGAATGCTTAGTGTCAAAGCTGTGGTCCGCCCATCACCAGTGTGTAAGGACTTTGTGGTATGCATTATTTTTAACTTCATTCCTGGCTCAATTTTTTATTTTTTTAATTTAATTTTATTTTATTTTAAGTTCCAGGACATATGTGCAGGACGTGCAGGTTTGTTACATAGGCAAACGTGTGCCATGGTGGTTTGCTGCACCTGTCAAACCATCACTTATGTGTTAAGCCCCACGAGCATTAGCTATACTTATCCTGATGCTCTTTTCCTCCCCACCCCCTACCCCCAACAGGCCCCAGTGTGAGTTGTTCCCCTCCCTGTGTCCATGTGTTTTTATTGTTCAGCTCCCACTTATAAAAGTGAGAACATGCGGTGTTTAGATTTCTGTTCCTGTGTTAGTTTGCTGAGGATAATGACTTCCAGCTTCATCCATATCCCTACAAAGGACATGATCTCGTTCCTTTTTATGGCTGCATAGAATTCCACGGTGTGTATGTACCGCGTTTTCTTTATCCAGTCTATCATTGATGAGCATTTGGGTTGATTCTATGCCTTTCTATTGTGAATAGTGCTGCAATTAACATACATGTGTGCTTGTTTCTTTATAATGGAATGATTTATATTCTTTTGGGTACATACCCAGTAATGAGATTGCTGGGTCAAATGTTATTTCTGGTTCTAGGTCTTTGAGGAATCGCCATACTGTCTTCCAGAATGGTTGAACTTATTTACATTCCCACCAACAGTGTAAAAGCATTCCTATTTCTCCACAGCCTCACCTTCCAGGCTCAATTTTATGTCCCCACCCTTGTCTTCTCCTTTTTAGCTTCTCAACTACTAACTAGAACTTGTTATATGTCAATATATATGGTTCAATGTAAATTAAATTTTTGGAACATGCTAATATATACCGTCAATATATTGTATTGAAAAATAACGATGTTAGCAAGTTATAAAATATAGTTTAAGGAAGCTATTTCTATCAGTTCACTCTCATTTTTTGCAAATTTTAAGGATACGAGTTTCTACCCTTCCCTTTTGCACTATTGATGTTCCAGGTAATGAAAGTCTAAATAAATCTAAATATCACTGGCTCTGTTCACTCTTGATTAACTTTCTGTTATCCAATAACACATAAAGAGCCACACAGATCATTTAAATATGTCATAGTGTATTACACTAAACATTAGATTAAAAAAAAAGACAAAATTTTGACTCTGTGCTAACTACCTAGTTCTGTGATCTTTGACAAGTCAATTAACATCTCTGGACCTCAGGGTTTTTTGTGGTTTTTTTTACCCTAAAAAACACTGAAAAGTAATGAGAATTGGATTAAATTATTATTTCTCTACCACCTCTGAAATCTATGGTATTATACCTGACTTTGGCATTTTGGTTTTTTAAACTTTTTCCTCTTAAATTACAATTAATAAGATCAGAACATCTATAATGACAACCTTAGAGCTACTATTCTTATCAAACAACATACATGGTTACATTTTTAAACTTCTTGTTAAAATTCAAAGCCAAATGTTTAGTGTATTGAATTAATTACTCAGAGCCCAGTCAGAAGACAATTACCATTAAAAAAATGTGTTAGAGAAGTGAAAAGGCAAAAGAGGACACTGAGGTATCACAGATATGGTAACCTCAGGAAGCAGCCAATGCCTCCTAGGGCTGGGAGAACTATTAAGCCAGGGAGGCTTAACAGAGGATTCCTTGATGAGAAAACTCTAGCAATATTTTGAAGGAACAAGACCTGGTAAGATAGCGGGATGGAATAATTATTTGTAGTAAATACATCTCTTGCTCTCCACTTCCATTGCTACCACCCTAGTCAATGTCACTATCCTTTCTTGCTTAAGTTAAAAAGCAGCCTCCTACCTGGTATCCCTCCTTGCACATTTGCCACAAGCAAACCATGCTTTATTCATGATCCCAAATCATATTTTTAAAAAGAAAACATCACATTATGCTCCTTTGCTGCTTGAAACTCTAGAATGGCTTCCCTCTGCACCTGGAAAACAAAGTACAAATTCTTTTATGTGGCCTACAAGGGACTATGTGACCCTACTCATGCCTATCTTTCCAGCCTAATTTCACAGCATGTTCTCCCTTAATCTCTGCATTCCTACCATATTGACCTATTTTTCACCTCAGATCTGCTGTATTCATTCTGTTATGGGGCTTTGCACATGTTGTCCCTACTCTATGGAATAATTCCCTTTCTTTCTTTTTTCTGGATAACTCTTATCCTTTAGATCTTAAACCAAATGTCAATTCTTCAGCAAAGCCTTCTCAGATTAGGTCAGGTTTCTCTCCTGTGTGCTCTCAGGACACCAAAGCACACTTTACTCATGATGTGCACCACTGTTTGTAACCATACACTTATTTAACTAAGTCTGTCTCACCCATTAGGTTGCAACCTCCTCGAGGGCTGAATCTTTTCCATCATGTTCAGTATTATATCATCATGTCTTGCATGAAGCACAAAGCAGACAATCATCACATATTTTTAAATGAATAAATTAATGGATTATAAGACTTAGAAAGCATATTAGTGGTTGCCAAGGTATAAGGGGAAAGGAAAGTAGGGAGTGACTGCTAATAGGGATAGAGTTTCTTTATAAGTTGATGTTCTAAAATTAGAGAGTTGTAATAGTTGTACAAGTATGTGAATAAATTAAAAATTACTGAATTGTACATTTTAAAAGGGTGAATTTTATGGTGTATAAATTATATCTCAATAAAGCTATTATAGAAATGAAAAAATAAATTATTTGATGACTTTCAGGACAATAACTGGGTCTTATCATTCTCCAGTGCTCAACACAGTAGTAGACACTTAATAGGTAGGACTTAATAAATGTTTGTTAGAATATCAATGGACCTTGAAATAAGAAGCAGTTGGATAATTTTCCTAGTTATCCAGTTGTTAGAGGTCACCATAAATGTGTGTCTTGAAGCCTCTTCATTGATTTTTGGGGAGGTGAGAAAATTATTGCTCAGTGGAACAGGTCTTATATGCATGTCTAGAAGTCCACAAATTGGGCAAGAAATTCTAGTCAATAAAAGTCCACTCCAACATCATTATTCCCAACCCATAACCATATTTTTTTGTCTGTGTCCAGGGGCACAAAAAAAAATGCTTATACTACAAAGCAACTTTTATTCTTGCAGTAAAAATCATGGAGATCGTATGCTGCTTATTTATAAATTCCTATATAATTTATTATTTTTCCATATAAGCAAAATCTAAAAGCTGGATTTATTAGTTAGCATCAACTTGTGATTGAGACCACATGGTCGAATCCATTTGTCAGTGTGCCCTCTTCCCAGGATCCCTTGCAATACTTCATGTAGATTCCAGTCGCTTTGTATTAAAAAAACAAAGATGCAGACAATCTTAGAATACCTGGATTGTGCCAGAGTGCTGAGATATCTTTATATATAAACCTAATTATATACGGATCACTAAAAGTGATCACAACAAAATTAATTCACACTAGTTATAATATTCATCTTTAAATGAGTACTCACTCTATGCCAGGAACTATGTTAAGTGTTTTGCAATTATCATATTTAATCCTTGCAATAGTTCTGTGGGGTAGGATTATCTACTTAGATTCATTTTTACATACACCTGAAGCTTAGAGATATTAAGGCATTTCCCCAAAGTCACAACTCAAACTGCTTTACTAGTTAAAAACACAAAAAGAGAGTGTTACAGCTAGCTGATTTACTGGTCATTTGCTCACGGTTCTTTTTTTTTTTTTTAGTAACATAGCTCCTGCTTGCCTCACCTTTCTTCCTTCAATTATTCCAATCCATAAAACAATTATTACTTTTGCCTCTCCTTGTCATTGCTCTGGGAATGAACTTCCCATATGATATGGTCTGACAGTGTTTTCACCCAAATCTCATCTTGAATTGTAGTTCCCATAACCCCCACGTGTCATGGGAGGGACCACGTGCAGATAAATTGAATCAGGGGGGTGGTTTCTGCCATGCTGTTCTTGTGATAGTGAGTGAGTTCTCACAAGATCTGATGTTTCTATAAGGGACTTCCCCCTTATAAAATGAGTGCCCTTCACTGGGGACTCATTCTTCTCTCTCCTGCTGCCTTGTGAAGAAGGATGTGTTTGCTTCCCCTTCCACCATGATTGTAAGTTTCCTGAAGCCTCCCTAGCCACGTGGAACTGTGAGTCAATTAAACCTCTTTCCTTTGTAAATTACCCAGTCTTGAGTATGTCCTTATAGCAGCATGAGAATGGACTAATACACCATATAAATGACTATACCAAATAATTATTCTGAATCCTTCAGAGACATGATCTCATCATGAATGGATTTTAATTTCATGTTTTTGTCCTAGCAAGACAGTAGATAACATGTAATATTTGTGTCTCCTTCACAGCAAACACTTTAGAAAAGACAGAGAGTAGTGTGGCTCAATGGAAAAAGCCAATGTCTGGGGTTCTAGTTCCCAGTCTTCCACAAACTAGCTATGTCATCTTAGGGAAACCACTTAACCTCTCAGCTCCTCAATTTCAGATTTGAATAAGTTGAATCTCTTCTAACTCTAAATACCTCTGGCTATATGGTGTTTTTCTGTAACTGAAGCCCAGCTTTGAAATTCAAGAAATGAGATATAAAATAAAATAATTGTCCTTCATAAAAAAGAATGAGATCATGTCCTTTGCGGGAGTGTGGATGGAGCTGGAGGCTATTATCCTTAGCAAATTACCTCAGGAACAGAAAACCAAATACTGCATGTTCTCACTTATAAGTGAGACCTAAATGCTAAGAACTTATGAACACAAAGAAGGAAACCACAGAAACTGGGATCTATTTGAAGGGGGAGAATGGGAGGAGAGAGAGGAGCAGAAAAGATAATTATTAGGTAATGAGCTTAGTACCTGGGTGATAAAATAATATGTATAACAAACCCCCATGACACGTTTATATATGTAACAAATCATCACATGTATGCCCAAATCTAAAATAATTTTTAAGAAATCATTGTCCTCTTATTCTGACCACTGAGTAAGTAAAAAAACTAACCATATTTTTTCCATGGCAATCTACGCAGCTTATTGAAGAGCTAATATTCAGAAATAATAGCATCCCAATATAATAATAAAAATAATCCTTTCTCTCTTATTATAATCATGACATGATGAACAGTAATTACTTGGTGGGCATAGAGGATGGGAGTCATATATCAAGACACAGTCCAGTACATAATAGTTTTGTAATAAATCCTTGTTGAACTAATAAATGGATATTACTGAATCCTCCTAGCACATGTTTCCTTCTCATCCCCAATTGATCTAAATGTTATATGTTGCTTCCAAATTTTGGCTGTTGTAAACAGTGCTGCAACAAACATGGGAGTGCCGATATCGCTCCAATATACTGATTTCCTTTCTTTTGAGTATATACCCAGCAGTGGGATTGCTTGATCATATGGCAGCTCAATTTTTAGATTTTGAGGAACCTCCAGACTGTTCTTCATAGTGGTTGTACTAATTTACATTCTCACCAACAGTGTACAAGTGTTGCCTTTTCTCACCAGCATTTGTTATTACCTGTCTTTTGAATATAAGGATGTTAACTGGGGTGAGATAACATCACATTGTGGTTTTGATTTGCATTTCTCAGATGACCAGTGATGTTGAGCACGTTTTGATGTACCTGTTTGCCATTTGTATGTCTTCTTTTGAGAAATATATATTCAAATCTTTTGCCCATTTATTGACTGGATTATAGATGTTTTCCTATAGAGTCATTTGAGCTCCTTATATATTCTGATTGTTAATCCCTTGTCAGATGTGTAGTTTGAAAATATTTTCTCCCATTCTGTGGGCTGTCTCTTCACTTTTATGGATTGTTTCCTTTGTTGTGCAGATTAATGAATAAAGAAATTATAGTACTTATACACAATGGAGTACTATTCACCCATAAAAAAGAATGAGATACTGTCATTTGCAACAACATGAATTTAACTGGAGGTCACTATGCTATGTGAAATAAGCCAGGTACAGAATGTTCTTACTTATTTGTGGGATCTAAAAATCAAAACAATTGAACTCATGTACATAAAGAGTAGAAGGATGGTTACCAGAGACTGGAGAAAGGTAGTGGGGAGGTGTGAGGGGGACGTGGGGATGGTTAATGGTACAAAAGATACTTAGAAATAATCAATAAGACCTAGTAATTAATAGCACAAGAGGGTTACTATAGTCAATAATAACTTAACTGTACATTTTTAAATAACTTAAAGAGTGTAACTGGATTGTTTGTAACTCAAAGGATAAATGCTTGAGGGGCTTAACACCCCATTCTCCATGATGTGCTTATTTCATATTGGATGCCTGTATGAAACCATGTAATGTATCTGAGAAATATATGTATCTACTATGTACTCACAAAAATTAAAATTAAAAATTAAAAAAAGTCATATGTTCTTCAAATTCAAATTTAATAACTTTTGGACTTCTATTTGAACGGGCATTCTCAAATATGAGAAAAGCTGCATACTTCTGACAGTTGCCTATGTCTCTATTCTAGATAAGTTTTATAAATCCGTGGTGTATTCAAGTTAGGAGGTGTTTAATCTTAAGAAACAAAGAAAAATTGAGCCTGAATAAACATGATATAATTTCCACAAAAATAAGTCAATGTCTGTATTATTCAACATTATATCCCCATTTCTAAGCATAATACCTGGAACTTGGTGGATTTTTGATAAATATTTACTGAGCAGTTATGTGCAATACAGATATGTCATCTATTTCTCCGCTGATTATCAGGATTGATTTGGGATGTATTGGTAACAGGAATATTTGAATCAAATAAGAGAAATGCATCTTACTTTAAATAATTGGACACAGCTATTCTATATTATAGAGAGGGATCAGCAAACTTTTTCTGTAAGGAGCCAGATAGTAAATATTTTCATCTCTATGTCAGTATAGTCTGTCTCAATGATGCAACTCTACCATTATAGCACTGAAGCAGCCATAAACAATATATAAAAAATGGCTGTGATTGTGTTTCAATTAGACTTTATTTACGAAAACAAAGGGAAGTCTGTATTTGGCCTGTGGTCAGTAGTTTGCTGATCCCTGTTATAGAGGAATTTGTGAAAGATCTGTAATGTTATAAGTTAATTTATTTCATCTAGACAAGTGGTTGTCAATATTTCGGTCTCAGGACCTCTTTATACTTTAAAAATTATTGAGAACTCTAAAATGCTCTTTTGGTTTTATGTGGTTTATATCTATAAATATTTGCCATATTAGAAATTTAAACTCGGAAATTTTCAAAAGATATTTATTTCTTAATTCACTTAAAAAATAAACCTATTAATATAAATTACTTTTTCATGAAATGTGACTATACTTTAAAAACTGAAAAAAGTGGAAAGAATGACATTGTTTCACATTTTTGCTACTCTTTTTTATATAGACAGCTGGATTTTTGTATCAGCTGTTGCATTCAATCAGTTGTTTGGTTGAAGTATATGAAGAAAATTCAGCCTCACATAGATATGTATGTGGAAAAGGAATGACATTGCAGATCCCCTGAAAAGGCTTCAGAGACCCCCATGCCTTCTCAGAACACAATGTGAAAACTGCTGTTTTAAACCTATGAAGTGGCAAATGGAAGAATAAGTAAACAAGTGGCTTTGAATGCAATAGTGTTTTGGCTACAATAATGCTACTTATAAGGAGTCTGTTATTTCCCAACTGCATCCTTATCTCTCACTTCCTCAGTCACTCCAAAACTAATATTGGCACACCTCACTTGGTAGCATTACTTCAAGGCTTTTCTCCCACAGTACAATCGCCCTCTGTGATTACCTGATAGAAAGCAGAAGACAGTGCTCCAAACCAGTCGTTGTTAGAGACTTTGACTAACATATAAGGAGAGAAAAAAAAAAATTAAACAGTTAACTAGAGCTCAGAAAAGCCTGGAGTTTAGGGGGAAGAGGAGTAGAGTGCAAATGTGCATTTATTGCTAGCAGCCTGTGATTTGTTTTATAAATGTGAGCTTGTAACAACCACAAGAGAGGGGTGTTGTTATACTAATTTTTCAGAGTAGGGAACGGATACTCTGAGAGTTTATCTTCCTTGCCAAAAGTTATACAGTTCTTCTTAAGGCCAGAACTTGTTGTTTTATCTTCTATAACACACTGATACAGGTATTCAGTCAATGTTTGTAAAACAGAAAAGTCACGCTTTCGAGGTTAGGAAATTGAGTACCATAGAATTTCAGGTGGTTTGGGAGAAGTGGGATTTCTAAATGCTGAATAACTGGAATTAAGAAAAATGGGCTAATTAGATCAAGATATAAGCACCTATACAGTGAGGACATTGGACCAAATGATCTTTCATATTCTCTTCTTATTCTAATATTCTATAAGTCAGGAAGTTATAAATCTGATGTATATATAAAGTATCTGACCAAGGACTCTTTTTATATGCACCACTAAGGTGGAAGCCAATATTAGTCCTGAGTCCATAGCTATAAACTGTTATATAGATAAAGTTGCTTAGAAAATGAAAGAAAGGAATTATCATTTATTGGTAAAAGGTGAAAGATTTATGCGATATGAAGAGAAACTAGAGTAATTATCATTTATTGGATGACTAAGGTGTGCTACGCACACTATGCTTGGTACTGCTTTCTGTCATTAGTTTAGCAGGGAGAGAGAAAAGTAGCTATAGATCCTGGCTTCTTATTGACAAGATTTTACTGAGCACCTACTATGTTCAGAGAGTTTTGAATATGTGCTAAGGAGATTGAAAAGGTCAGAAGCATAAAAAATAAAAATGTGATTAATGACTTTCTGTCTGTCATTATGTTAATTTTGTATGCCCCTTTGTACTTTATGAAGAAGCTTTGTAAATATTCATTCGGGATAGACTAGAAATCCATATACTAATAGAATTGACAGGAAATAATATAAAAGTAAGTGGTGGACTGAATTCATGTATGAGATAGAGAGAAATGAATGAAAAAGTGTCAGTAAGTAGGGACAGGAAATAATTAAATTCAGCAATGCTCAGAAGAGACAGTCAGAGACTGTATGAACGTAGAAAAAAGGTCTCAGTTTCCTCACCAATAAAATGATTTCACACATAATTTTATTTATATAATTTTAAGATATCTTCTAGAGAGGGGCTAAACTTCATAAAATATGTTACATATCTATAATGTATTGACTTGTTCATATCATATTTCATTGAATCTAAACAGACATTGATTCTAAAACACATTATCATTCAAAGTGCCACTAAGAAAGAAAGGAAAAACACTTCCAATTGTAGTTGTAAGACACCACTAATTATAAGGTCCATTCTAATATAAAAGCTATTAAAATCTAAAAAATACGCATTTCAGAATTGATGAAATATGGCAATAAAAACAAAGAAATTTATAATTCAGGGATGAACTAATTTCCCATCTGTATTTGTTAAGTGATAGGCTATCGCTGAAAACTCTGGGGTCAAGAAAGAGAATTGAAAAGCAGTGGCATTGTTCACCATGCTATACCTTAGAGAGGCTCTTAAAACTATGGGTTGTCATTGTAGGGCACAATAGTAAAAAAAGAGAAGAAAGAAGAAACAAACACGGCACTGTGCTAGGCCACTTGCAAACCTAATTTTATTTGTTCCTCCTTATAACTCTAAGAAGTCATTATTATTATGAAGCTATTTGGACTTTTGGAAATAGTGTGGGATTTGTATTCAGGAAGACATGGATTGAAATCCTGAATCTACCATGTGCTGTGTGATCTTGGACAAGATACACAACATATTCTATGTGGTAAAATATAGAAAATAGTATAAAGAGAAAATGAGTTTCAGAAGGAAGGAAGGAAGGAAAGAAGGAAGGAAGGAAGGAGGAGTCCATTAAAATGAAAATAACACTGAAAAAAATTAATCTATTAAAGAACAAAGATCTTCACATTGGGTTAAAAATCAAAATAAGACAGTGACAAAAAAGATGAGCAAATAATTTTTAGATAAAATTATTTACTGTGTTTTAAGCAGCATGCAAAACACTTTATATGATGTATACACAATGTACATTAAACTCTGCGGCCTTCATAACCTTCAAACATAACATGAGCTGGGCTCAATTTAATAATGAGTTAGAAAAAGATTATGTAATTTGCCCAATGCTACAAAACAGTACATGGTAGAATCAGATTTTTAAATCACGTCTCTCAAATGCACAAGAAATAAACAAGGCTGGGTGTGGTTGCTCTTGCCTGTAATCTCGGCACTTTGGGAGACCAAGGAAAGAGGATTGCTTGAGGCCAGGAATTTGAGTCCAGCCTTGGCAACACAGCGGGACCCTGTCTCTACAAAAAATTTTTAAAAATTCGCCAGTGTGATGTATTGTGCCTGTAGTTTGAGCTACTCATGAGGCTGAGGCTGGGGAATCACTTGAGTCCAGGGGCTCAAGGCTGCCATGAGCTATGACAACTGCACTGTAGCCTAGGCAACATGGTGAGAGTCTGTCTCATAAAAAAAAAGAATTAAACAAGAGTAAATAATATAAATAAGAACACTAATAAGATTATTTATTAGATATAGAACATTGTACCTTACAGAATAAAAGTGCAACTTCTTTCTGATTGATTAGACTATGACTATTTTCCTAAAACACAAAATATACAGATCACATTATCTGACCACAAAGCAATAAAAATGAAAATAAACAAAAATTCTAGAAAATTGAATTATGAAAATAATAAACTTTTAAATAACTTATTGCTCAAAGGGGAAAAGAAAAAATACTACTTACAAGCTATACTTACAATAATTTATATTTATAAATGCTCTTTGTATTAACTATTAAGAGTAACAACATATTACCTAGACCCGAACTCAAAAGAGCAAACAAAAGACAAAACAGATCCAAGGAAAACAGAAATACTTAGAAAAGATTAAATCATAAACATATGATTTAGAGAGCAGAAAAAAACAATAAGTACTATAATATGTAGTTCTGTGAAAATTCCAGTAAAATGTATAATGCTCTCGCTAGCCTAGTCAAGTATATTATACAAAAATATCAAATATGCAAAGTAAGGAATGAGAAAAGGAATATACACATAGCTATGTAGGCAATTAAAAAGCAAAAGATAAAACTTCTAGGAAAAATAACAAGTGCACAAGGAAGAAAAGTTTAAGTCCTATTAAAAACATAAAAATAACTTAATCAATATATACCTTGTTTGTGGATAAATATAAATAAATTTAACGATATGTCTTGTTTATGAACAGGAAATAAAATCTCCTAAAAGAATCTCAATACAAATACTGAGAGCATATTTTTGGAACTAGGTAAGCTGGTTCTGCAGGTTAAAAAAAAGTACATGATTATACCCAAGAAAATACCCAGGATAGTAAAGGCTAAACTTACCTTATCTAAAATGTATCATAAAGCTACAGTAATTAAAACATTTTTATACTGTGATTAAGGGACGGACACAGTGGTGAAACACAAGAGAGGGTACAGAAATAAATGTAAATGGCATAGGTATTTAGTCTCGGACATGTTAATTAAAATCAGTGGATAAATGGTGGAATGTCAAATAAATTATGTTGGAAGAGCTGACTGCCTTTGTGAGAAAAAATACAGCTATGTATTTAACAAGTGTCTTACGCCAAAATAAATACCAAATGGATCAAAAATGTAAATGTCAATGTAAAACTCAAAATGTATATACCATAATCAAAAATAAAGGTCAAATTACAGAATGGAGGAAATAAGTGATATTCATGACAGATAAAATATTTTAATTAAAAAAATAGAAAAAGGGGAATATATGTGGACAGGTAGTTGATTTTTTAAAATAATAAATAATATTTAAAGATCATTCGCCTCATGTCAGGGATCTTCTAAGAATTTTACATATGCATGATTAATTTCTTCTATTCTTAAACTACCCTTTGAGGTGTATATTATAATTTTTCCAATTGTAAAGATGAAGAAACTAAGGCATGGATGGAGAAGTTAAGTAATGTTTTCCAGCTTCATCGGGGAGTTAAGATATGATATGCTTTTAGCCAACATACTATATTGCTTCTCGTGGTTTATAACTGTTAAGTGATATTAAGCTTCACCCACAATCAAAGAAAGGTGAATTTAAATAAATAATTTTTCATATTTGCAAGGATTAAAATGTTTGAGAAATATAGTGTTGGTGAGGGTGTGAGGGAACAAGTATGTTCATACCATCTGTCTGAGGCACAATACAACTTTACAGAGTTTATAGAGAAAACAGCTATTGGGCAGGTCCAAACCAGAAGTGCTTCAGGGTCTCTGCTGAGAGAACACAAAGGGAAAATTTTAAAAGATAAACATAAACTAAAGCAAAGAAAATATTTGATTCATTAGTTTTACAGTTGCCTTATTTGGCCTCTACTGCTGTAAAGTTCCCTTAGATAGGTTTGTTGTAGACTTCTGATTGGTAGAGCTTAGGTTTCATTTTTCTTTGATATAGGCCATCATAAGAAATTGTCCAAGTTCCTCTTACATTTGTGAATCAAGCAAGGTTAGGATCACTGATGAGACCTAACTAGCTTTGTCTATGTAGGGATTTTTTAGGCCTGGACTCCATTTTAATTTACTTTAACAAAACTTATTAGGATTTTGAAATTGTTACTTTGGAAGGCAGGCATTATATATCAACATTTAAACTTCACAGATTCCTTGACCCAGAAGTTTCACTAAAAATTTCACTCTAGGAATTTATCCTAGAGAAGTGAGGCCTTGCCATAAACAAATTTAAACTACAGCATTTCAATTCCCCAACTTCCCTTTACTAGACCAAAATTGAGTTTGCCCTCTCTAGCTCCAGGAAAAGGGAAGCCACAACTAAAATGCAAAGAGAAACAAAATTAATTAATTCCTGTAATTTTAACTTTCAGGGGCCCAGGTCACAGCAATTTAAGGGATTTTAAAGGATAATTTTGCCCAAATATAATTTTACCTTAAGTGCTGACATTAGAACATAGGAACCAACCCCTCCACAATATGATGAGACACCAATGTACTGTGCAATAAATTTTAAAATCATATCATAATTAATTATTTTTCTTAACACAATTTAAACTGCTAAAATAAATTGAAAACAAATTTTTAGAAACCTGAATATAAAATAATAAGAGAAGCAAAAAATAATTATCAGAAAACTACCCCCTATAAAGTACTAAGTTCTGATGTTCCTGGCCTTGGACCACATGATTGCCTAGACAGAATTTCCCATACCTCCTACCATGGTTAGGGTACCAGCCCATTCTCACCCTGCTGTGAAGAAGTACCTGAGACTGGGTAATTTATAAAGAAAAGAGGTTTAATTGACTCACAGTTCTACATGGCTGGGTCAGCCTCAGGAAACTTACAATCACGGTGGAAGGTGAAGGGGAAGAAAGTACCTTCTTCACAAGGTGGCAGGAGAGACAGAGCACACAGGGAAAACTGCCACTTTTAAACCATCTGATCTCATGAGAACTCCCTTAATATCACCAGAAGGGTATGGAGGAAACTGCCTCCACGATCCAATCACCTCCCACCAGGTCCCTCTGACGTGGGGATTATGGGGGTTACAATTCAAGATGAGATTTGGGTGGGGACACAAAACCAAACAATATCATTCCATCCCTGGCCCCTCCAAAATCTCATGTCCTTTTCATATTTCAAAACCAATCACGCCTTCCCAACAGTCCCCCAAAACCTTAACTCATTGCAGCATTAACTCTAAAGCCTAAGTCCAAAGTCTCATCTGAGACAAGGCAAATCCCTTCTGCCTATGAGCCTGCAAAACCAAAAACAAGTTAGTTACTTCCAAGATACAATGGGGATACAGGCATTAGTTAAGTGATCCCTTTCCAAATGGGAGAAATTGGCCAAAACAAAGGAGCCACAGGCCGCATGCACATCTGAAACCTGGCAAGGCACTCATTAAATCTTAAAGCTCCAAAATAATCTCCTTTGATTTCATGTCTCACATCCAGGGCATGCTGATGCAAAGGGTGGGCTCCCAAGGCAGCTCTGCCCCTGTGGCTCTGCAGGGTTTAGTCCCCATGGCTACTTTCATGGGCTGGCATTGAGTACCTGTGGTTTTTCCAGGCACAGTGAAATCTCTCAGTGGATTTACCATCCTGGGGTCTGGAGGACAGCAGCCCTCTTCTCACAGGCATTGTGCCAGTGGGGCACTGTGTGGGAGCTCCAACCCCACGTTTCCCTAGGCAGAGGTTCCCAACCCTCAATTCTTGCCGTCTGCACACCCAGAGGCTCAACACCATGTAGAAATTCCCAAGCCTTGGGGATTGCAACTACAGAAGCAATGGCCTGAGCTGTTCATGGGCCCCCTTTAGCAATGGCTGCAGCTGGAGCAGCTGGGACACAGGGCACAATGTCCTAAGGCCGCACAGAGCAGCAGGGCCCTGGGCTCAGCCCACAAAACCATTTTTCCCCATAGGCCTCTGGGTCTGTGATGGGAGGGTGATATGGTTTACCTCCATGTCCCCATCCAAATCTCTTCTCAAATTGTAATCCTCAGGTGTCCAGGGGGGGATCAGGTGGGATGTGATTGGATCATGGGGGAGGTTTCCCTCATGCTGTTCTTGTGATACTGAAGGAGTTCTCACCCCAGGATCTAATCACCTCCCCTCAGGTCTCTCCCTTGACACGTGGGGATTACAATTCGAGACAAGATTTGGGTTGGAACACAGAGCAAAACCATAACATATATAGTCTTTCTCTCTATATATATATAGTCTCTCTCTCTCTCTCTCTCTCTATATATATATATATATATATATATATACACATATATATATATAGTCTATAAGAAACCACCTTTGGCTGACTCAGAATGTGAATAGCTTTGTTTTCACAGAGAAACTGAAAGAAAGTGAAGCCTTATTAAAATACTCAAGTTCATTTAAGGATAAGCACAAGAATAATAACATAGTTTGATATTCAACTTAGAAATTATATGTTTTAACTCTTAGGTTCCCTATTACTTGAAAAATTGTATCAATTGTCCTTCCCTTGATTCTCTATTCTCTCATCCAGGTTCTATGTGAATCTCTTTGTGAAGTGGACATCAAAATGTAAAAATAGAACTGCCCGTTAGCTACATTAATGAGATTGGAATTGGGGAGAAATATCAAAAAGAGAGATCAAGATATGAGAATCAGTTGCATAAAACTGATAATTGAAGCCATTAGAATGGCTTAAGTTTCTCAGAGAGTGAAAAGCCAACAAACAAAAAGATTAGGACTGCAGGTCTCCAATAGTTAAGAAGGGGAACAGGAAAGTAATAGTGAAGGAGACAGAAAAATTAGCAGAGATAGGTAAAGGAAAAGGATAGTGCAGTGATGAGAATGAAAAAAAAAGACAGAGGAAAAGAGTTAAATACATAAAATATCTGGCAACCTTAGAGAAGGCTATTTCAATGGAATGGCAAGGGTAGAAGTCATCTGTTAAAAAAAAAAAGAAGAAAAGTGGAGAAGAAATGGAGACAGGCAGCATGTATTGACTCTATAATTGAGTTTGTCAAAGAAAAGAAAGAGATAAATATAGTTGTAGATAGCAGGGTTAAATGGCATGAGCTGACTATCAGTTGATTGTCACTTGAGGAAGCATATGCCAGTATGGAGAGATAGTTGGGTTATTAGAAATAGTGGTTCATTTGGTAGAGGGTTTTGTATTAGAAATTCAGTTAGTCCTCAATTTAGAAGCTTGCAGATACTTTCACCTGGGGAGTCTAAACCCAGAATGAGTTACTTCCTGAAACTCATCCCTCAGGAAAGCATTGAATCAATCCACATCCCAGGTTTTCATTCCAACTGACCCTGTATGTCCCAAAACTAAACCTCAGCCTTCAATTGAGGCACTAATTTGGTGGCTTGATGTCTTAATATTTCCTTGGATCACTGAACACCTCCTTGAGTACAGTTCTAGAACGTTTATAGCTACATCCAGTGGGCTATCCTAGGATAGATAGGATTTGTCCTAATTTTGCTCACCCATCAATAGATTAATCAGAAATCTCAACCTTACTTTTTAAGTGAAGACATCTATTAGCTTTAATTTCATATACACCAGGTCTGAGTCTAGAAGCTGTCAAGTTGAAAAAAAAGTTCAATTTTCCTAGGCTTTGAAATGGCTTTGATTTCACATTGTCCTCTGCTAGCTGAAGAACCTGACCCATTAAGTCTGCTTGTCTCCTGATGGTGACAATGAATTCTTCCATTCCACAGCATTGGATTGTCACAAGCTACCAAAAATGCACGGTAAACTACAAATTACATGGCATGTCCAAGGAAGGGCCAGCAGGAATCATGCCCAAGGAGCTACTTAGATTTGACCTGGGCAGTAGGGATTGTGACTAAATGGTGAACTAACCCTTTCTGATACAATGGCTTTAGGTCTGTTGTAGCACTTAGCACAGGATAGGGCACATCATATGAAGTTCATATTTGCATTGAAGCTGAGCTGAAGTTTAATTTCATCATTCAGCTGAACATAAAAATAAATAAAATTGCACCTATGTCCAAAACAAGTCAGGAAAACCTGATTAAAAGCAGCAATTAGCTATTTGAATTCTCATTTAATCATATAAAAACCTATTTGAGAGTGCAGACAGAGACTTCTTTTCAGGAGAGAAATACATAAATAAGGGTTTAAACATTTGAGTGGTATCAGAAAGGACTGAATTAGAGAATTGTTTAGCTCCCTTCAAACCCTTGTTTTATTCCATTTTCAGTAATGTCCCCATCCAAATCTCATCTCAAATTGTAATCTCCAGCTGTTGAGGGAGGGATCAGGTGGGTGGTGATTGGATCATGGGGGCGGTTTCCCCCATGCTGTTCTTGTGATAGTGAAGGAGTTCTCATGAGATCTGATGGTTTTATAAGTGTTTGACAGTTCCTCCTTCACATTTGCTCTCTCTCTCCTGCCAACTTTCTGACTTGGGTTCCATGTAAATGCTTATAGGGAGAGAAAGTGCTGGACATGCAGACTTTGAGTATTTTAACAACTATGATAATTACTTATGACCACGAATTAACAGACAATTTTGTCAGTGATTATCAATTTACTTGGCTAAATGGCAGATAATTACTTAGCTAACAATATAGCTATATTAAACATATTTTATGGAATTTTGAGTTGTAGGAAGTAAAGGATCATGTGGTATTTGATTGGGAAATGGTGATAAAAGGGGAAAGAATGGTTGCTTCATATCCTGTTAAAACATTTATTATTGTTCCTCCTTTTAGAAGTTCTTCACTTTGTGTGGCCATGAATTTCCCCCTTCAGCATTGTGCCAAAATTAATTACTTTTTATTATCCCAATAAAACAGAGCAGCTGATCTTAGACAGTTAATCGGGAGCAATGTATATTATTGAATTAATTCATGTCAAAGTGTAATTCTCCAAGAGTTACATTCATTTCCAAAATATATGTCCCCAATCCCTAATTCAGGCAGTAGGACAAATTAAAATAAAAGTAGAAAGGCAGTAGGAAGGAGGAGGCAAAATCTAGGGCAGGCGACCAACCACAGGTAGGCTGGATTTTTCTGGGAATTTGTCCTGAAATCTATTCTCTGAAACTGTGTCTGCCATTAACAGTTCTTTCTTTTCTTCTACAACTGAACCTGAATAATTTCTAAAAGTTCTAAGATTTTTTTTACCATATGTCTTGATTAATAAGTAACATCAGGACTTCAGACTGAGAATAGAAAAATTAAGGCTCAGAATCCTGTTTGTGTATGTCTTGTGTAAGTTGGTTATTTGAAAGTCTGGACTCACCTGCATTAGTGCTAAGAGCTGCTGCACTAGTGTTAAGAAATCTCTTTATTTTTAAATTTTGGTGATCATCTTTGGTCTAATGAATGTTGTGATTTTCTATTGTCCAGGTTTTATGGATCAAATTAATACAATACATAGGCCGGGCTCAGTGGCTCACACTTGAACCCATGAGGTGGAGGTTGCAGTGAGCTGAGATCGTGCCACTGCATTCCAGCCTGGGCGACAGAGTGACACTCTGTCTCAAAGAAAAAATTAATACATTACATAAAGGGGAATTTCTAGTAAAGCTAAAACAAACAAACATTAAGAACCTCTGGGCAGAGCATGGTGGCAGAATACAAGGCTCCACCAATTGTTCCCCCAGCAAGGTCACCAATTTAACAACTATCTGCACAGAATAAACACCTTCATAAGAACCAAAAATCAGGTGAACACTCAGAGTACTTGGTTTTAACTTTATATCACTAAAAGAGGCACTGAATAGATTTTTAAAAAACAAAAAAACCAGTCCTAAATTGCAGATGCCATGCCTCCCCCACCCTGAGTAGGGGTGCTTGGTGGTGTGGAGAGTATTTCTTGGCCCTGGGGGAGGGAGAGAACAGCAATTGTGAGGTATTGAATTCTATGATGTCCAGTTACAGCAGAAAGGAAAACTGAATCAAACTCAGATGACTCCTGCTCGCTGAGGGTTCATTTAAACCAGCCCTGGCCTTAGGGGAATTACCAGTCCCAGTGGTCTGAACTTGAATTTCCACAAACCTCATCACCTAGAGTTATGGTGCTTTGTGTCTCTGAGTAAACTTGAAAGGCAGTCTAGGCCATAAGGACTGCAAATCTTAGGTGAGTCCTAGTGCTGAACTAGGTTGAGAGACACTGGACTGGGGGAACACACAACTTACTGAGACACCAGATGGGGCAGCCAAGGGAGTGCTGGCATCACCACTGCCCTAATTCTAGGCTGCACAGCTCACAGCTCCAAAAGAGACCCCTTCCATCCACCTGAGCAGAGAAGGGGGAAGAGTAGGGGGCACTGTGTGTTGGATCTTGGTTACCATTTCAGCCACAGCACGATAAGTCAGATTCGGTGAGGCCCCTGTTACAGATCTTGGTTACCATTTCAGCCACAGCACGATAAGTCAGATTCGGTGAGGCCCCTGTTACAGGGTGTAGCTCCCAGAAAACATTACTAGACACACCCTGGGGCAGAAAGTAACCTGCTGTCTTGAAGGAAAGCACCCAGTCCCAGCAGCATTTATCACCTGCTAACTGAAGAGCCCTTTGGCCCTGAATAACCAGCAGCGATACCCAGATACTGCCCCAAGGGCCTTGGGTAAGCCTCTGATACTTCCTGGCTTCAGGTGAGACTCAGCACACTACCAGTTGCAGTGGCTATGGGGCAAAACTCCTTCAGCTTGAGAAAAGCAGAGGGAAAAGTAAAGGGGACTTTGACTTGCATCTTAGGTACCAGCACAATTGTTTGTAACTCAAAGGATAAATGCTTGAGGGGATGAATACTTTCTTCTCCATGATGTGCTTATTTCACATTGCTTGCCTGTATCAAAACATCTCATGTACTTCATAAATATATACACCTTATTTACCTATAAAAATTTAAAAAATAAAAGTAGAAAATAAAAAGAATGTTTACAATGCAGGGAAACTATCTTAACCAATTCCTTTATTCTTTCTGGGTGGGATTGAGAGTGGGAATAAAAGGAGAGTGATGATATTTTGATATAAACAGCAGTTTATTTCTTTGGAAAGGAAAATAGTGGTCAAGGGGGCTAAAGCCACGGTTGCTTTCTGCAAGGCAACTTATGACTTTATTGATGCCCCTCCCCAGATTTCTGATATTCTAGATTTTTCCTATTGCTATTTCTTATAAATGTGCTGGTCCCACTCAATGACTGCTATGAAAAAGATGAAAGGATCAGGATTATGCAGACAGCACATCATCAATCAAAAGTCGTTTTTGACTGGAAAAGAGTTGGTTGCCAGACCTCTGCACAGCACATCCCAAAAAAACATGAATAATTCATTTATTGTTAAAAACCTTTTTTGTACTTTCCTAAACTGTAGTTTATCTTGTCTTGGATAGCTTCAAAAAGAGCCTGTGTACTTATGAATGTATAACTTCATTTGTATTTCAACTTAGCGGAGTCCTAATCAATTAAGTTCTTTTTTCCAGGTGGTTCCTGCAATAATAAAATATAGCCTGAAGAAAGTCCATTTTTAGGCACTATTTTTTAAAATGAAAATGGTCAGGAAAAGACACTGACACTGAAAAAAACAACCAAATAAAAGAAAATCCTACTGCTCAAGATTAACAAACTCAGGTTGACAGAAAACGTGGAATAACCTCTGACAAACCAAATATCAGCATATTAGGCCCTTAGAGCAATGCAGTTAAATTTCAAAATATAATACAATGATTTTGCCAGCCAAGCTTTAAGCCATTCATAAACTCCTGTAGCAGTAACCTAAGTTACCATTATGCATGGTTCTCTCTTTTTCCACCTCTTCACCTCTCTCTTTTTTGTGTGTCTCTTTCCCTCTACACACACACACACACACACACACACACATCTGTGTGATACTGAAAATTTCTGTTCAAAGTCATATGTCACTTTCTACTTATGTTGAGAAAGCTTAATATTAGGATGCGTAGAACAAATGTAGTGTCAGATAGTTGGCATTCAGGCCATTTTGCCATTTCTAAGGTTAAATACTTATCTCTAACTTTTAAAGGTACTATCGTCCCTCAGTATCTGTGGGAGATTTGTTCCAGGACTCCCCGTGGATACCAAAATCCCTGTATGAACAATTCCTTATATAAAATGGCATAGTATTTGCATATAACCTATGTGCCTCCTCCTGTATATATTAAATCATCTTTATATTACTTATAATACTTAATACGATGTAAATGCTATATAACTAGTTGTTGTACTGTATTTTCATTTACATTATTTTTTATTGTTGTTTTTCAAATATTTTCAGTCCATGCTTGGTTGAACTCATGATTGTAGAACCCACAGATATGGAGAGCCAACAGTATGTATACTTGGAGTCTTATATCTTTCTATCCATGAACTTTCTTAAGCACAGGTAGCATATTTCAATGGAGAGTTTCTTTTTCCTTCCTGAAACTGCCTTTTATCTGATCCTAACACAATCTGAATTGATTTATGTAGAAGTCAGATAAGCAGACATCTTAAAGTGAGAACTATTTCAAGTGGAGGTCAGTGAGAAAATAGATCTATCAACTGAATCGATAATCACAGAGATGCAAAAGCTGACATGGAGTTACACTGAGAAAAGTTACAGTTTATTCTGAATTCTTTACAAGGCCTCCTTGTGTCATACAATAATACCATTGCATGACAGGTTTTTCTTGAAAACAACATTGTATGACGAGTTAGTGGGTACAGCGCACCAGCATGGCACATGTATACATATGTAACTAACTTGCACATTGTGCACATGTACCCTAAAACTTAAAGTATAATAATAATAAATAAATAAAAAAAAGAAAACAACATTGTATTTTTTTGTCATCAGTGTCGATTTTCAAAACATGAAATATTTACCCTATAAACTCATCAGAATGAGAAGAAGTGTAGTCAACAATAAAGCAAATACTTTGTCTTCATACTAAGTTAGACTTTCATTAATAGATAAGTCCTGTTTGATTTAGTCACGGATCAGATTTAATAGTCTACAGCAATCTAATCACAGGTAATAGATCTTGCTAATAATTGAACCATGACAAGTGCTTTGTCATGTTGGTTGAGACAAAATCTGAGATACTAGAGCTCCAGATCCCCATCCCAATGATCCCCATAGTACTTTTCCTGTTACCGTTGCCTCTGAAACAGCATTGTTTAAACTGATGTTCAGTAGTACTATGCATAAGGGATATTCCTCAAAACATGTGCCTTCTGGTCACTTGTGGTTGCTATCTTCTACCTATTCTATCCCACCCTTGGAGAGTGACAATTCACCATTTAAAACAGCATATTTAAATTTCTGAAAATTCTTCCACTTAAAAAAAAAAACTTGTTTAGCCTAGGATTTGCTAAACTGAGTTGACCATAGAAGTCATTTTTCTTCTTGAAACACTGATTAATATCTCATATAATAATTATTTCAAGAAAGACACTTGTAGTGGATGCTGTGATGCACTGCCAAGATTCCCTGTAAGAACTGAAGGGCTCGTTCCCCCAGTTTCTGGGAATACTTCTGGCTGACTGCACTCAGCTGCCAGCTCTCTCTAAAAATTGCCAATAGCTAGAGAGAACTGCCTCTCTTAAGTTCATAACCCCTTCCCAGGGACAGCCTGCATTCAAGGACTGATCGAGACTGAAGTAAAATGCCCTGACTATTCACCACAATGTGAGACAACCGTAAAAAGATATCTCAGTTTCACAACTCAAATGGTGTTAGCCGATGCCTTCACTGAGGCTATGCCACAGCTCAACTTTTCTCTCTGCCCACTTTTGTTTTCTTTTCTTTTTTATTTTTTTCCCTTCCTTTCTCTTTTCTTGAACAGTTGCTGATCCTGAGAATATTGCATGATAAATTTCCTGAATGCTTAGTTCAAGCTCAGTTTACTTTTGAAAGAACTCAACCTACAAAACATTTTAGGACACTTAGGTGTAATGAAGACAATTGATGCAAAAAAAAAAAAAAGGTAATATACAACAAATCACATGTGGAAAGAAAACATGCCAAATTTTGAAGGAAGCTTAATAGAAAACACAGAGTGAACAATGAATCTCCACTTACTTTAGTTATCATGGAATTGGAGTGCCAGCTGAAAAGCAATAGGCTACATGAGGAATCTATAAAGGCAGCTGGTTTTGAAGGAGTGAAAATAATCTGGACACACTGAAGAGATAAAAGTTTTAAAAGCCTATGAAAAATTATGTCTGCATCATTATTATCTTAATTGCCGTTGCCTCTGAAACAGCATTGTTTAAACTGATGTTCAGTACTACTATGCATAAGGGATATTCCTCAAAACATGTGCCTTCTGGTCACTTGTGGTTGCTATCTTCTACCTATTCTATCCCACCCTTGGAGAATCACAATTCACCATTTAAAACAGCATATTTAAATTTCTGAAAATTCTTCCAGTTAAAAAAAAACTTGTTTAGCCTAGGATTTGCTAAACTTAGTTGACCACAGAAGTCATTTTTCTTCTTGAAACACTGATTAATATCTCATAGAATAATTATTTCAAGAAAGACACTGGTAGTGGATGCTGTGATGCACTGCCAAGATTCCCTGTAAGAACTGAAGGGACCTCTTAACTGGTTTTCCTTCCTCCAATCCTACCCTCTTTCAATCAATTCACCCCTAGCAGCCACAGTGATGTCTTTAGTGTAAATATAATATTGTCATATCTCTAATTAAAATCTTACAATTGCATGCATTGCTTCCAAATTTATTAGCTTGACTTATAAGGTCCTTTATGATTTAACCTCTCTAGTCACTCTTGAATTAATACCCATTACCCCAGATCTACTGTGCATCTTTTGCTCCTTGAATATGACACGCTCTAAAATGCCTCTGGGCCTCTGCATATGCTATTACCTTTGCTTAGACCCCACCCACCACTCCCACTCTTTCATCTTTTAGGCCCCAGCTTGAGTGTCACTTCCTTCAGGAAGCTTTCCATGGCCAGCCTCATCAAGTCAGCATTTAGATCCCCTGTCATGTGCTTTTATATCACCCTATTCTTCCCCTAACATAGCATGATGCATAATGTAATTGTTTAATAATATTCCCCCTTCTGATAGAATGTAAATTTATCAATGCCAGGGACTATAGGGACTATATCTTACTCATGGTGCCTATGCAACTGTGACTAACACATAGTAGGTACTCAATAAATATGAATAAATGTATGAAAAAATATAAAGCTCCTGAGCATTTCCTTATCCTAAAACAGTAATTTGGAAGGTGTGACTAAAGCCAAATCAATGTCAAATCCCTATCTTTCCTTAACAAGAATAATATTTTGAGGCTATAAAAACAAGGCCTTTTATGATTTAACCTCTCTAGTTACTCTTGAATTAATACCCATTACCCCAGATCCACTGCGCATCTTTTGCTTCTTGAATGTGACATGCTCTAAAATGCCTCTGGGCCTCTGCATATGCTATTACCTTTGCTTAGACCCCATACACAACTCTTTTCTAGTCACTCTTGGCTTAAGACTAGGCTCCAATTTTAACTAAAGTACTGAGCACTTCACTATGTATGTCGTTGGAAATACTATTTCTCTCAATATATATATCTCTACCTATCTATCTATTTAGCTATCTAAAATACAATTTATGAAAGACCAAATATATATCAACTACAAATCCTGCCTGTAGGAAAACCTGCAATTTTGTTGAGAAACAAAACCAGAGAATGTAAAGCACTAAGTTTCTTGGTTTAGACCAGCAGTTTCTGAACTGTGTGTTGTGATGAGTAGTGACATATGTCACAAATAATTTAGTACTAATAAAAAGTATCAACATTTGAAAATTATTTTTAGTAAATAAGAGCAATTTTAAGATATCTTATTTAATAATATTGCTCACTCTTTATGATCTAATATGCTGTCTTGAGTGAAAGAAAAAGAGGAAATTATTATTAGCCCATTGGAAATTGTTTATACCCCTGAGTAAGTCCATGAAACTTTGTCTTATAAGTGAATTTATCAATCATGTGTGATACATGGGGGAGGATCTCTGCATTACACTGTAAAAACAATAAATTTTCATAGACTGGGAAAAACAGACTGGACCAGAGGCATATAGAAAAGTTACAGATATGATGTTTGCTCTGTTGAAAAACTAGCAAGCCTGGAGGTTGGTCAAGGAAATACATTAATATGTATAGCTTATACAAGTCTGGATAAGTATGTTTAAAATGAGGAGTAGTTTGCTTAAATTCCACTAAATTTTAGCATAGGTATCTTATATACATAACAAGGTTTGGTGGGACTTTTCATGTTACCTTGGAAATGGCAATGAGGCTTCAAAAATGAATATAATATTCTCCAAATAAGTATACATTCTTAGGAAAGCCAACAACGATTGGGTCCAGAAACTTTTATTTATTTTTTTTCCTTCCGAGTTTTATTTGAGGTTCAAGGAGTACATACACAAGTTTGTTAGATGGGCAAATTGTGTGTCACAGGGGTTTGATGTATGCGTAATTTTGTCATCCAGGTAATAGGCATAATAAATTATAGATTGTTTTACAATCCACACTCTCCTCTCACTCTGTACCCTTAAGTATGCCCCAGTGTGTATTGTTCCCTTCTTTGAGTTCATGTGTACTCAATATTTAGCTTCCACTTATAAGTGAGAATATATGGTATTTGGTTTTCTGATTCTTCATTAATTTCCTTAGAATAATGGCCTCCAGTTCCATTCATGTTGCTGCAAAGGACGTGATTTCATTTTTTATGGCTGTGTAGTATTCCATAGTGTATAAATTCCACATTTATTGATCCAGTCCACTGTTGATGGACATCTAGGTTGATTCTTTGCTATTGTGAATTGTGCTGTGATTAACATACGCATTCATGTGTCTTTATGGTAGAACAATTTATTTTCCTTTGGATATATACCCAGGAATGGAATTGCTGTGTCTAAGGGTAGTTCTGTTTTAAGTTATTTGAGAAATCTCCAGGCTGCTTTCCACAATGACTGAAATAATTTACATTCCCACCAACAGTGCACAAACATTCCCTTTTCATTGCAACCTTGCCAACATCGGCTATTTATTGACTTTTTAATAATGGTCATTCTGACTGGTGTGAGATAGCATCTCACTGTGGTTTGGATTTGCATTTCCATTTGATTTGCATTTCCATTAGGGATATTGAGCATTTTTTCATATGCTTGCTGGCTGCATATATGACTCCTTTTGAGAAGTATCTGCTCATGTTCTTTGCCCATTGTTTAATAGGTTGGTTTGTTTTTTGCTAGTTGACTTATTTAAGTTCCTTATAGATTCTGTATATTAAATCTTAGTCTGGTGCATAGTTTGCAAATATTTTCTCCCATTCTGTAGGCTGTCTGTTTACTCTATAGATAGTTTCCTTTGCTGTCTAGATGCTCTTTAGTTTAATTAAGTTTCATTTGTTAATTTTTGTTTTCTTTGCAATTACTTTTGGAGTCCTTGTCATCAAGTTTTTGCCAGGGCTGATGTCCAGAATTGTATTTCCTACATTTTCTTCTAGGGTTTTTACAGTGCTAGGATTTACATATAAGTCTTTACTTCATCTTGAGTTAATTTTTCTATATGGTAAAAGAAAGGGGTCCAATTTCAGTAATTTGCATATGGCTAGCTAGTTATTCTAGCAGCATTTATTGAATAGAGGGTCCTTTCTTCATAGCTTGTTATTGTCAAATTTGTTGAAGATCAGATGGCTGCAGGTGTTTGGCTTTATTTCTGGGTTGTTTACTCTGTTCCATTGATCTATGTGTTTGCTTTTGTTCCAGTACTATGCTGTTTTAATTATGGTAACTTTGTAGTACACTTTGAAGTCAGATAGTTTGATGCTTGTGACTGTGTTTTTGTTGTTGTCATTTTTTTTTTTGTCTTTTGCTTAGGATTGCTTTGGCTATATGAGCTCTTTTCTGGTTCCAAATAAATTTTAGAATAGTTTTTTTTTATAATTCTGTGAAAAATATGATTGGTACTTTGATAGGAATAGCATTTAATCTTTAAATTGCTTTAGGTAGCATGGTCATTTTCATGATATTGATTGTACCTATCCATGAGCATGAACTCTTCTTCCATTTGTGTGTGCTGTCTTTCATCAGTGTTTTGTAATTCTCATTGTAGAGATCTTTCACATCACTAATTGGCTGTATTCTTAGGTATTTTATTCTTTTTGTGGCTTTTGTGAATGGGATTGCATTCTTGATTTGGCTCTCCACTTGGATGTTATTGGTGTATAGAAATGTTACTGATACGTGTATATTGATTTCGAATCCTGAAACTTTGCTGAAGATGTTTATCATATCCAGAAGACTTTGAGCAGAGACGATGGTGATTTCCAAATATAGAATAATATTGTCTGCAAACAGGGATTGTTTGACTTTTTCTAATCCTATTGTGATGCCTTTGTTTCTTTCTGTTATCTGATTGGTGTGGTTAGGACTTCCAGTACTATGTTGAATAAGGGTGGTGAAAGTGGGCATCCTTGTTTTGCTCTGGTTTTCAAGGGGAATGCTTCCAGCTTTTGCCTGTTCAATATGATGTTGGCTACAGATTTGTCATAAAGGACTTTTACAGTTCTGAGGTATGTTTCTTAGATGCCTGGTTCATTGAGGGTTTTTAACAGAAAAGGATGTTGGATTTTATTAAAATTATTTTCTGCATCTATTGCAATGATCATGTGGTTTTGTGTTTTAGTTCTGTTTATGTGATGAATCACATTATTGATTTGCATACGTTAAACCAACCTTGCCTCCCAGAGATCAAGCCTACTTGATGGTGGTGAATGGGCTTTATCACGTGCTGCTGGATTTGATTTGCTAGTATTTTGTTGAGGATTTTTGCATCCATGTTTATCAGAGATATTGGCCTGAAATTTTTTTCTTGTGTCTCTGCTAGGTTTTGGTATCAGAATGATGCTGGCCTCATAGAATGATTTAGGGAGGATTCCCTCCTCCATGACTTTTTGGAATAGTTTCAGTAAGACTGATACCAGCTCTCCTTTATATATATAGTCGAATTTAGCTGTGAGTCCGTTTGATCTAGGGTTTCTTTCTGGTTGGTAGGCTTTTTATTACAGATTCAATTTCAGAACTCATTATGGATCTATTCAGGTTTTTAATTTCTTCCTGGTTCAATCTTGGAAGGTTGTATGTTTCTAATAATTTATCCATTTATTCTAGGTTTTCTAGTTTGTGTGCATAGAGGTATGAATAATAGTCTCTGAGGGCTTTTCATATTTCTGTGGGATTGGTGGTAATGTCTCCTTTGTCATTTCTGATTGTGTTTATATGGATCTTTTCTCTTTTTTCTATATTAGTTTAGCTAACAATCTATCAATCTTATTCATTCTTTTGAAGAACTAACTTTTGCTTTTGTTGATATCTGTATGTTTTTTATCATCTTCATTTCATTAAATTCAGCTCTGATTTTGGTTATTTCTTTTCTTCTACTAGGTTTGGAGTTGCTTTGCTCTTGCTTTTCTAGTTCCTCTAGATGTGATGTTAGATTATTTCTTTGAGATATTTCTAACTTTTTGATGTGGGCATTTAGAACTATAAACTTTCCCCTTAACACTGTTTTAGATATGTGCCAGAGATTCTGGCATATTGTATCATTGTTTTTATTAATTTCAAAACAATTATTGATTTTTGCCTTAATTTCATTGTTTGCCTAAAAGTCATTCAGGAGCAGATTGCTTAATTTCCATTTAATTGTATGGTTTTGAGAGATCTTCTTAATAAAATTGATTTCTGGTTTTGTTGCACTGTAGTCTGAGAGAGTAGTTGATATGATTGTGTGGGTTTTTTAAATTTGTTGAAAATTGCTTCATGGCTGAGCATGTGGTTGATTTTAGAATATTTTCCATGTGCAGATTTTCACTCGAGTCCATGTGAAGAGACCACCACACAGGCTTTGTGTGAGCAACAAGGCTGTTTATTTCACCTGGGTGCAGGTGGGCTGAGTCTGAAAAGAGAGTCAGCAAAGGGCGATAGGGGTGGGGCCATTTTATAAGATTTGGGTAGGTAAAGGAAAATTACAGTCAAAGGGGGTTGTTCTCAGCGGGCAGGGTTGGGGGTCACAAGGTGCTCAGTTGGGGAGCTTTTGAGCCAGGATGAGCCAGGAAAAGGAATTTCACAAGGTAATGTCATCAGTTAAGGCAGGAACAGGCCATTTTCGCTTCTTTTGTCATTCTTCAGTTCCTTCGGGCCATCTGGGTGTATATTTGCAGGTCACAGAGGATATGATGGCTTAGCTTGGACTCAGAGGCCTGACATTCCTGTCTTCTTATATTAATAAGAAAAATAAAACAACATAGTGGTAAAGTGTTCGGGTGGCAAAAATTTTGGGGGTTGGTGTGGAGAGATAATGGGCGATGTTTCTCAGGGCTGCTTCCAGCGTGATTAGGGGTGGTGTGGGAACCTACAGTGGGAGAGATTAAGCTGAAGGAAGATTTTGTGGTAAGGGGTGATATTGTGGGGTTGTTAGAAGAAACATTTGTCATATAGAATTATTGGTGATGGCCTGGATACGGTTTTGTACGAATTGAAAAACTAAATGGAATAAGACAAGGAGAAAAACAGGTATTAAAGGACTAAGAATTGGGAGGACCTAGGACATCCAATTAGAGAGTGCCTAGGACATCCAATTAGAGAGTGCCTAAGGAGGTTCAGCATAGCCCTGCCAGCAAAGATTATTTATTTACTTTAAGAGGGAGTTAAGAGTGGTGGTTTGGGGATAGTACCAGGAGATATCAGCTGTGATGGCTTGGAGAAACAGTTTACCAGCAGTATAAACACGAGCATTTAGGAGTAGTTGAGAACAGTGAATAGGAGTATGACTAGACAGAAGACAGTAGGGATGACAAGGTTTTTGGGGCTCAGTCCAAGTTGGTCTGGTGTCTGGAATGAGACTGGGGCCTAATAAAAAGGAGCATCTATACAAGAGCTCAAATGGGCTGTACCTTGTAGCATTCTGAGGACAGGCCTGAATTCTGAGAAGGGCAAGTGGTAAAAGTATTGTCCAGTCCTTTTTAAGTTGGTGGCTGAGCTTTGTGAGGTGTGTTTTTAAAAGACCTTTAGTCTCTCCTACCTTTCCTGAAGATTGAGGATGGTAAGGGATATAAAGGTTTCGCTGAATACCAAGAGCCTGAAAAACTGCTTGGGTGATTTGACTAACAAAGGCCAGTCCGTTATCGGACTGTATAGAGGTGGGAAGGCCAAACCAAGGAATTATGTCTGACAGAAGGGAAGAAATGACCGCGGTGGCCTTCTCAGACCCTGTGGGAAAGGCTTCTACTTATCGAATGAAAGCGTCTACCCAGACCAAGGGGTATTTTAGTTTCCTGACTCGAGGCAGGTGAGTAAAGTCAATTTGCCAGTTCTGGGCGGGGGCAAATCCCCGAGCTTGATGTGTAGGGAAGGGAGGGGGCCTGAGAAATGCCTGAGGAGTAGTAGAATAGCAGATGGAACACTGAGAAGTGATTTCCTTGAGGATAGATTTCCACGATGGAAAGGAAATGAGAGGATCTAAGAGGCAGGCTAGCGGCTTGTAACCTACATGGAAGAGGTTATGAAATGACGACAGAATAGAATGGGCCTGTGAGGCTGGAAGGAGATATTTTCCTTTTAAACCATTTGCCTTGTGTGGGAAGAGATTGATAGGTGGAAGTTTCAGCGGGGGAGTAGGTGGGAGTGGCCAGATGAGAAGGCGAAAAACTGCCTTGAGGGATAGAAGTTGGAACACCAGCTGCTTTTTTTAGCTATTTTATCAGCATAAGCATTGTCCTGAGCGATGGGATCTGATGCCTTTTGATGGCTGCTTTTTTAGCTACCTTATCAGCATAAGTGTTGTCCTGAGCGATGGGATCTAATGCCTTTTGATGGCCTTTGCAGTGAATGACTAGCGGCTTTGAGAAGCATTTTTATTAAAGAGGCATTAATGATGGAGGACCTTTGCATAGTGAGGAAATCTCTTTCAGCCTATATAACAGCATGGTGGTGCAAGATATGGAAGGCATATTTAGTCAGTACAAATATTGATGCGTAGTCCTTTTGCAAGAGTGAGGGCTCGAGTTAAGGCACTGAGTTCGGCTTGCTGAGAGGTAGTGGAGGGGGGCAGAAAGTATATGCGTCAGGTGTGAGGAAGAAAATAGATTTTGGAAGTTATGAGAACTGTAGAGGGTGAGTTGAGCATAGTTTGTGATTTTGAGGGCCTCTAAAATTATTAAGGCAGTGGCAGCCACTGCATGCAGACATGAGGGCTAGGCTAAAACAGTAAGGTCAAGTTGTTTGGACAGAAAGGCTACAGGGTGCGGTCCTGGCTCTTGTGTATGAATTTTGACCTCACTAACTATGCCTAGGAAGGAAAGGAGTTGTTATTTTGTAGAAGGGATTGGGGTTTGGGAGATTAGCCGGACACAATCAGCAGGGAGAGCACGTGTGTTTTCCTGAGAATTGTATCGAGATAGGTAACAGATGAGGAAGAAATTTGGGCTTGACGGAAGTAATGGCAGCTGTCTGTGAAGACTTGAGGCAGTACAGCCTAGGTAATTTGCTGAGCCTGATGGGTGTCACGGTCAGTCCAAGTGAAAGTGAAGAGAGGCTTGGGTGAAGGGTGCAAAGGAATAGTAAAGAAAACATGTCTGAGATCCAGAATAGAATAATAGGTTTGTGGAGGGAGGTATTTAGGATAGGAGAGTCTATGGGTTTGGCACCATGGGGTGGATAGGCAAAACAATTTGGTTGATAAGGCGCAGATCCTGAACTAACCTGTAAGGCTTGTCTGGTTTTAGGACAGGTAAAATGGGGGAATTGTAAGGAGAGTTTATAGGCTTTAAAAGGCCATGCTGTAACAGGTGAGTGATAACAGGGTTTAATCCTTTTAAAGCGTGCTGTGGGATGGGATATTGGTGTTGAGCAGGGTAAGGGTGATTAGGTTTTAATGAGATGGTAAGGGGTGCATGATCCATCACTAAGGAGGGAGTAGAGGTGTCCTATACTCGTGGTTTAAGGTGGGGAGATACAAGGAGAGGATGTGAAGGAGGCTTTGAACTGGGGGAAAAGGCAGCAATGAGGTGCAGCTGTAGCCCAGGAATAGTCAGGGAAGCAGATAATTTAATTAAAATGTCTCGACCTAATAAGGGAGCTGGGCAGGTGGGGATAATTAAAAGGATTGCTTAAAACAGTATTGTCTAAGTTGGCACCAGAGTTGGGGAGTTTTAAGAGGTTTAGAAGCCTGGCCGTCAATACCTACAACAGTTATGGACGCAAGGGAAACAGGCCCTTGAAAAGAAGGTAATGTGGAGTGGGTAGCCTCTGTATTGATTAAGAAAGGGATGGACTTACCCTCCACTGTGAGAGTTACCTGAAGATCAGCATCCGTGATGGTCTAGGGGGCTTCTGAGGCAATCGGGCAGCATCAGTCTTCAGCCACTAAGCCAAGAAGATCTGAGAAGGAGTCAGTCAGAGAGCCTTGGGCCAGAGTTCCAGGGGCTCCGGGAGTGGCTGCCAGGTGAGTTGAACAGTCCGATTTTCAGTGGGGTCCTGCACAGATGGGACATTGCTTAGGAGGAATCCCGGGCTGCGGGCATTCCTTGGCCCAGTGGCCAGATTTCCGGCACTTGTAGCAAGCTCCTGGGGGAGGCGGGCCTGGAGGAATGCCTGGCCACTGCAGTTTAGGTGTTTGGAAGTTCTTGTGTGCTGGAGATGTGGCTGGGGTTTGTCTCACAGTGGAGGCAAGGAATTGCAACTCAGAAATACATTGCTACTTGGCTGTCTCTAATCTATTATTGTATACCTTGAAGGCGAGGTTAATTAAGTCCTGTTGTGGGGTTTGAGGGCCAGAATTTAATTTTTGGAGCTTTATTTAATGTTGGGAGCAGATTGGGTAATAAAATGCATATTGAGAATAAGATGGCCTTCTGACCTTTCAGGGTCTAGGGCTGTAAAGCGTCTCAAAGTTGCTGCCAAATGAGCCATGAACTTGTCTGGGTTTTTATATTCGATGAAAAAGAGCCTAAACGCTAACTGATTTTGGGAGAGGTTGGATAAAGAAAAAGGAGCATTAACCTTGACTATGCCTTTAGCTCCAGCCACCTTTTTAAGAGGAAATTGCTGGGCAGGTGGGGGAGGGCTAGTCGTTGAACAAAACTGTAAGCTGGACTGGGTGTGAGGAGGGGAGGTGATAAAAGGTTTATAGGGTGGAGGAGCAGAGGCTGAGGAAGAATTGGGACCTGGCTCGGCCTGGCGAGGAGCAGCCTGGGGAGGAGGGGAGAGGTCAGATGGGTCTGTAGAAAAGGAAGATTAGAAAGACTCAGCGCCACTCGCATCCGTGTGAAGAGACCACCAAACAGGCTTTGTGTGAGCAACAAGGCTGTTTATTTCACTTGGGTGCAGGTGGGCTGAGCCTGAAGAGAGAGTCAGCAAAGGGCGATAGGGGTGGGGCCGTCTTATAAGATTTGGGTAGGTAAAGGAAAATTGCAGTCAAAGGGGGTTGCTCTCAGCGGGCAGGGGTGGGGGTCACAAGGTGCTCAGTCGGGTAGCTTTTGAGCCAGGATGAGCCAGGAAAAGGAATTTCACAAGGTAATGTCATCAGTTAAGGCAGGAACAGGCCATTTTCACTTCTTTTATCATGCTTCAGTTCCTTCAGGCCATCTGGATGTATCTGTGCAGGTCACAGAGGATATGGCTTAGCTTGGGCTCAGAGGCCTGACACGGATGAGAATAATGTATATTATGTTCTTGTTTGGTGGAGGGTTCTATAGATATCTGTTAGGTTCATGTGGCCAAGTGTTGAGTTCAGGTCCTGAATATCTTTATTAGTTTTCTGCATTGGTAGTCTGTCCAAAAAATGTCAGTAGAGTGTTGAACTCTCCTACTATTATTTTGTGCTTATCTAAGTCTCTTCATAGGCCTCTAAGAACTTCTTTTATGAATCTTGGTACTCCAGTGTTGAGTACATACATATTTAGGATAGTGAAGTCTTCTTGTTAAATTGAACCCTTTATTATCATATAATATTATGCTTTGTCCTATTGGATCAGTTTAGTTTAAAGTCTGTTTTGTCTGAAATAAGAACATCAACTCCTTCTTTTTTATTTTTTGCTTTCCATTTGCTTTATAGATCTTTCTCCATCCCTTTACTTTGAGCTGATGGGTATCCTTGCATGTGAGATGGGTCTCTCAAAGATAGCATACAGTTAGGTCTTCCTTCTTTATCCAACTTGCTACTCTGTGCCTTTTAAGTGGGGCATTTAGCCTGTTTACAATCAAGGTTAATATTTATATGTGCAGATTTCATCCTGTCATGTGTTGTTAGGTAGCTGTTATGTAGACTTGATTGTCCAGATGCTTTATAGTATCAATAGTCAATGTACTTAAGTGTGTTTTTTTGGTGTCTAGTAACAGTATTTTTTTTCCCATGTTTAGCACTCCTTTAAGGACCTCTTGTAAGGCAGGTCTGTTAGCAATAAATTATCTTACCATTTGCTTGTCTAAAAAGGATCTTATTTCTCCTTCACTTATGAAGCTTAGTTTGGGTGGATATAAAGTTCATTATTGCAGTTTCTTTTCCCTGAGGATGCTGACTATAGGCCCCAGTCTCTTTTGGCTTGTAGGGTTTCTGCTAAAAGTTCCACCGTTAGCCTGTTGGGGATCCCTTTTTTAGGTGATCTGGCCCTTCTCTCTAGCTTCCTTTTGTATTTTTTCTTTCACATTGACCATAGAGAATTTAATGACTATTTGCTTTGGGGATGGTTATCTTGTATAGTATGTTGCAGGGATTCTCTGAATTTTCTGAATTTGAATATCAACCTCACTAGCAAGGTTGGACAAATTTTGTAGACAATATCCTCAAATATTTTCCAAGTTGCTTGCTGTCTCTCCCTCTCTGGAATGCTTATGAGTTGTAGGTTTTAACTCTTTACGTAATCCCTTACTTATTCAAGGTTTTGTTATTTGTTTAATTTTTTTAAAATTTCATCTGCCTTTTAATTTGAAGAACTGGTCTTCAGGCTCTGAGATTCATTCCTCATCATGGCCTATTCTGCTCTTGATATTTCTACTTGTGCTAGGAAATTCTTGTAGTGAGTTTTTCAGCTCTAGCAGATTGGTTTTGCTCTTTCTTAAAATATCTATTTTGTCTTTTATCTCTTGATTAGTTTTACTGGATTCCTTATATTCCTTGAAATAGGTTTCAACTTCCTCCTGAATCTGAATTATCTTTGTTGCCATCCAGATTCTGACTTCTATGTCAGTCATTTTATTTTGTCTTCTTTTTTTTTTTTTTCCGAGATGGAATCTTGCTCTGTCACCCAGGCTGGAGAACAGTGGTGCAATCTTGGCTCATTGCAGCTTCTGCCTCCCAGGTTCAAGCTGGGATTACAGGCATGAACCACCATGCCCGGCTAATTTTTATATTTTCAGTCAAGACAGGGTTTCACCATGTTGGCCAGGCTGGTCTTGAACTCCTAACTTTGTGATTTTGCGATCCATCTGCCTCGGCCTCCCAAAGTGCTGGGATTACCAGCCATGATGTCTGGCCTATTTTTTTCTTGTTAACAACTATTGCTGGGGAGCTAGTATGGTCCTTTGGATGCAAGGAGACGCTCTGGCTTTTAGAGTTGCCAGAATTTTTGCACTGGTTCTTTCTCATCCGTGTGGGCTGATGTACCTTTAACTGTGGTATATGTAATTTGAGTATAGTCAGCTTTGTTTCTGCATGTTTTCAGAAGGCTGAGACTTTGTGCAGCATCTTTATTTGTGGCTGAATTCTTGTCCTTGGTTTCACAGAGGGGTATATTAGCAAAGTATTTTTGGTGTTGAAGTTTGGGTTGTCATCCAGTAGATTGTACTTAAGCATAATGGCTGGCAGATAGGCTCTTACTCGGCCACACGGCTCCTCTGTATTTCCTCACGTTTGCAGCCATGCTCCTTCTCATTGCTGTGAGAGTGTGGGCATCTCTCCCACTCAAGTGCTGGCCACAGATATCAACTTGACATTCCTGGGTTGCACAGTGCAGCCCTGGTGGGAATTCAGGCTTTTTGTTTCCTCTTCAGCTTTGAGGCAGCATGGGAGGGAGACCCTTGGCAGTGGCAATGGCATAGTGCCTTTCACTTGTGTTTTGGGGCTCTACCCCAGAGAAACACAGAGCCACCGCCAATCAGAACAACAAGCCAGGTGTGAGTTGGCTGCATTGCAGGCTCAAGATGGAGGGAGGGGGCAGCTGCCTGGTGAAGAGTGGAGGGGTGGGGAGCTAAAGGAGAAGATCATCTGTCCTCTTCTCTGTACAGTGACTGCAGTGTACTGGAGTACTGGAGGTGCCAGCAAAGTGATCAGTGCCTTTGTGGTTTTTTGTTTGTTTGTTTTTTGCCAGCCCAAAGGCAACAAGAATGGCACTGCCGCAGTTGCAGTGGCAGATGGGCTGTCAGTTGTCTCTTGGAACTCCACCCCAGAGAAATACAGGGCCACTGCCAATGGGAATTTTCAGCTTCAGGTGGGGCAGCTGCACTGTGGGCCCAAACCAGGGGACATGCCTGGTGAAGAGCAGGGGATCTGGGGCTCACAATGAAGAGAGACTGGCCTCCTCTCCAAATGGTGGTTGTGGTTGTTGTGTGCTGAGGGTGCAAGTAAAGTACTCAGGCTGTTTGTCCCTTCCCTAATCCAAGGGCAGCAGGGGTGGTACCACTGTAGTGGCAGTGACAAAGGGGCTGTCAGTTGCTTCTGGGAAGTTCATCCTGGAAAGACACAGAGCCACTGCCAATACAAAGTTCTACTGGGAGTAGGATGGCTGCACTTTTCCCATGCCAGGGGCCCTGCCTGATGAAAAGCAAGGGGTAAGAGGGTCTGTATTAGTCCATTCTCACACTGCTATAAAGAAATAACTGAAACTGGATACTTTATAAAGAAAGAGGTTTAATTGGTTCACGGTTCTGCAGGCTGTACAGGAAGCATGGCTGGGGAGGCCTCAGGAAACTCACAATTATGGTGGAAGGTGAAGTGGTAGCTGGAACTTCACATGGCCAGGAGCAGGAGCAAGAAAGAGAAGGGGGAGGTGCCACACACTTTTAAACAACCAGATCTCATGAAAACTCTATCATGAGAACAGTACCAAAGGGGGAAATTTGCCCCTATGATCCATTTACCTCCAACCAGGCCCCAGCTCCAACAATAGAAATTACAATTCAACATGAGATTTCAGCAGGGACACAAATCCAAACCACATTAGGGTCACAGAGAAGAGAGACTGGGCTCCTCTCCATATGGCTGAAGCATGATGGAGGTTCAACAAAGCAATCGGTGTCCTTATTCTTTCCCCAGCCCAAAGGCAATATGGGCAATACCACTGCAGTGGCAATGGCAGAAAAGCCTCTGGGTTGTCTCTTGGATTTTTCTGCCCAGAAAATTGCAGAGTCACCACTGACTGAAGTGATCAGGTGGGAGCAGAGTAGCCATGCTGGGGGCCCAAGTTAGGAGGACCTGCCCAGTGAGGAATAGCCGGGGCCGGTACGCACGTGGAAACAGTCTGGCCACCTTTCCACAAGGCAGCTGTGATGTGCTGGAGGCCTGTGATAGATATTGGGCTCTTCACCCCAGACTGAAGGCAGAAGGGGTGGGAGCTGTGGCAGCAGCAAAAGCTGCAGGCCAGTCAGTAACCTCTGGGAGCTCTATCCTAGAGAAATGCAGAGTTATGACTGGCCTGACTGCTCATACAGGGCTGGGATGGCTGCACTGGAGTCCTCCCAGGCCATTTGGCTTTGCCTGGTGAGGTATAATGGAGGCAAGGCCAGCTGTTCATCTGCATCTCAGCACCATAGATGCAGCACCTATCCTGAGAGTGTATGAGAGATTGTGGCCTCTCTTGTTGGTGAAGCTACAGAAACTGGCGTAGGGTGCTCAGGGGTCTAGGACACTTGGGGCCACACATTAGTGTGAGTGACAGCTCTGCCTAGACACCACACCACTCTCCATGTCAGTCTGGAGACCCAGGGGAAACGGGCCAGGGAGGATCTCCTATCCCCAGGATCACAAAGGTCTATGGCAGAAGTGTACATCCCTGGGAGATCTTGCTTGCTCACCATTTCCCCATGGTGGGAGCTTCCCTTGGCTCCTCTCTACTTCCTGTGGGTTGTGTTACTTCCTTAATGAATCCCAATATGTCCCCCTGGATAATCTATTTGAAGCGCTATGGTTTACTGTTCACTCTAGCTCCTCTCTGTGAGAGCAGCACACACTAGTTGCTTCTAGTCAACCATCTTGGCATCTCCCCTAGAAACTTTTATAAAGACCTACAAAAGGTGGAAGAACTGACAGTGAAAGCACTAGCCACTGCCCCAAGCCCTGACTCCCTGCCCAATTTATGGAGTTAAGGGGAAGGGAGAGGATAGTAAATTATTATTATTGTCAAAACTGCCAGTTTACAACGAGAAGACTTTTTTCCCTCCCTATGTAGGAAAGGGTAGGGGACACCCCTTCCCAAAGTTAAGTGGAGGGAAGAACCAGGAGAATAGGATCTCCCTGAAAGAAAGTAAGGTTGGTGTTTCATTTCCTAGCTGGATACTTGTCAAGCTATAAACTACAGACCCATCTCTACGCATCCATGAAAATTGGTGGACCTTGGTGAGATAATTCTTGGGAGAGCTTGATATATTTCTCTATGAATTGAAGTATACATAAATACATACGTGTTGTCTGCTTATCTTCCAGAGATTTCTGAAAGTGATAGGTTTTCATAAGTAGTTGGCAGCAGATAAATAGTAAAACACCATGAAGTCTGCCAGAAAAGAGGCTAGCCCTTCAATCCTTGAGGAAATGGAAGAGGACTTCAGCAGTTCCCAAGGCTCATCGTGAGGGAAACCAAGATTATAGAAGGAGACAGAGAGACAAGAGATGCAATGCTGTGGCCAGAGAAGAAGTTAATGGTGTGCACCATAAACAGGATATTTTTTAAGAGGCTCCTCATTAATGAAAGAAGCTAAAATAAGGCTAAACATTACCCCAAGAAAATGACACCAATCCTCTATGTGAACCACTGCATTATTGAAGGCTGCCAGTAGGAGATAAGAACATATAAAGCCAGAGCAAATCCAGAGAGGACTCTTTATCAACAATAGATGACCAGTTGTGTATGAAGAAACCCACTATCTTTCCTATTTCCCTCTCAGACCCAGACTAGACAAGTTTAGGCCTTATGGGAATCCCACCTCATCTCTGCTCTCCTCTCAACCATATCGTTTCTTTTCCCTCTTTATATCTCCCAAGCACAAGGTTAACCAGTAATGGGTGAGGGGAAAATTTTATGGAGACATGAGATTGGGGAGTTAAACTGAATTGGGCTGGGCTGAATTTTGTTAATCAACAAAAATGCACATAAAATTTTATATAATTTGCAATAAATTACTTTGTAGAAAAGGAACTTCCCACTGAATATAACGAAATCATGGATAGGAAAGTAACAAAAATGTTTGACATTTGCACCCCACTCTGTGAAGACTGCTGAAACAAGTTACATGTGTATTTCACAATGGTTAGCATGGTGCAAGATACATAAGAGATACATAATATATATGCAATGGTTGATAAAGAAGAGCATACTTAACTGGAAGCAGGGCCTGGGACAAACTATAGTAGCAAGAGGCAACACTCCTTTGGAAGATGTTTTGTTCTAGCAGAGAAGGAGGAGGAATATGGGGAAGTGAGTAGGGATGAGGAAAAAAATAATGAAAAGAAGGAAAAAACACACACTACAAAGTAAATTGTGAAGACAGTAGGATGTGTTAAAGGGGATGCTGAAAGAGGGAGTTATTAATGATGGCAATGAAAGCAGCAGAAGAAAATCAAAAGAGAACAAACAAGAGGACTGCATAACCACAGCATGTATACAATCACCATTATACAATTCAGTAAAAGTACATATGACTGTATAATGAAAGTAAATAAAATAATTACATAACTTTTAAACATGATAAGAAATGGAAACAAAGGCTTTATGTAAGCCCCACGGAATGTTTCCCATGAGAATTTAGGGGTTTGCACATTTAGAAATAAAACAGAAGATGTCTACTCACCTGGGTAAAAGGGGCAAGAAGGCAAATATCCCTACAAGTTGCATGTACTCAATGGCCCAGCAATTCTGCTTGGAATTGGAGTTTATCCTATAGACAGACTCATATGTGAACTTAGAGTTACAAAGATGGATGTACAACATACAGAAAGAACATGAGAGTGTGATCTAATATGTGACCTTGTGCAGAACAAGAAAGAAAAGATGACAAAGACACAGATAGTGGGCTGATGACACAACCCCAGAGCAGTAGTGAATATTGTATTAAAACCTGATTTTATGTATGTGTCTTGTAGTTTGGAGTTTTATTTCCCTTGCCGTGAAGTTCCATGCTGCAAAATTTTACACATAGAGAAAAGTGTGAATCCTAGATATAATGTATAATTCTATTGTCCTGAATTAATCATTATTCTAAGCAAGTAGTAACCTATAAAATTCAGAGAAAAGCTATGTTGCCTGCTTTTTCATCTGTTCTCTTTCCTACATAGAGAATTTTCTTAAGAATAGATGTCAGCATTTGAGCAAATAAGTTCTAATTGTACAGTAAATGCTTACCAAGGCCCTAAATCTTGACAGATCTTGAGCCTCTGGCTGTGTCTATGCTTGCCAAATCTCAATATTTGAAAATATCGAAGTATGCAAATATTTTCCAATATTCCCTCAAATGCTTAGTGTAGATACAGAACTCGTACTTTTACTGAGCACCAGAACCACAGGCTGAGTCAGACTGGGAATACAAAAGAAATTGAAAAGGTGATATTTGAGGAACTCAAAAGGTACCACACTGAACCTAGGCCGATGCTCTGCTTTCCATCCCTACATGACTGCCTCATCATAAGTAGCATCCCACAGCTGCTCTTCTTAGACATGAGATAATGCATGTAATCTCTTAGTTCAGTGCCTAACACATACTAAGTGATCATTTGCCCAGCTCATCTTTCTGACTCTAAACATATCATTTGACCCTCAGGCCTATAAAGAGTCTAAACCTTTTGATGATCTGTCCTCTAGTGCTTTGCTTTCTAATGTATGGTTTGTGAATCAGTAGCATGGGCATCACTGAGATGACTTTAAGAAATGCAGAATCTCAGGCTCCACTCTAAACCTACTGAATCAGAACCTGGATTTTTCTTTTTCTCTTTTTTTTAGACAGAGTCTCGCTCTGTCGCCCAGGTTGGAGTGCAGTGGCGCCATCTTGGCTCACTGCAATCTCCGCCTCCCGGGTTCACGCCATTCTCCTGCCTCAGCCTCCTGAGTAGCTGGGACTACAGGTGCCCGCCACCACGACTGGCTAATTTTTTTGTATTTTTAGTAGAGACGGGGTTTCACCATGTTTGCCAGGATGGTCTCGATCTCCTGACCTCGTGATCCACCCGCCTTGGCCTCCCAAAGTGCTGGGATTACATGCGTGAGCCACCCTGCCAGGCCAGAACCTGGATTTTAACAAGATACCCAGGTGATTCATATGCACAACAACAGAAGTTGCCAAACCTCAACAAATTATAATCAACCCAGATATTCAGTCTCAGTTGGTCTGGGGGAGAACAGGCATTATTTTCAAAATATTTTCAAAAGCCTCTCAGGTAATTCTAAGGTGCATCTAGGGTTGAGAATTACTACGGGGTTTTGCTCATGTCACTCCATTTTCTACCCTTTTGGTGTCAACTCTAGGTGAAAAACACTCTCTACTCAAAAGCAACTCAACTATGTGTTTGCGATCTCATTTATTCGTTTAGAAAGTACTAAGTGATTACTCTGTTCAAGGCACCATGACAGCTTCCGAAAATAGCATTGTAAGCACGAATGACAATGCTCTGCTTCCATGAAGTTTGCATTGTACCATGATAGAATGGGCAAATTCATAGGCAATTAAATACAAGATAAGGATGAGTCATGTAGTAGCAGAAATACAGGGTAATTAGAAAGCAAACACAGAGGGCACTACATGATTATAGAGTAATCAACATTTTTTTCCAGATAAATACTTGAAAGCAAAACATCCAGATGAGCACATTCTTTATCATATTTGATTCTCATACTGAAATTACGATAGTTGTCCTCAAAAAGATTTTCTCTGCTGAGACCTATCTGTAGTGCTTACCTAAGTACGACACGCCCCCTACCCCAAATGGTGGCATGAGTATTTTACGCAAAAAAGAAATAGCAATTTTGCCTCATGAAAAGCTAATCAGTACAGTATTTTTACCACTCAAAAGCTATTGAATAATTATAGTAACATTTCTGTGAAGTCTTAGAATTCTTCTTTCCACCAGTTGCTAGATCGGCTACTGTGACTGAATTGACTGTCCTGTTCAGTGGACATATCCAAGTATCTGCCTGTCACTTTGTGAATAAATCTTGTATTCATTTCATGTTGTATACAAGAATATGTATAAAAAACAGTAAAACTTAAGTTACAAATGCCCTCACTGCCACTTGATTTTCACAATTAACCAGTTTAGTGAAGTTGTGATTAAAAGTCAAGGGCTCTAGTGGGGGAAAAAAGGCCTATTCCAATTGAGAGTTTGCAACTGGGAAGTTCTGAAGACCTGGGTTCTTGGGCTTCAGTTTCCTTATCTCAAAGTAGGAATAATAATAGTATCTATCTCATAGAAGTACTGTGAGGCTTAATCATTTGTGTAAAGCTTGTAGCTCTGCCTAGAACAAAGTAACATTCAGTATTAAGTGTTGTTGTTCTAGTTAATTGCAAATTCTCTGAATATATGAGTTCCAGTCAGTGTTTAGAGTCACAAGTTGAAAATGTCACTTTTTCTATTAAAGCCTCATTACGTTACTAAAAATATTTCCATCTATAGTGCAACATGTGAAATATTCTTTTTTTCTTTATCTTTTTTTTTTTTTTTTTTTTTTTTTTTTTTTTTTTGACAAAGTCTCACTCTGTCGCCCAGGCTGGAGTGCGGTGGTGCGATTCGGCTCACTGCAATCTCTGCCACCCGGTTTCAAGCAATTCTCCTGCCTCAGCCTCTCAAGTAGCTGGGATTACAGGTGCCTGCCACCGTGCCTGGCTAATTTTTGTATTTTTAGTAGAGATAGGGTTTCACCATGTTGGCCAGGCTGGTCTTGAACTCCTGACCTTGTGATCCACCCACCTCGGCCTCCCAAAGTGTTGAGATTACAGGTGTGAGACACCACACCCGGCCCATGTGAAATATTTCAACAGCATCATTAGACAAGCTACTGAAAGGAAAAGCAGTGTTGGAACAAATATTTGTAGACGACTGTTACATTGCTGACCACGGTAAACCTTATACTATTTTTTGTATGGCTCAATGATCAATGATCATGTCACATATGAGTGCTTGGTGAGGAGCAATAGTTCTTGGGTCTGGAGAGGCCATTAGTAACACATTTGGAGTCTTTCTTTAAGTCATGCATTTCCCATGATGTATAGATTTTAATTTAAGTTCATTTGGCTACCAAAGCCCTTTACTTAAATTAGCAAAGGATTGATTTAAAATAGTAATAAAAGTAAATGGTATCTTAATGAGCATCACAGTAATTGTATAACAGCTTAAGTACTATATTCATAGAAACAAGAGGACAAGAAGCTGATTATGATCACAAATAAATAGTTATTAGCCATAGGTCAGACTTCCGTTCCTTTCTTTGTGTTTTTGGTCTTGGGGCCAGAATAGTTTCATGTAAACAAAATAATTATTCTTCCTTATCTTCCTGTTCCTTTTGCTATATTAATACATATTTGGCATGCCCCCATATACTGTTTATGGCAAAATGAGATGAGTGAGCTAATTCAGATTAAATAGCTGACTTTTCACCCAAATCCCTTGCCAAAGACAAACTGAACTTTTAAAGGTTTGGCGATGTGAGTTTATTTTTGCATTCTTTTTTTTTTTTTTTTTTTTTTTTTACTTGGAGGCATCTTGGTATAATTTTACTTTCATGCATTTTGTAGTGGTTGGAAATGTAAGGTGTTTGGGGAGTTTATTTAAATTAGTGTAGTAGAATATTTATGTAAGCCATCTCATTTTTAAACATTACAGAAGGGGATATCAGTGTAAATGTAAATAATTCTATACATATTTTACATCCCTGATGATGTTTTTAAAGCTTTTTGCAAATAAATGTATATAATTATAATTTGTCAATTTACAATGATAAAAAAGCTTCCTTGAAATGTTGACTGTAGCTCAACACAAAGCATTCAATTACAAAGAAAGAAAAAGATCAAAATACGCATAAGTTTAGGACTGTGGACCAATAAATTTCAATCTTAGCTATAAATAAGATTGTTTCAGAAAAGGGGAATCAATTTTTTATTCTAACTCTCAATGTTTTCCCACAACCAACCAAAAATATGAGAATAGAAAATTGGATGGAATTACAGTACTAACAGTTCTACTTCATATGTTGTCGAAATAGACTTGAGTAGCCAGACACAAGTATCTTGAAACTTAATGGAAATAATTCAGGATCTGTGCCCTCAAAAAGGTTATCATATAAGGTTAGGCAGCCCAGATAGGTCAATTAGTTACAGTAATTTGAAGAACAAAGCCAACTCAGCTTGTGCTGTTCCTCTGTCTTGTTTTGGAGTGGGGAGTTAAAATGTGCTGCAAAGTTGGCTTTGGTCATAAAGAAATCTTTTAACCTGTGGGAATTTTTTCAACTTAGCTTCTATGAATCTTTATCATCAACAACATTATTGTCTTCACAGTAGAATTTCAAGGATAATATTCATACCTCAAAAGATGTACTTCATACATTACTAATCAATTCTCTATTGGCTCCTCCACGGAGATTTTCATAGATCAGTTTAAAAATTTTTTTCAATTTCCTTCTTAATTTCTTCATTGACCCACTGGTCTTTCAGGATCATATTGTTTAATTTTCATGTGTTCATATAGTTTCCGAAATTTCTCTTGTTATCGATTTCTAGTTTTATTCCACTGGGGTCGGAGAAGATGCTTGATGTTATTTTAATTTTTTTGAAAGTTTTAAGACCTGTATTGTAGCCTAATACATGGTCTGTCCTTGAAAATGATCCATGTCTTAAGAAAAAGAATGTGTATTCTGCAGCCATTAGATGAAATGGTCTGTAAATATCTATTAGATCCATTTGGTCTATAGTGCAGATTAAATCCAATGTTTCTTTGTTGATTTTCTGTCTAAAATAATCTGTTCAATGCTGAACGTGGGATGTTGACTTTTCTAGGTATTATTTTACTGGGACCTATTTCTCTCTTTAGCTCTAATAATATTTGCTTCATTTATCTCGGTGCTCCAGTGTTGGGTGCATGTCTATTTACAATTATTATATTGCCTTGCTGAATTGATCCCTTTATCATTATATAATGACCTCCTTTGTCTCTTCTTATAGTTTTTGTCTTGAAATCTATTTTGTCTAATATGAGTTTAGCTACTGCTGTTCATTTTTGGTTCCCATTGCCATGGAATATCTTTTTCCATCTTTTTATTTTCAGTCTATGTGTATATTTATATGTGAAGTGTGTTTCCTGTAATCAATGGGTCATTGAGTCTTATTTCTTTATCTGTTCAGAAATTCTGTCTTCTGATTGAAGAGTTTATTCAATTTACATTCAATGTTATTATTGATATGTTTGGACTTACTTCTGCTATTTTGTTATTTGTTTTCTGGTTGTTTCTGGTTTTCTCCTTCCTTCCTGTCTTTCTTTTAGTGAATGTGATTTTCTGTGATTGTATAATTTTATTTCTTCCTTTTTATTTGTTTGTGTATCCATTGTATATTTTTTGATTTTCGGTTACCATGAAGCTTGCAAATACTCTCACATGATGCATAATTTTGAGCTGATAACTTAACACTGCTTAAATAAACAAGCTAACTAACAAGCAAGAAGAAAACTGTTGAAATCTCTACACTTTAACTTCATCCTCTCACTTTTAAATTTTTTTTGTTTCTATTTATATCCTATTGTATTGTCTGTGTCTTCAAAAGTTGTTGCAGTTATTTTTGATTGGTTCATCTTTCACTCTTTCTACTTAGAATAATAATGGTGTACACACCACAAATACAATGTTATAATATTCTGTTTTTCTGTGCACATAACTATTGTCAGTAAATTTTGTACCTTTTTGAAATTCCTCAGCTTTTGTTTATCTGGGAAAGTCTTTATTTCTCCTTCGTGTTTGAAGGATATTTTACCTGGGTATACTAGTATTTTCAAATAGCCTGTCTTCAAGCTCACTTATTCTTTCTTCTGCTTGATCAGTTTTTCTATTAACAGATTCTGATGCATTCTTGAGTATGTCAGTTGCATTTTTTCAACTCTAGAATTTTTTCTTGGTTCTTTTTAATTATTTCAATCTCTGTAAAATGCATCTGATAGAATTATGAATTCTTTCTCTGTGTTATCTTGAATTTCTTCAATTCAGCTCTTTTGAATTATCTGTCTGAAGGTTCACATACCTCTGCTTCTCCAGGATTGGTTCCTGGTGCCTTATTTAGTTCATTTGGTGAAATCATGTTTTCCTGAATGGTACTGATACTTGTAGATGTCTTTCTTTTGGCCTTAAAGAGCTCTGTATTTATTGTAGTCTTCATAGTCTTGGCTTATTTGTACCCATACTTCTTGGGAAGTCTTTGCAGGTATTTGAAAAGACTTGGGTGTTGTGATCTAAGCTGTATTTGTATTATGAGTCACACCAAGCCCATTAATGTTGTGCTTCTTGCAGACTCATGGAGGTACCCTCCTGGTGGCCTTGGATAAGATCCAGAAGATTTCTCTGGATTTACAGGCAGAGATTCTCTTTCTTTTCCCTTACTTTCTCCCTAACAAAAGGTGTCTCTCACTCTGTGCTGAGCCACTTGATTCTGGGGAAGAGGGAGTGACACAAGCACCACTGTGGCCTCTACCACTGATACTGCATTAGGTCAGACTTGAAGCCAGCTCAGCACTGGGTCTCGCCCAATGCTTAGTGTAACCACTATCTGGCTACCACCTATGTTTGATCAAGGCCCTAGGGCTCTACAGTCACCAGGTGGTGAAGCCAGCCAGGCTTTTGTCCTTTTCTTCAGGAGAGTGATTTTTCCCAGGCCCCAGGTAGGTCTAGAGATGCCATCTTGGAGTTAAAAACTGGAGTCAAAAACTTTATAAGTCTATCTGGTGTTCTATTCTACCATGGCCGAGCTGGCCCTGTAACCATGAGAAACAGTCTTTCTCACTCTTTCCTCCCCTTTCTACAGGCAGAGGAGCCTTTCCCCATGGCCACCACTCCCACAGGTTCACAGGGAGTACTGACAGGCTACCACCAGTGTTCCCTTAAAGCCCAAGAGCCCAAGGGCTTTTCACTCAGCTTGTGGTGAATGCTGCTTGACCATCCTTCAGGTCAATGTGCTCCCCTCCAGCCCAGGGCAGGTCTACAAATGTCATTCAAGAGTAAAGGCCTATACTTGGGGACCCCAAGAGTCTGCTTAGTGCTCTACCTCACTGTGGCCAAGCTCGTACCTAAGGTGCAAGACAAAGTCCCCTTTACTTTTCTGTCTGCTTTTCTCAAGCAGAAGGATTTTCTCACCATAGACAGCACAGCTTGGAATATTCTGGGTCTCACCTGAAGCCAGCACGTCTGAGAGTTTTGCCCAATTCCTATGACTTACTACCTGGCTACTGCTCCTTGTTCTTTAGGGCCCAAGAACTCTTTAGCTTACAGGTAATGGATCCTGCCAGGACTTGGTCCTTCCCTTTAAGGCAGCAGGTTTTCTTCTGGACCTGGGTATGTCTAGAAATATCATTCAGGAGCTAGGGAATGGAATGAAGGCCTCAGGATTCTCACTGGTGCTGGTGCCCTATAGTACTCTGGCTGAGCTGCTATCCAAGATGAAAGACAAAATTCCTCTTTATGCTTCCCTCCCCTCTCCTCAAACAGAAAGAATGGGTTTCTTCTGGAGCCACAAGCTGTTTTGTCTGGGCCTGGGGGAGGGGTGACACAAGCAATCCATTAGCTGCCCCAGCTGGTGTCTCAGTAAGTCACGTGCTCCCCAAGTCCTCAAGTCTACTGGCTCTGAGCCCAGCTCAGCACTAAGACTTGCAGTCTTTGTGGCCTAGACTGCCTGTCAAGTTTAATTTGAGCCCTAAAGCATTTCAGCCTGCAGTCGTGAGGCTTTCCAGAACTCAAGTTCTAACCCTTGGAGTGAGCAATTCCCTTTTGGCTAGGGCTGGTCTGAATGATCCCTCTGTGAGGGCATCAGCTGATTTCAGCCCTGTTGCTGCTGTGACAGGTCAGCGCTGAGTTCAATGAAAAGTCTCACAATTGCTGGGTTCTCCCTCTCCCAATCACACAGATTTTTCCAGACCCCATTGCCACTGTGGGGGTATGAGAGATGGGTGGCATTGGCAATTTAAGACGGTCTTTTCTACCCACTGCAGTGTCTCTTTCAGCACTATGAAGTTAAAAGCAGGTATTGCGAGGGTTCACCTGATTTTTACTTCTTATGAAGGTTTTCTTCTGGTTCTTCCAACTAAGCCTATAAATAGCCTAAAATAAAAATTTACCTCCACATTATTACTTTATCCAGCTACCATTCAAATTTACATTTCTCTTTACTTCTAAACTTGTCAAAAACCAAAAGTTTATTTTCTATTACTTGCATTTTGTTAGCACCCACTTTCTCCTTCACACTTTGTAATCTAGCTTTTTTTGTGTCGATAGTTGAATTTGGTGTGCCTGTGAGTGGGCTAATGGTGGGGCTTTCTATTTTACCACTTTGCTCCACCCCCTCTCTGAAGTTTTTTTTATTTTTTTAAACCTCTCCTAACACCTAATTTCATCTCCACCTTCAGATGATTGCTACCTTTGTTACTGCAATATTGAAGCCATATAACATGAGAAAAGATTTCAATCTCAAAAGCATTCTAGAATCATAATCATTCTCTTTTCCTTATATCTCATCTCAGGTAATGGATTTATCCTTCCTTCTTGCCAAATAAAACCTATGACACTTTAACTTTAGTCCCAACCCTACATCAATTACCCACTGTATTAGTTAGGGTTAGGTTCAACTACAGCTGATAGAAAGCCCAAAACAACAGTGGTTTGACCAAGATTGATTTCCATTAAGATAAACCTAAGCATTCCTGGACTGGTATATTAGCTCCATAATCATGAGGTCCCAAATCCCTTATATCTTGTTCCTATTCCCAACATAACACTTTCACCACAATGTCTGTCTCATAAACCAAGAACTACAATTCTATCCAGTAGGTACACAGTCCAGAAAACAGGAAGCAGAAAAAAGGACAAGAAAAGGGTACTCCTTCCTTTTCAGATCACTTTCTAGAAGTGCACATATTTCCTTCTGCTTACATCCCATGGACCAGAGGTTAGTCAAATAGCCAAACCTAGCTTCCAAGGTGATTGGGTAATGTACCTTTGCATGAGCTTAGACAAAATTTGATGTTTCTATTACTAAGGAAGGAAGAGAGAGATATTGAGGCATGATTAGCAGTTTCCATGGCACCCCCCCTTTTGATATTTATCTTTAGTCTATAATTTTCTTCTGGTTCTTCCAACTAAGCCTATAAATATCCTAAAATAAAAATTTACTTCCACATTATTCCTTTCTCCAGCTACCATCCAAATTTACATCTTTTCTTACTTCTAAACTTGTCAAAAACCAAAAATTTATTTTCTATTGCCTGCATTTTGTTACCACCCACTTTCTCCTTTGCACTTTGTAATCTAGCTAAGACTCCAATTACTATTAAAACTACCTTCTTCTATGTCACCAGTGACTTTCTTATTCCCAAATTCAATCACTTATTTGTCCTTGTAGTACTTATTAAGTATAAATTATTGCCATGGAATACACTATGGTAAAAACTAAATAAACATGCCAAGTAAGTAGTTGGATATTAAAGGAGATAATCTTACTTCAGGGATTTTGTATTTTGAATGCAAATCTAAAAAGGTTTGCTTTTAAGAGACACATTTTGACTCAATAATGTATGTCATAATAATTTTTCTTGTGAAATGAATGCAGAGATAGATACTTTGGATATGTCTGCTTGGCCATAACTAAATAATATTTCACACAAATACGTGTGAAATTAGGTAATAAAACTTGCCAAAGGAAATGTTATATATAACAAAGAATTTGGCACACATTATTTAACTTGTTTTTCAGATCTCTGGTTTTCACTTCAATTGTCAATCTGCTTATATTTGTAATCTATTAGATTAGAGCCATTGGATTTTTATTTCCAATGATTCTTTCACTTAACTTTGGCCTGACATGACTACTACACACAAAAATAGTAGGAGCAAAAGAGAATTTTTTTTCTTACAGTGGAAAGCTGTATTTTCCTAAGTATCTTCTTAAAACCTTGCAATGCCTGTGAGGGAAATAATGTGAAAAAGAAGGACTCTATGGACATATAAAACCACTGTTTTTATAAGAAACCAAACTTTTTGGAGCATCTTGACTGCAAAGGTGAGATACTGTAAATCTGTCAAGATAGAGGGTACAAATTATGCCTCAAAAAATGTATAATGTCTAGCAACTGATTGTCATTAGAAAAGTTTCTCTCTAACATCTCTGATCTCTGTATTTCTGACTTCTGACTCTTATCCAGCAATTATTACTGAACTTCACATTACTCAGCCTTTTACTCCATGTGCTATCACTTGTCTGCCGATCTGGGCTCCTTTCTGCTTCATGGATTCATATCAACTTGAATTTAATTCATGTGTTCAAGTTCTTGACATCACAGTTGTACATCATCTCCTCTCCTGTTTTAATTTCAGCATGAACACCATCTGACAATCCTGGGTTCCTCAGCTTCAAGCACAGCAGTGTCCAACACTGGACATTAGACCTATCTACAAAGATTTAAAAAATCTGTGAATAACCAGACCCTATCCCCAGTATTCTAATTTAAGTGGACTGAGATGGGGATAGGTATTGGTAGTTTTAAAGAGCTCCACAGGTCACTCTAATCTGCAGCCAGGTTTGAAAACTATCATTCTAGCTTCTGTTTCCATCCAAAATAACTATAAAGTCTACTTAGGGAACTGCTCTATTACCCTCTCCTGGTACCAGGCAACACTGCCTTCAGTGGTTCCATGGAACTCAGTAAACTCAGATGCCACCAAGATTCAATTAGATATAAGATATTTATTTATTTATTCAACAAACATGTAACAAGTACTTACTCTTTTCTAACTAGTCAAAGAAAATTTGAATATAGTCCTTTTCCTCCAGAGCACATATACTAGTGGAGTAGGCGGTGAGGAAACAAATAATTATAGGAACGTGATAACTGCTTTGATAGAGACATAAGAGAAATACTATAGAAACACAGAAGAGGGAGCAATTATCCCTCTGTAAAGGTCGTAGAAGACTTTCTGAAGTATATTTTAATCTGAAAAGGGTAAACAGAAGTTTACCAGGAAGGCAAGAGAAGATAAGCACAAGGGGCAAACCAAGCAAAAACACAAAGAAAAGAAATTTCATAGAAAGGTACATGGATGCATTACATTTTGTATTTATTAATAGCATAAATTTGAAGAAAATACTAAGAATTTAAGAGTATTGTCAATGCTTGTTTTAAAAATATATTAAAATAATATCCAGTGAATGCAAAGTGCTACGACATTTTTGTAAACAAGATTAAATCACCTTGATGTCCCTACAAAAGAGAAAAGACAAAATTATAATAGAAAAAGCAATAATCTACCTATGGCATATTTATTTATTTATTTATTTTATTTTATTATTATTATACTTTAAGTTTTAGGGTACATGTACACAATGTGCACGTTAGTTACATATGTATACATGTGCCATGCTGGTGTGCTGCACCCATTAACTCATCATTTAGCATTAGGTATATCTCCTAATGCTATCCCTCCCCCATCCCCCCACCCCACAACAGTCCCCAGAGTGTGATGTTCCCCTTCCTGTGTCCATGTGTTCTCATTGTTCAATTCCCACCTATGAGTGAGAATATGTGGTGTTTGGTTTTTTATTCTTGCGCTAGTTTACTGAGAATGATGATTTCCAATTTCATCCATGTCCCTACAAAGGACATGAACTCATCATTTTTTATGGCTGCATAGTATTCCATGGCGTATATGTGCCACATTTTCTTAATCCAGTCTATCATTGTTAGACATTTGGGTTGGTTCCAAGTCTTTGCTATTGTGAATAGTGCTGCAATAAACATACGTGTGCATGTGTCTTTATAGCAACATGATTTACAGTCCTTTGGGTATATACCCAGTAATGGGATGGCTGGGTCAAATGATATTTCTAGTTCTACATCCCTGAGGAATCGCCACACTGACTTTCAGAATGGTTGAACTAGTTTACAGTCCCACCAACAGTGTAAAAGTGTTCCTATTTCTCCACATCCTCTCCAGCACCTGTTGTTTCCTGACTTTTTAATGATTGCCATTCTAACTGGTGTCAGATGGTATCTCATTGTGGTTTTGATTTGCCTTTCTCTGATGGCCAGTGATGATGAGCATTTTTTCATGTGTTTTTTGGCTGCATAAATGTCTTCTTTTGAGAAGTGTCTGTTCATGTCCTTCGCCCACTTTTTGATGGGGTTGTTTGTTTTTTTCTTGTAAATTTGTTTGAGTTCATTGTAGATTCTGGATATTAGCCCTTTGTCAGATGAGTAGGTTGTGAAAATTTTCTCCCATTTTGTAGGTTGCCTGTTCACTCTGATGGTAGTTTCTTTTGCTGTACAGAAGCTCTTTAGTTGAATTAGATCCCATTTGTCAATTTTGGCTTTTGTTGCCACTGCTTTGGGTGTTTTAGACATGAAGTCCTTGCCCATGCCTATGTCCTGAATGGTAATGCCTAGGTTTTCTTCCAGGGTTTTTATGGTTTTAGGTCTAAAGTTTAAGTCTTTAATCCATCTTGAATTGATTTTTGTATAAGGTATAAGGAAGGGATCCAGTTTCAGCTTTCTACATATGGCTAGCCAGTTTTCCCAGCACCATTTATTAAATAGGGAATCCTTTCCCCATTGCTTGTTTTTCTCAGGTTTGTCAAAGATCAGATAGTTGTAGATATGAGGTGTTATTTCTGAGGGCTCTGTTCTGTTCCATAGATCTATATCTCTGTTTTGGTACCAGTACCATGCTGTTTTGGTTACTGTAGCCTTGTAGTATAGTTTGAAGTCAGGTGGCATGATGCCTCCAGCTTTGTTCTTTTGGCTTAGGATTGACATGGCAATGCGGGCTCTTTTTTAGTTCCATATGAACTTTAAAGTAGTTTTTTCCAATTCTGTGAAGAAAGTCATTGGTAGCTTGATGGGGATGGCATTGAATCTATAAATTACCTTGGGCAGTATGGCCGTTTTCACGATATTGATTCTTCCTACCCATGAGCATGGAATGTTCTTCCATTTGTTTGTATCCTCTTTTATTTCCTTGAGCAGTGGTTTGTAGTTCTCCTTGAAGAGGTCCTTCACATCCCTTGTAAGTTGGATTCCTAGGTATTTTATTCTCTTTGAAGCAATTGTGAATGGGAGTTCACTCATGATTTGGCTCTCTGTTTGTCTGTTATTGGTGTATAAGAATGCTTGCGATTTTTGTACATTGATTTTGTATCCTGAGACTTTGCTGAAGTTGCTTATCAGCTTAAGGAGATTTGGGGCTGAGACAGGGGTTTTCTAGATATACAGTCATGTCATCTGCAAGCAGGGACAATTTGACTTCCTCTTTTCCTAATTGAATACCATTTATTTCCTTCTCCTGCCTAATTGCCCTGGCCAGAACTTCCAACACTATGTTGAATAGGAGTGGTGAGAGAGGGCATCCCTGTCTTGTTCCAGTTTTCAAAGGGAATGCTTCCAGTTTTTGCCCATTCAGTATGATATTGGCTGTGGGTTTGTCATAGATAGCTCTTATTATTTTGAGATACGTCCCATCAATACCTAATTTATTGAGAGTTTTTAGCATGAAGGTTGTTGAATTTTGTCAAAGGCCTTTTCTGCATCTATTGAGATAATGATGTGGTTTTTGTCTTTGGTTCTGTTTATATGCTGGGTTACATTTATTGATTTGCATATATTGAACCAGCCTTGCATCCCAGGGATGAAGCCCACTTGATCATGGTGGATAAGCTTTTTGATGTGCTGCTGGATTCGGTTTGCCAGTATTTTATTGAGGATTTTTGCATCAATGTTCATCAAGGATATTGGTCTAAAATTCTCTTTTTTGGTTGTGTCTCTCCCCGGCTTTGGTATCAGGATGATGCTGGCCTCGTCAAATGAGTTAGGGAGGATTCCCTCTTTTTCTATTGATTGGAATAATTTCAGAAGGAATGGTACCAGTTACTCCTTGTACCTCTGGTAGAATTCGGCTGTGAATCCATCTGGTCCTGGATTCTTTTTGGTTGGTAAGCTATTGATTATTGCCACAATTTCAGATCCTGTTATTGGTCTATTCAGAGATTCAACTTCTTCCTGGTTTTTAGTCTTGGGAGAGTGTATGTGTCGAGGAATTTATCCATTTCTTCTAGATTTTCTAGTTTATTTGTGTAGAGGTGTTTGTAGTATTATCTGATGGTAGTTTGTATTTCTGTGGGATTGGTGGTGATATCCCCTTTGTCATTTTTTATTGCATCTATTTTGTTCTTCTCTCTTTTCTTCTTTATTAGTCTTGCTAGCGGTCTATCAATTTTGTTGATCCTTTCAAAAAACCAGCTCCTGGATTCATTAATTTTTTGAAGGGTTTTTTGTGTCTCTATTTCCTTCAGTTCTGCTCTGATTTTAGTTATTTCTTGCCTTCTGCTAGCTTTTGAATGTGTTTGCTCTTGCTTTTCTAGTTCTTTTAATTGTGATGTTTATTTATTTTTACTGTTGCTTCAGCTTATTAGCAAATTCTGTCACTTCAAGTTGTTTTCAAACAATTATGAAGCTCTTTGGGTTGGATTGTCTTTCTGTATGATCAGTTGTTATGAAATTTGTGTATTCCTTCCCTTTCAAGTCTCAGTGATTTATGCTTGGTATGAATTGACTCCCACTTCCATCTAAAGAAACAATCTTCTCTCTATAAGGTGCAAGGCTCAGGACTTAAACTTTGTTGAGTATTCAAACCCTTGTTTAGTAACAAAGTATTTAAAATATTTTGTAACATATTAGTTTGACTATAGAAACATGCACTACTAGGATTTATGATGTTCTGTCATTTGGTCCTGATCTCTGGGAACTTCATACACCACACTCTACAAAATGGCACAAGGCCCATTTGAAAGGCGACTGAGACAATAGTGAGAGTCACGTCTTACATACTTTCACATTTCTCCTTTAAATTAAACATCCCTGCCAAAGTTTTCCTGTTTTTGCCTTCCAACTGGGCTTAGTGCTGTATTACATTCAAAAATTCCAAGCTGAGTATTAAAAAGTCAAAAAATAACAGATGCTGGTGAGGTTGTGAAGAAAAGGGAATACTTATACACTGTTGGTGGGAGTGTAAATTAGTTTGGCCATTGTGGAAAGCAGTTTGGTGGTTTCTAAAAAAAACTTAAAACAAAATTACCATTCCATCCAAGAATCTCATTACTGAGTATATATCAAAAGGAATATAAATCATTCTACCATAAAGACACATGCACAGGTATGTTCACTGCAGCACTATTTGCACTAGCAAAGAAATAAAAACAATCTAAATGCCTATCACTGGTAAACTAGATAAAGAAAATGTGGTACGTGTACAGGATGGAATACTACACATTCATAAAAAGTACAAGATTATGTGCTTTGCAGCAACGTGGATGGAATTGGAGGCCATTATCCTAAGCAAATTAGTGTAGAAACAGGAAACCAAATACTACATGTTCTCATTTATAAGTGCGAGCAAAAAACTGAGTACATATAGACACAAAAATGGAACAAAAGACACCAAGGCCTACTTAAGGGTGGAGGGAGGGAGGATGGTGAGGATTATTATAAAAAATATATATAAGAAAGGAAAAGCCAGCAAAATATTTCAGAAATAAAAAAAGAATGTAGCTAGCAAAAGTGAAAGATTATGACAATCCAATAATGATTAGACCAGCTTTAAGATAAGTCAAATTTTGCCCTAGATTTCACAGTTAGAGGGCCAATGAGAGTTTAGTTATCTTTAGCCTCTTCCCAAATATCTACCTGACTTTTATCTCCCTTTTCTTACATTTCAGTTACCCAATAGATTTCAATAGTTAACCACCATTGAACCTATTTAAACATAATTATAAATAGCTGATTTCATTGTAAGTATGCCATGTAAGAAGGTACATTCAACTACTTACCCCCACGTGTAACAAGAGCTATGTTTCCTTTTCAGCTTGTATACATTTGAACAGTAAAAAAAAGAAAGGTGAGATCCCAAAGACCACAGTAAACTTTAAATGCTCTCAAACAACTTCTACATAGAATCTTCAATGCAATAGGGTAATATTCCATGATTTTTGTATACTCATCAATCTGTTTTTCTTTACCAGTAAGAATTATTGTACAATTAAGAAAGTAAGAATTATATTTTTTCATCCATACAAGACTTAGTCATCACTTTCAACAATAGGGAAATATAAAATTGCAATGTTCTCAGGCCCAGATTAACTTACATTTGTTTATTTAAACTACCAAAGACTCTCAACACTGTGGAAGGTGTAGACAAGTACATTTCCTAGTATCAATAAAAATAATACTAATAACTTGCTTTACATAACTTTTATATAAAGTAACTTTTATGAAAAGCTATGTTAAGCAAGTTATTAGTATTATTTATCTCCTTATGACCACTCAACAGTCCTGTAGTTGGGAAAGAACTACTTTTCCCTACTTTATAAAGGTAACTAAAGAACAGACTCATTAAATGTCTTCCTGGACCTGAGACTCTGCATTTTTAGTCCTCCAATTGCTTCTTATGATTAAGAAAGCTTAAAAGTTATTGAATTCAATAATCCACATACAGTTTTTAGCATGATTCTAGATGCATAGTATTATCCAATAAAAGCTAGTATTAATTATATATATTACATATACTATTTATTACTAAATTGGTGGTCTTGTCACTAGGATGTGAAAGCTGATGTTTCGGGACAAGTTTAAGAAAAATACAAAAGCTTAACTGTAGGACTGGAAAGAGAATTGCCCAACATCTAGGTGGAGATCACATAATTTAATCAAGTGTATTGAAACCCATTAAGAACACAGAGTAAAATTCCATGCTTCAAATAATCATGCCATGAAGTCAGTCTCTGCTCAATGGCAGAGCTAGTTCTAGGAATCTATGCTGAGAGAAAAATAATTTAAAATCCAGAAAAATTTTTATGCACAATAATGATATTAAATTTTTCATGAAAGCAAACTGTTGGGGAAAAGATAAACATATAAAACAATAAGGAAATAAGTCATTATGCAGTCATTAAAATATTATTAAAAAGAAATATACAACATAGGTAAATTAGTAGTAGGTAATAATTCTAAAGTCTTCATATAAAATTATATTTCCAGGTAGGTGGTAGAGTAAGACTGAGGAATAGAAGGCTCTACCAATCATCCTCCCAACAAAGGACATTCATTTAACAGCTATTTACACAATAAGGCACCTTCATGCAAACCAAAAAACCAGGTGAGCACACAGGGTTCCTGATTTTAATTTCATATCACTGAAAGAGGCACTGAAGAGTTAGGAAAAACTGGGAGTGCAGCTCAAGTTCTAGAGCCTTGAGCGAACATAAGTCATATCCAGGGAATGATAACAGCAGGTTTTTGTCTGTTGGCTTCAGGTCTGATCTGACACAATCCTAGTGGTGGTGGCCATAGAGGTGCTTGGGTCACTCCTCTTCCAGTTCCAGGTGGCTCAAAACAGAAAGAATCTTGAATCATGGATGCCACCTCTCCCCAAAACCCCAGCAGCAGCATTGTGGTGGGGAGAGAGTTGCTGTGCACTGGGAAGAGGGAAAGTGCAGCAATTGTGAGGCATTCAACTTAGTGCTGCTTTGTCATAACAGAAAGCAAAAATGGATCAAACCTCAGCTGATGCACACCACAGAGGGGGCATTTAAACCAGCCCCAGCCACAGGATTTTTTATCCCAGCGATCAAAACTTGAGTTATTGCAAACCTCAGCACCAAAGACGAAAGTGCTCTGGGGGCACTAAATAAACATGAAAGGCAGTCTAGGCAACAGAGACTGCAACTTCTAGGCAAGTTCTAGTGCTGAACTGAGCCAGTGGGCTAGACGGCACATGACGTACCGAGACTCCAGCCAGGATGGCTAAGGGAGTGCTGGCATAACCCCTCCACTAACCCCAAACTACACAGTTCACAGCTCCAAAAGAGACTCCTTCCTTCCACTTGAGGAGAAGAGAGGAAAGAGTGGGGAGGACTTTTTCTTGCATACCGAATAACACTCAGCCACAGCAAGATAGGACACCTGTCAGAATTGTGCAGCCCACTTTTCAGTCCCTAGCTCCCTGATGACCTTGCTAGAAACACCCAGGGCCAGAAGGGAATGCACTTCCTTGAAGGGAAGTACCCAGTTCTGGCAGGATGCATCACCTGCTAACCGAAGAGTCCTTGGACCCCGAATAACCAGCAGTGGTACCCAGGTACTATGTCAAGGGTGTTGGGTGACACTCTGAGACTTGCTGGCTTCAGGTGAGACCCAGCATATTCCCAGCTGTGGTGGTTGAGAGGCGATACTCGTTTTGCTTGAAAAAAACAAAAGTGGAAGGAAAATAAAGGAGACTTTGTCGTGGTCCTTAGGTACCAGCTCGGCCATAGGAGAGAAGAGCACCAACTGGGTCCCTTGGATCCCTGATTCCAGGACATGGCTCTGAGATGGCATTTCTGGACCTTCCCTGGGCTACAGGGGAGCCCACTGCCCTTAAGGGTGAGTACGAGGCCAAGCATCCTTCACCACAAGCTGAGCCCTAGGGCCTCCAGGGAACATCAGCAGCAGTCTAGCAGTACTCACTGTGGGCCGGTCGGGGAGTTGGCTGTGGAGTGAGGTTTCTTTGCCTGTGTTTCCATGCGGAGGAAATAGTATGAAGGACTGTGTCTTCTGATTTGTGTACCAGCTCAGCTGCAGTACAACAGAGCACCAGATATACTTCTAAAGTTTTTGACAGTAGTCTCTGGCTCCCAGATGGCATCTGTGCACTCAACAAAGGCCTGGGAGAACTTGACACACTGAAAGGAAGAACTCAGTCCAGGCTGGCTTTGGCACTTGCTGATTTTAAACTCCAGAGCCTTGAGTAAACATAAGTCATATCCAGGGAATAATAACAGCAGGTATTTGTCTATTGGCATCAGGTCTGACTTGACACAGTCCTAGTGGTGGTGGCCAAAGAGGTGCTTGGGTCACTCCACTCCCAGCTCCAGGTGGCTCAAAACAGAAAGACTCCATTTTGGAGGGAGAAAAGGAAGAGAACAAGAGTCTCTGCCTGTCGAAGATCATCGAGGCAATACCTCTATGAGTAAGCAAGAACAACAGTGTTACTGGGCTTGGAGTGTCCCCTAAAGCAGATACAGCTTAGATCAAAACACCCAATTCCTCTTGAGTATGTAGAAAGTAATCCCAGGAGGGATGGGTAAAAACAAGCCCAGACTCCAAAGACTACAATAAATACCTGACTTTTCTATGTCTGGACAAAGAAAAATATTTATGAGTATGAAGAACATACAGGAAAACATGATCCCAAAATATAAACTAACTAAGGTACCATGAACCAATGCTGAAGAAAGAGAGATACATGAACGTTCAGACAGAGAATACAAAATAGCTATTTTGAGGAAACTCAAAGAAATTCAAGATAACACAGAGAAGGAATTCAGAATTGTATCACATAAATTTTAATAAGAGAATAAAATAATTAAAATGAATCAAGTAGAAATTCTGGAGCTGAAAAATCCAATTGGCATGCTGAAGAATGCATCAGAGTCTTTTAATAGCAGAGCTGGTTAAGCAGAAGATTCAGTAAGCTTGAAGATAGGCTATTTGAAAATACGCAATCAGAGGAGACCAAATAAAAAAATATAAAAAATGAAGCCTGCCAACAGGATCTAGAAAATAACCTCAAAAGGGCAAATATAAGAGTTATTTGCCTTAAAGAGGAGGTAGAAAAAGAGAAAGGGTAGAAAGTTTATTCAAAGGGATGATAACAGAGAACTTCCCAAACCTGGAGAAAGATATCAATATCTAAGTATGAAAAAGTTATTAACCACCAAGTAGTTTTAACCCAAAGAAGACTAACTCAAGATATTTAATAAATTTCCAAAGGTCAAGGTAAAGAAAGAATCCTAAAATCAGGAAAAGAAACAAATAACATACAATGGAGCTCCAATACATCTGACAACAGACTTTTCAGTGTAAACCATATAGACCAGGAGAGAGTGGTAAGACATATTTAAAACACCAAAGGAAAAAAAAAACTTTTATTCTAGCTCTAGAATATAATATCCAGCAAAAATATCCTTCAAACATGAAGGAGAAATAAAAGCTTTCCCAGACAAAGAAAAGCTGGGGAATTTTATGAACACCAGACTTTCCCTACAGTAAATGCTAAAGGGAGTACTCCACATAGAAAGAAAAGGACCTTAATGAGCAATAATCAGTCATCTGCAGGCATAACTCACTGGTAACAGTAAGTACAGAGAAAAACACAGAATATCATAACAGTGTAACTGTAAAGCATGCTTATTTTAAGAAGGAAAAGTAAATAATGAAACAATAGAAAACTATAGCAACTTTTCAAGACATAGTAAAGTAAAATATAAATAAAAACAGCAAAATGTTAAAACAAGGGGACAAATGTAAGGCATAAAGTTTATATTACTTTTCTGTTAGCTTGTTTGTTTATGCAAACAGTGCCAGGTTGTTACCAACCTAAAATAATTTGTTATAAATAGTATTTACAACCTCAAAGTTACCTCAAATTTGCCTCAAAGCAAAAAATACACAACGGGTACACAAATAATAAAAAGCAAGAAACTGAATCATATCACCAGAGAAAATCACCTTCACTAAAAGGAAGACCTAAGGAAAGAAAGAAGGAGAAGATGACAAAAGAGCCAGAAAAATGAATAACAAAATGCTAGGAGTAAGTCCTTACTTACATTACATTACATTACATTAAATGTAAATGTATTGAAGTCTCCAATCAAAAGACATAGACTGGATGAATGGATAAAATAATAAGACCTAATGACCTGTTCCCTACAGGAAACACACTTCAGCCATAAAGACACAAATACACTGAAAATCAAGGGATGGAAAAAAATATTCCAAGATAGTGGAAACCAAAAAAGAGCAGGAGTAGCTATAAACTACGTCAGACAAAATACATTTCAAGACAAAAACTATGAGACAAAGAAGGTCACTATATAATAAAAAGTCAAGTCAGCAAGAAAATTTAAAAATTTTAAATATATATGCACTCAACACTGGATCACCCGGATATATAAAACAAATATTATTAGACCTAAAGAGAGAGATAAATGCCAATACAATAATAACTGAGACTTTGCCACTCTACTTTCAGCATTGGTCAGGTCTTTCAGACAGAAAATCAACAAAGAAACATTGTACATAATTTGCACTATAGTTTAAATGTACCTAACAAATATTTACAGAAAATTTCATCCAATGGTTGTGGAATACACAGTCTTTTCCTCAGTACATGAATCATTCTCAAGGACAGACCGTACATTAAATGACAAAACAAGCCTTAAAATATTCAAAAAATAAAAAAAATACATCAAGCATCTGCTCTGACCACAATAGAATGAAACCAGAAATCAGTAACAAGGAGAATTATGGAAACTATGCAAACACATGGAAAAGAAACAATATGCTACCAAATGACCAATGAGTTAATTAAGCAATTTAGAACAAAATTGTTCTAATTGATAATTGAAACATTAACATATCAAAACCTATTAGATATGGCAAAAGAAGTAGTAAGAGGGAAGTTTATCACTAGTGCCCAAATAAAAAAAGAAAACTTCAAATAAGAAACCTAATGATGTATCTTAAAGAACTAGAAAAACAAAAGCAAACCAAACCTAAATCAGTAGATAGAAATAATAAAGACAAAATCAGAGGATAAAGAAATTGAAATAAAGAAAATAAAACAAATGATTAAAAAATAAAAAGTTGCTTTTTCAAAAGTTATACAAAATAGACAAACCTTTAGCCAGAAAAAGAGAGAAGACCCAAATACATAAAATTAAAGGTGAAAAAGAGACAGTGCAACTGATACTTCTAAAATTCAAAGGATTATTAGTGGCTACTGTGAGCAACTATATGCCAATAAATTAGAAAATCTAGAGAAAATAAATAAATTCCTAGGCACATAAAACCTATTATGATTGAACCATGCTGAAATCTAAAACCTGAAAAGGTCAATAAAAAGTATTGGGATTGAAGCCATAATAAAAAGTCTCCCAGTAAGGAAAATCCCAGGACCAAATGGCTTCACTGTTGAATTCTACCACACACTTGAACTAATACCAATCCTATTCAAACCACTCTGAAAAATAGAGGAAGACAGAATACTGCCAAACTCATTCTATGAGGCCAATATTACCCTGATAATAAACCAGAAGAAGACACATAAAAAAAAAAAGAAAACTATAGGCAAATATCTCTGACTAATATTGATGCAAAATTCCACAAGAAAATACTAGCAAACTGAATTCAACAATACATTAGAAAGATCATTCATCATGACCAAGTGGGATTTATCCCTGGGATACACAAATGGTTCAACATATGCAAATAAATCAATGTGATACATCATATCAACAGAATAAAGAAAAAAAAATGATCATTTGAATTGTTGCAGAAAAAGCATTTGATAAAATTCAGCATCTCTTCATAGTATAAACCCTCAATACACTGGATATAAAAGAAACATCTCAACAAAGTAAAATTCATGTACAATAGATCTACAGCTAATATAATACTGAATGGGGAAAAGCTGAAATCCTTTCCCCTAAGATCTGGGAGATGATAAGGATACCCACTTTCATCACTGTTATTCATCATGGCACTGGAAATCCAAACTAGAACAATCAGAAAGAAGGAAAGGGCATCAAAATTGCAAAGGAAGAAGTCAAATTATCTTTGTTTGTACGTGATATAATCTTATTTTTGTAAAAATCTAAAAACGGTGGGGCGTGGTGGCTCATGCCTGTAATCCCAGCACTTTGGGAGGCCGAGGTAGGCGGATCACGAAGTCAGGAGTTCAAAACCAGCCTGGCCAACACAGTGAAACCCCGTCTCTACTAAAAATACAAAAAATTAGCCAGGCGTGGTGGCATGTGCCTGTAGTCCCAGCTACTTGGAAGGCAGAGGCAGGAGAATCGCTTGAACCCAGGAGGCGGAGGCTGCAGTGAGCTGAGATCGCGCCATTGCACTCCAGCCTGGGCAACAGGGCGAGACTCCATCTCAAAAAAAAAATCTGAAAACGTCACAAAACAACAATTAGAACTGATGAACAAATACAGTAAAGTTGTAAGATACAAAATCAACGTACAAAAATCAGTAGCATTTCTATATGCCAACAGTTGAAAAAGAAATTACAAAGTAATCCCATTTACCATAGCCCCACATAAAACTAAATACCTAGGAATTAACCAAATAAGTGAAAAATTGTTATAATGTAAACTATCAAACATTGATGAAAGTAATCAAAGAGGACATAAAAAATTTTCATGTACATGAAATGGAAGAATCAATATTGTTAAAATATTCATACAACCCAAAGCAATCTACAGGTTCAATGGAAACCCTATCCAAATACCAATAAAAATTCTTCAGAGAAATATTTTTAAAAATCCGGAAATTTATATGGAACCACAAAGCTATCTTGAATAAAAAGAACAAAACTGGAAGAATCACATTACCTGACTTCAAAATATACTACAGAGTTATAGTAACCAAATGATGTGGTGCTGGCATGAAAACAGACACATTGACCAATAAAACAGAATAGAGAACCAAGAAACAAATCCACACATCTACAACGAACTTTGTCGACCAAGATGCCAAGGACATACACAGGGACAAGGACAGTCTTTTCCAATAAATGGTACAGGGAAAACTGGATATCCATATGCAAAAGAATGAAATTGGAAAACTTTAAGAACTCAAAGTATGAAAGTAGTTAAAACTTTGGGAGAAAATCTCCTGGACATTGTACTGGGCAAAGATTTCTTGAGTAATACTTCACAATCAAGGCAACTGAAGCAAAAATAGACAAATGGGATCACGTCAAGTTAAAAAGCTTCTGCACAACAAAGGAAACAATCAAGAAACTGAAGATACAACCCACGGAATGGGAGAAAATATTAGAAAACTACACATCTGATAAGTAATTAATAACCAGAATATAAGGAGTTCAAACAACTCTATAGGAAACAATCTAATAATCCAACCTAAAAATGGAAAAAAAGATGTCAATAGACATTTCTCAAAAGAAGACATACAAATGAAAAACAGTCATATGAAAATGTTCTCAAAATCATTTATCATTAGAGAAATGTAAATCAAAACTACAATGAGATATCATCTCATCCCAGTTAAAATGGCTTACATCCAAAAGACAGGCAATAATAAACACTGGCGAGGAAGTGGATAATAACGCACCTTTTTACACTGTTGGTGGGAATGTAAATTGGTACAATCACTATGGAGAACAGTTTGGAGGTTCCTCAAAAAACTAAAAGTTGAGCTACCATATGATCCAGCAATCTCAGTGCTGGGTATATACCCAAAAGAGAAGAAATCAGTATATTGAAGAGATATCTGCACTGCCATATTTGTTGCAGTACTGTTCACAATAACCAAGATTTGGAAGGACTCTAAGTGCCCATCAACAAGTGAATGAATAAAGAAAATATTGTACTTATCTACAACAGAGAACTAGTCAGCCATAAAAAAAAGATGAGATTCTGTCATTTGCAACAACATGGATGGAACTGGAAGTCACTGTGTTAAGTGAAATAAGGCAGGCACAGAAAGACAAAACTGATGTTCTCACTGATTTGTGGGATCTGAAAATCAAAACAATTAAATTCTTGGAGATAGAGAGTAGAAGGATAGTGACCAGAAATTGGGAAGGATATTTGGGGAGTAGTGGGTATGTGGATATGATTTATGGGTACAAAAATAAAGAATAAGACCTAGTATTTGTAGCACAACAGGGTGACTATAGTCAATAACAATTTGGCTGTACATTTTTAAATAACTGAAAGAGTATAATTGGGTTGTCTGTAACACAAAGGATAAATACTTGAGGGGATGGAGACCCCATCTTCCATGATGTGATTATTACACTTTGCCTGCCTGTATGAAAACATCTCATGTACCCTATACATATATACACCGGCTGTTCAAACACAAAAATGAAAAATAAAAAAAATTAAAACTTCTACTTCTAATGTAATATCATTTAGGTATAAAATATATAGAAAAAGAAGGAGGTATTTCCAAATATTATTTGTGGCTATTTACTGAGGTTTTGAATATTGGGTGCTTCTACTTTTTTATACTTTTTAAAATTTTGTAGAATTTCCACAAGGTACAGAATAAAAAATGTTATTTCTTAAATAAATGAATAATGCTAGAGATCATCTTATTTCCTGCCACCATATTAGCTTTGCATGCTCTGTCTCCATGATATAAATACATGAATGATTCTCCTAATTCCGTGATGCTGGAGCCACATTTGCATTCAGTATTGACCAAGGCAACCTCTTTGGGCTTTTCTGAGGAGCCACTATGTTCAAAGTATAACCTGGCTTCAGTCTGAATATTGCCAGCAGAGATAGATGGAATATTCAAATACTTGACTAACTTTAAAAAAATTAAACAGCTCTTCTAGTAATGTTCAGATCTGCATCCACCATCTGAATTTTGGTGCTGTTGTGCTAAGCACACAGATGGTCTCTCAGTTGTCTGCCTTTCTGATTGCTCCGAATCAAAATCTGCTTCCACTAAAGCCAAAAGCAAAGCTAGTAAATTGCTGTTTACCCTATTGAGATATGATGAGGAAGAAGCCGTGATAATGTCCTATGCACACTGGTGCTCTTCAGTTTAGTGTTATCCGACTCCAAAGTAAGTAAATTGAATGGAACCAAACAGAACTATTGAAGTAAATTGCCTTCAGCTGATATTTTATAATGCTCTGTCTTGTCTTCAAGGTCTGTGAATAAGGTTAATTCAAATCTTAAGGCCAAGTTCAGAAAAGTTCCAGCGCATCAGAAAGCTCCCAGAAAAACCTGGGCAAAAAGAAATTGGCACAGTTCAATCTGTATTACTATCTAACTGCACTCGGCACCTCCTCAGTATTGAGTTATTTAATGCATGTGAAAGAAACTCTCTCTTATCTATTTTCTTGCTGGATCTTCTGGAGAAAAAAAAAAGTCAGCTTCTGAGGAAATGATTTAAGGAATATGGCTACATTCATTAGTGTGTAAAAGTAGCGAGACAAGAAGAAAATTGCATACTTAGATTTAGCTGATACGGCTCAACAAAAGATGAAAAGAAATGCTTGGAACCCAAACAATGGGAGAAGTAGATAATGAGAAGTGGAACAGAGAATATGGCAAAAATAGCATATTGGTAGCTTAGCAATAGTTAGCAGAGAAGCTTGAAGGGTCATATGGGTCTGGAGAATGCTACTGCTCAGGGGCTTGAGGATTTTCAGGCGTTTTCATTTACTCAGTCCAGTGTAGCTGAAAGGGGAATAGAGTTCTAGTCCAAGTTGCAAATGAATAATAGAAAAATTGAACTTCTCCCTCAGTAAAGCAGAGAAGGATATTGACTGTAAATAGGTTGGAATTAGGTCATTCACATTACCTGACGTATCCAAGGATAGCTAAAGGTTGACTACTCTTGCTGTGTATTTCATCTTTCATAAAGCTGGCACCTCAAATGCCCTTATTTTACTTGCAGCAAAATATTTTTGCTGCACTCATCCCAACTAGCCAGGATATAATATTGCTCATAATTCAGTAGTGAGGAGAGAAGTCAGTTATTGGCAGAATCTTCTGGTAGCTGCAGCATGAGTAAACATACCTCAGGCTGGCAGCTGGGACATTTTGCTATTTACCATAGATCAGGGGCTAGGAGATGCACAACATTATATCTCATTCTATGCAGAATACTTACAGTGTCTTTTCTTCTAAAAATAGTTGCTCTCTTTCAGTGACTACACCCAGTTTTAGGAATCATCAGTCTTCTCTGTTATTCCTCCCCATCAAAGCAGGATGTTATCTATAGTGTGGAACACTGATAGTAGATGCATTCTCCTCATACCAACAACAGTGAAGTCTGAATAAGTATTCATAAAACTCAAATTAAACCTAAACCTGGGATTATACTCTTAATAGAATTAAGACTCATCTGTTTTAAGAAACAGCAATATCCTCTTTTATTCTAACAAGCAGAGTGATCGTGAGCACATCACTTTTTATGGTCTTAGTTTCCTCATCTGTAAAATGAGAGGATGTGAATAGGTGATATCATTGTATGATTATATGAATAGGGATACAGAGATGAAATTTAAAAATGGCATTCTGATTCTTTTATGCAAATTGATGACAAAACTGAATAAATCAGAATTTTCAGTGAGTCTGGTACTTTCTTTCATGTACATAACATGTGGTAGGACATGGTCAACCATGGTCTGGCCCTTCCCTGCATCTTCAACTCCATCTTAGGCCGCTTCCAGACATAGATTTTATTTTAGTTATATCAATGTAACTGTAGGACATCACATACAATATTCTCATGAGGGGGACCTACCCTAAATCTTATGGGCTGGAGGAGCAGAGAATGGTATTGGATTATAGTGGACAACCTCATTCCCAAGAAAAAAGGGGAAGTAAGGTTCTAGACCACATATATCCAGCTTCTACTGAAAAGTTTGGCTGGAATAAAGGTGGGAACAGTTGAGTCCTAGCCTTGGATCCTCTGTTGAAAGCCAATGGGTGTGGGTTTTCAGCAACATGATTCCTGTTTGCCCATTTATCTCATGTTTTTTGTTGTTGTTGTTGTTACTAAATGCTACTTTCCAGGTATGATTGCACACTATTCTTTAAAGCTACAAATCCCTGTAAGTAAAGGCAACTGTTTGCCAAGCCAGAAGGTAAGGAGAAAGGAAGAGGGCACAAATACTATTAAGGCTTTTGTTGTTGTTGTTCCAGGGCCTTTACTGAGCAGGGAAGATACATTCTAACAGTCTTGCCCTAGAGATAATTATTTGCATTAACAACTAGGAGATGACATAGAAAGTTTTGTGCTTACAAAGCAGTTCAGTTTTTAGTCAGTTTTGTGTCCAGGCTTGAAACATTGTTTTCATTTTATTGACTGGCTATTTAGTCAGCACCTTTATGGAACAGAATGCATCTAGAATACTGGTGGCCTTGATTATAGTTAGTTCCAGAAGGGACCTTAGGGATTGTCTAGTTTGACATTCTCAGTTGCCATAATAGGTGTCTATCTTGTTAATCGCTGTTTCTGTAACACCAAGTACAGTGCCTGGCACATACTAAGTGCTCAATATGTGTTGAATTTGCAAGTGAGGAAACTGACTTCTTGTATGATTAGGTATAAGACTAGCTAATAGAAAAACTGGGGCCAGAATCTAGGTCATCAGCCATCCAGTCTTGCTACAACTTCTTTCTACACCACATCTGCATAGTGACTTAAAATGCAAGTCAGAATTTGAATATGGGCACAAATATTCAATGATGATGCTTTATTAATGCTACTTAATGGTTAGAAGTATGGTTCTGGAGGCAGGCTGCCAAGGTGCAATATGGGCATAGCAACATATTCAGTCCAATAACCTTGTGCAAGTTACTTAACCACTCTGAGACAGAATTTCTTCATCAGCGAAATGGAAGAATAGCATCAACCTCATAGGGTTGTTGTAAGAATTAAAATAATGAATGCATGTAAAGTGCCAAGAATCCTGTATGGTACATAATAAATGTCAGCTATTATTACTGATTATTATTCCCACTATTATAGTTGATAATTCTATCTTTGGCCACTTCACATGTATTCTTCTTCTCTATTTGAAGTTTGAATAGTAAAATGATGCAAATGGGCATTTCTCAAACTCATTTTTGTCTAAAAGATTACAAAGTTCCACTTTGGTACTGACATTACAGGATCCAAATGCTAGCCACGGCATATCAGGCAGCCTTTCATTAGATTATTTGTATGAATCTGGTCTTGGAAAATGAGACATAATTAACCAGAGCTTGTCAAGTTGATAAAAATCCCATGTCTTGATTACTTACAAAAACCCAAAATGGAAAGAAACTTTACAACTTTTTCTTTGGGTTTGATATTTGAGGTGGAAAATTTGTCTGGATGTCTACTTTGTATAAGTCAACCACACCCAAAAGTAAGAAGGGATAAAGTAATTTTGGCAGGTGCTCAATGTCAAACTCAGGTGAATGAAAATACTGATTTCCTTTCTCTGACTAGGAGACAGAAAATAAATGAAAATATTCTAGAACATAGAGAGATTACAGCAGGCTTTGAGACATATGTCAATAAAACAATGGGAAACAACTAAAATTAGGGGTAAGAGGGTCCATGAAGTATTTACCTGTCTGACTCTGATATCTGAATGGCTAAAAACTAAGTGGAAAAAAAATCTCCAATGAAGTCAACTTCATCTTTTCAACAACAGTTTTCACAGATCATTTAGCAGATTTTCAGGAAGGCTTTGAAATAATACTAGCTGTGGCTAACACAATTGAAATGTAAAGGTAGAGTGGCTTTCCAGAGCTCCAGTGGCACAATTGGTTAGCATGTGGTACTTATGTGAAAACAGAGTGGATTTGTTCCACTTAAAAATCCTTCGAGCACATGTACATTTCAACACCTGATTTCACTGCTATGTCACCACTGTGCTGAAAAGGAATTACTTCCTGGAAGGAGGTATGGCTCACTTCTCATATTCTATGTTTAAAATTTTTAATTTTCATGGGTACATAGTAGGTATATGTATTTATGGGGTATATGAGATATTTTGATATCAGCATAGAATGCATAATAACCACATCAGAGTAAATGGAGTATCTATCACCTCAGGCATTTATCTTTTGTTTTACAAAAAATCAAATTATAATCTTTTAGTTATTTAAAAATGTACAATTAAATTATTTTTGACTGTAGTCACCCTGTTTTGCTATCACATACTAGATCTTATTCAATTTTAACTATTTTTTGTATCCATTAACCATCCCTACTTTCTCACCCTCTGCACTAGCCTTCCCAGCCTCTGGTAACCATCCTTCCGTTCTATATGTCCATGAGTTCCATTGTTTTAATTTTTACCTCCCACAAATAAGTGGGAAAAGGCAATATTTTTCTGTTGCCTGCCTTATTTCATTTAACATAATGACCTCCAGTATCATCCATGTTGTTGCAAATGACAAGATCTCATTTTTTTATGGCTGATTGTGTACATGTGCCACACTTTCTTTATCCATTCATCTGTCTGTGGACACTAAAGTTGCGTCCAAATCTTGGCTATTGTGAACAGTGTTGCAATAAACACGGGAGTGCAGATATCTCTTTGATATACTGATTTCCTTTCTTTGGGTATATGCCCAGCAGTGGGGATTGCTGGATCATACGGTAGCCCTATTTTTAGTTTTCTGAGGAAACGCCAAACTGTTCTCCATAGGGGTTGTACTAATTTACATTCCCACCAATAGTGTATAAGGGTTCCCTTTTCTTCACATCTCTGTAATTCGGACAAAGTTTATTACTGAGGCCCATCTATTCTCTGAACTGGAAACAGACTTTTCAGAGAATTACCAGAGTAGGAGATGACTCCACTTTGCTGATATCATCATTGTCTTTTCAAAGATATGCAGCAACTATGACTGTGAAATGCTATACCTTTTCCTAGGCAGCTGTTCTAGGCTCTATTCTCTAAGAGAATACCCTAAGATGTCATAGAGACATCCGAGTATCGTGGTAACAATATCAAATAGAGAGATTCAAGTATTGGTTCTTCTGTTTACTAGATGCTTGATCTTGGAGCAGATAATTTGTTTTATTTTCTGCCTTACATTCCTCAAAATGAAAGACTTGTTATTAATAATTGTTAAAGTCTTTTGTAGTCTATGTAAAATAGCTGATTGCTACTGTTACAGGAAAGGGGTCCCGATCCAGCCACAAGAGAGGGTTCTTGGATCTCGTGCAAGAAAGAATTCAGGGCGAGTCCACAGTGCAAAGCAAAAGCAAGTTTATTAAGAAAGTAAAGTGCTAAAAGAACAGCTACTCAATAGACAGAATGGGGCATTCCAAAAAGTAAGAGGAGGATTGTGTCCACCCTAGTTACAGTGCATATATATATACATATATATGATATATACACATATATATACATATATATGATATATACACATATATATCATATATATGATATATACACATATATATACATATATATGATATATACACGTATATACATATATATGATATATACACATATATATACATATATATGATATATACACATATATATACATATATATGATATATACACATATATATACATATATATGATATATACACATATATATACATATATATGATATATACACATATATACATATATATGATATATACACATATATATACATATATATGATATATACACATATATACATATATAGGATAAAAAAATTATGTGGAGATGTGCTCTGCTACAAGGTTTTGTGATAAATGATTAATTTTCTTAATTAGTATATTTTACAAGAATCGATATTATTATTTTTAAAGCAAAATTAGGAATGCATTTGTTCTCAAGATACTGGGATATCTGGACACTCCCAAGCCTGGGTCTATTTAATAAACATTATAAATCTGTTCTGTTAACTGTAAACATTAAGAGGCTAGGAATACTTAACTTTCTGGGACTGCAGGCCGCCAAGTGCCCAGCCTCATTTTCCTAACCCTCACTCTGGTTCGAATGCCTCCTACATATTTCTTCCCTCCCTTTACAAGAGGACTCTTAATCCTAAGGGTTGCAGAAGGACAGAGATCCGTCTTCTGTAACTTCTTCAGGCTGAATAGAAGCAATGATATTCCTGCCTAATGATTGGTCTTTTGCATTCAGGGTAGAGAGGGGCTCAGTCAGAAAGCATTGGTATGGTGAAGGTCATTTATACGTTCCGACAAAAGGTGATATCTGGAAGATTAACAAATGTCCAATTTAAGAAAACGTTGAGTAAGCTTGTCTTGCATTCCTATAAGAAGAGTACAACCACAATGTTCTCCACAACAGCAAAGCAAAATAAGTAAAGTTATTTTAAGTAAACTAAACAGGAAGGTTTTCCAAGAACTGGGCAGTCATTGGAACCAAGCCAATATAGGTTCGACTGACAGCACATCAGCAGCAGAGATATGAGTGTCTATAGCTTTGATAGGCTGGGTAATATTATGTGAATAGTCTGGAACATACACACATTTAATTTTGATCAAAGCACAAGTATTCCCTTGGGCTGCCATTAAAATGTCCAAAGCCATATGGTTTCGTAAGACTACCTGCCTAATCTGATAAGTTTCCTCAATTAGGAGGGTAAGGACATGGCATGTATTATTGAAAGCTGGAGCCATGTGCTTGGGCAAAGCTTCAACTTGTAACTCAATACTGATTGTAGCTGCCTGTGGGGAAAATATAGCCATCAGATAGAACCACCAAGATGCCCATTTTTGTTGCCTATGGTGAGCTTTTATAATTTCCCAGTTAGATGGGAGAGCATCCAATTTAGTGAGGATACATCCTGGGAGATAAGGGTGACTTCACATACACCTTCCAGTCTAGTTACAAGGTAAGTATGACCAGCCATGAGTTCCACAAGCCCATAACCATCCCCAAGGAGAAGGGTAGCCACTTATTTTTGGAAAATTATCTTGCCATCCAATCTACATCTGGTCCATACAAAGAAGATTCTGGTTTCATTGTTGAAGTGGCAGCCATCCCATATCATGGGTTTCAGTCTGAGGGTGACTATTATTGTGTCTTTTAAAACATGGAGACACTTTGCCTGATACCCACACTTGAACAGCTGTCATTCACCCAAGTTCATCACGTATAGCATAACCTAAGGCTGAGGTAGAGTTTAGCTGTTTTCTGATTAGATTAAAAAGGTCCCATCTTGTCTCTTTGTAGAAGGGGAAGGGCTAAGTTCTGTATGGCTATGATACATGGGAAAACAGGGACTATGTTGATAATGTTCAGTTTACCAATCATAATAAAATCCCCATAAACTTAGGTTGGCTTGTTGAATATGCCAGGGCAACCCGGAAGTGGAGGAAAGTGGCAATTCTCCACACACCCAACAGTTTGTCTGACTATGTAGAGAGGCTAAAGTCTTTGCCCACTCAGTAAATAAGTTACTCTTTGCATGATTCCAACTTATACCCAAAAGTAGAATGCCAATCCATATCTTTGTGTTACGCATCCCTTTCGATTCTTCTAAACAGGAGTTGGAGGTCACTGGTTGGCTCACAGGAATAAATGGGATCAGTCTCTGGTGTTTTGTCAGCCTGTGGGACTTCATAAGAGACAGGTTTAATTTGAGATAAGTGGACCCAGCTGTTTATTTCTAGTAGTTTACAGCTGGGGTACTAAGGAGAACTTGATAGGGCCCCTTCCATTTTGGGGAAAGTTGATCTGCTGGGGATCCTTCCTTCCAAGTTTTTAATAGGACTCAATCCCCCAGCAGGGTTGTAACAAGAGTCTCTTCCTTAGTAGTGGAAGGAAGTCTTTGATTTCCATACTCAAGGGCACCTTTTGCACTTGTCCTAAGTTGATTACATAATTCTGTAGCTTGAAAGTATCTATACCTATTAGGAGGTCTGTAGTTACGAAAGGCTTTCCATACATTATTTCAAAAGGGCTGAGCTGCAGATTTCCCTTAGGAGCCACTCAAACCCGTAACAAGGCTACAGGCAATAAAGATAGCCAAGCTCCTGATGTTCCTTGGCATAGTTTAGCAAGAGTCCTTTTAAGAGTTTAATTAGCCTTTCTACTTTCACTGAAGACTGTGGCCTCCATGCCAAGTGAAGGCAGTACTGAATTTCTAGGGCTGAAGATATGTTTTGGGTAATTTTCACTATAAAAGATGGACCATTATTGCTCTGTAAGCTCTTAAGCAGCCCAAATTTAGGAATTATTTCCTTTAATAGGAGTTTAGAAACCTCAATTGCCTTTTCAGACCCGGTGTGAAAAGCCTCGTTCCAACCAGTAAAGGTGTCAACAAGTGTTAGCAAATATTTAAACCATTTACATGGGGGCATCTGAGTATAATCTATTTGCCAATCTTCACTAGGGTATGTTCCCCAATGCTGAACAGGCCTTACTAAAGGAGGAGGCAAAGATTGGTTATTTGGGTTATTCTGGGCACTTAGTTCACAGGCCTAAGTTACCTGCTTTACTGTTTTAAGTAAGCCTTTTTTAATAAAAAGCCAAGACATCAATTGAAACAGGAAATCTCTTCCTAAATGAGTAGGGTCATATAAATGCTTAACTATTTTCCACTGATTAATACCAGGTATCAACAGTTTGTTGTCATTGATAAGCCAGCCAGAAGAATCTCAAATTAAACCCTGACCTTTAGCCCATTCTTGTTCCTTTGTAGTATATCTTGGTTCTGTCATTACTATGGCTGAAGGCACTAACATGCCAACAAGTCCAAATGGCTCCTTTAATGCTGCTGCCTTAGCTGCTGCATCTGCAAAGGAGTTTCCCTTAGCTACAGTAGAGTCTCCTTTTTGATGCCCTCTGCAATGGATTACAGCTACTTCCTTGGGAAGCAAAACAGCATCTAATAGATTCAGAATTTCTAAGTGATGTTTTATAGGGGAACCCTTAGCAGTTAGGAGTTTTCATTCCTTCCAGATCAGCAGCATGAGCATTAAGTACCAGAAAGGCATACTTAGAATCATTGTAAATGTTGATTCTTAAGTCCTTTCCCAATTTCAGGGCTCTAATAAGAGCTATTAATTCTGTCTTTTGAGCTGAGGTAGAAGCTGGTAAGGCCTGAGATTCAATTACCTCGTGTTGACTCATATCCAGGTTTCCTGTTTCCCTGGTGCACAAAGCTACTTCCATCTGTAAATCATTCTACCTCAGGATTACATAGAGGCTCATCCTTTAAATGCAGCCAGCTGGAGTAAACTTGCTCCATAACTTGTATACAAGAATGATCTAGGGTAGGGTGCCTGTGGGTTCAGGTAAATAGGTAGCTGAATTCAAAGTCTGGCATACTTTAAGAGTTACATCAGGAGTGTCTAGCAACAAAGCCTGATATTTCAATAAGCATCCCCCTGTCATCCACTGGTGTCCTTTGGCTTCTAGGATTCCTTGTACTTGGTGTGGGGTTAAAACCTCCAGATATTTTCCTAAAACCAGTTTATTGGTTTCATCTACTAAATGAGCAGTTGCTGCCACTGCCCTGAGGCATCCAGGCCATCCTGAAGTTACATGGTCTAATTGCTTAGAAAAATATGCCACTGTTAGAGAATATCTCCCATCTCCTATACAAGGACACCTAGGGTGGTTCCTTGTTTTTCAGCCACATAAAGGAAAAGTGGCTTATCAAGATTAGGAATTCGTAGGGCTGGAGCTGATCCCAATTTCTCCTTGAGAGCATTAAAACCTTGTTTACAGTTACTATCCCATTCAAAAGGATCTACATCTGCTCCTTTCAGAGCCTCATATAAAGGCTTGGCTATATGTCCAAATCCAGGCAACCATAAATGGCAGAATCCTGCCATCCCTAGGAAAACCCACAGCTGCTTTCTAGTTTGGGGTTGTGGAATACTTAAGATAGCTTCACTTTATTCTGGCACTACTGCTCAGGTGCCAAGGGTTAGGACAAATCCTAAGTATTTACCCTCTTGAGTTGAAAACTGGGCTTTATGCCATGAGACACTATACCCATTAGCTACCAGAAAATTTAGAAACCTGTTGGTATTTTCATCTGAGTCTCTTCTGGTTGGGCTAGCAATCAACAGATCATCTACATATTGAATAATAGTGCCCCAAATTCAGCCAACTGGTGCACACAGATGATTTTCCTTTCAGTTGGGGGTCTCTTCAGTATCGTCCCTTCCGTGGTTCACCAGAAAGATGTTACAGGGTCTCATGCAAGAAAGAATTCAGGGCGAGTCCACAGTGCAAAACAAAAGCAAGATTATTAAGAAAGTAAAGTAGTGAAAGAACATCTACTCCATACAGAGTGTGGGCATTCCTGAAAGTAAGAGGAGGAATGCGTCCACCCTAGGTACAAGTGATAAAGGATTAATTTTCTTAATTATTATATTTTGCAAGAATCATTATTAGTATCTTTAAAGCAAAATTAGGAATGCCTTTCTTCTTGAGATATTGGGATATCTGGACATTCCCAAGTCTGGGTCTGTTTAGTAAACATTATCAATCTGTTCCCTTAACCATAAACATCAAGAAGATAGGAATACCTAAATTTCTGGGAATGCAGCCCAGCAAGTCCCAGCCTCATTTTCCTAGCCCTCACTCAAAATGGAGTCACTCTGGTTCAAATGTTTCTGACACTGCTATATTATTTGTAACTACATTTATGGATATTTACATTTTTAAAAGTATATTAAGACACTGAAATCTTTAGATTTTTGTGCTAGATCATAGGGCAAGAAATTGGGGTATAATGGTAGATCTTCAGCACCTATTAAATTAAAACTAGAAAATGACTTAAATGGAAAGACAGCACAATGTAATGGAAAACACAGGGGTTTAGAACTGGAAGGCCTAGGTTTGAATCCTAGCTCATTCATGTAACATCTCCTAATTTGTTAAATGGGTGACTACTACTACTACTACTACTACTACTAACAATAATTGGAAACAAATTTGCTAAAGCATAAAAATGCAGGGAGATTTCTGCCTCTGCTTATGATGAAGTAGCTAATGCCAAACATGCTCTCCCACTATTAGAAAAGCCACAAAGTTGGACATGATGTAAAAAAAAATGTTTTAAGATACTGAACAATAGGTAGTACAGGACTTTGGTCACCAAGAAAAAAGAAACATACAAAGTGAGCCCTATATTCATGTCAGTTCTATGACTTGGAAAAATTTCTTGAGAAAGACATAAGAAAGTAGAACTCAAACAGACCAAGACAGTCCTGCTGAGCTGAGAAGATAAATATTAAAGTTCACGGTAGGATATTGGAGAGGAGGGAGCTATGCAGAAGGGTTCACAGGTATCTCTGTTTGAGTTTCCCATAAGTCACTGGCCAAGGTTTAGGATATAGATGTGTGGGGCACGACTGTGTGAGACCTAGCAACAAGAAATTGTCATGGATTTGAGAGTTGAACAGAGATTCTAGAGGTTGCACAGTGCTAAAAAATATCAGAGTGGCACTGTAGCCAGAGTGACAAGACCCCAATCCAATTCCTAGCATTCAGCTAAGGCAACAGAAAGGCCATGCATTAAAAAAGGGTCCATGCTGTAGGGTTACAGCTACTCTATAAACACACCCTAAGAAAGCCTATAACCAAGCCTCCACAAAACCAAGTAGAACTGCCAGCAAATTAACTGACTGCTACAACAAAATGAAACATTATTTAAAGGAAGAGAATATGCAAAATTGATTTCTTACAATGTATTATCCAAAATATCTAGCAACACAAATAGCTTAATATGCAAAGAAGGAAATGTTACCCTAAATCAAGAAAAAAAGCAATCAATATTAAAATATCTCTGTATACTCTGATTTTGGGATTAACAGATAAGGGTTTTTAAGCAGCTGTTAAATTATATTCAAACATATAAAGAAAAATATGATTTTAATAAGAGAATAAATAGAAAAATCTCAGCAGAAAAATAAAAACAATAAAGAAGAAACTAATTTAAAAATCTATAAATTAAAAGTTAAATATCTGAAATAAAACTACTTATTGGAAGAGCCTGACAGCAAACTGGAGTTAGAAGAAAAAGGGGTCAGTGAATTTCAATACAAATTTATACAAATTACCCAATCTGAAAAACAAAGAAAAAGATTTGAAAATAATTAAGAGCCTCAATGACCTGTGAGATAATGCAAAGCTCTCAAACATGCATGTAATTGGACCCCCAGAGGCAAGGAGAGAGAGAATTAGGCAGAAAGTTATTTGAAAAATAATGCTCAAAATGTCTTAAATTTGGTGAATAACAATAACCTATATATCCAGGAGCTCAGCAAACTCCAGTAGGCTAAGTATAAAGAAAACCACACTCAGGCACATCATAGTCAAATATCTAAAAACAGACAGAAATTAAAAAAAAAAAAAATAGCAAAGACCCCCTCAAGGATCTAGAATCAGAAATACCATTTGACCCAGCATTCCCATTACTGGATATATACCCAAAGGATTATAAATCATTCTACTATAAAGACACATGCACACGTATGTTAACTACAGCACTATTTACAATAGCAAAGACTTGGAACCAACCCAAATGTCCATCAATGATAGACTGGATAAAGAAAATGTGGCACATATACACCATGGAATACTATGCAGCCATAAAAAAGGATGAGTTCATGTCCTTTGCAGGGACATGGATGAAGCTGGAAACCACATTTTCTTCCAATAAAAGACTTGCATTTTTATTTTCTTATTGGTATATTTTGAACATTAGAAAATATTCATAATGCATATATCTGACTAAGTACTGACATTCAAAATATATAAAGAACTCTTACAACTCAATATTAAGAAGATAAACAACCTAATAAAAGTGGGGTGGGGATTGCACAAGACTTTTGAACACTTTATAAAAGAAGATATATGTATGACCAATGAGCACATGAAAAGAAGCTCAACATCTTCAGCCTTCAAATAAATATAAATTAAAACTAAAATGAGATAAAAATGTATGCTTACCAGAATGGCTAAAAATAAAAAGTGTTGGGGTACAGAAAATAATTCCCCAAAATATGGCTCTTTAGGACGCTAAGCACTTTGAAAGTGGAAAGGTCTCAGAAATAAGCCTCAGAACCAAGGGCTCTCTCTGACCTTCCCTTGCCTTTCTGTCTCTCTGATCCTCTTTCCAGAAGCACTGGGGGAGACTCTCTCTGAAATTTCCTTATCTAAGAAAGCTTATTTCCAAAAAGAAATGCATTATGTATTAAGACTACCTCTCTAGGAATCTCATCAAATAACCAGGAAAGGTCAACCACAGAGAAGAGAAGAAACTGGGGGTCATCATCACACTGAGATAAATGTTTCATCTGTCTTTCTGAGGGCAGCTCTAAGAGATTTCCTAGAGGGGAGGGGGGCTTTATCTGCATAAAAAGACAATCTTTGTTCCTATGTAATTCTGCCCCTAACCTTGTCCATCTAGCTTCCAAATAGAATCATGTACAAAATAATGTCTGTCTCCTGAGTCCATACATCTCTCCCATATAAAGACAGTATTTAAGCCTCAACCATAGGGCCCCTCTGTAAGTCTCATATTTTGTGTATCGCTTCTGTGTTTAGGCATGTTAATAAATGTGTATGCCTTTTTCTCCTATTAATCTGCCTTTTGTCAGTTCATTTTCAGTGAATCTTCAGTGGGCAGAGAGAAAGCTTTCTCTCAACCCCTACAAAAGAGTGACACTATCAAGTTGTAAAGTAAATATAAAATCTTAAGCCCCCCACTGACTGAACAGACACGCTCTTGGCCAAGGGGACCCCAGAAAAACCATAAAACCTGAATTCCCAGCCATGATGGGTTTTGGAGTTTAGGCACAATTGACTAGCATTAATAAAATTAGTAAAAATGGAGATCATAAGACTAAATGGACTCTTTGTGACAATAAAATACCAAATTATAAACAGGACCTAAGGCCATGCCAGACAATGATTAAGTCACATACCCCTACAGGTCACTCTGACCCAGTGTATTGGTTAACAGAATTACTTATCTTAAAACATTCCTTTCTGCTGACTCCAAATTTTTAGACAAAGCTTTACTCCTTTAACCAACTGCAAATTAAATAATTTCTTAATCCACCTATAACCTGCAGGCCATTGCTTCAAGATATCCCACCTTTTGGGGCAAAACCAACATATACCTTCCATGTATTGATTTATGACTTTCCCTGTAACTCCTCCCTCCCTAAAATGTATAAAGCCAAACTGTAATCTAACTTCTGCAGATGCACTTTCTCAGGATCTCTTCAGACTGTGTTCCTCGGGACATAGTCATTCATATTGACTCAAACCTCTTTAAAATATTTTGGAGTCTGGTTTTTTCATCAACAAAGTGAAGATGTGAAGCAACTAGAACTCTTGTACATTGTAGATAAGAGTGGTACAACCTCTTTGAACTATGCAAAATGGTACAACCTCTTAGGAGAAAAGTTTTTTTTTTCAATTTTTTTAATCAAGCTAATTACACATCTACCCTATGACTTCAGCAATTTTATATCTGGATATTTTGTGTACAACGACAAAAAGACTTGCATTTGTTCATTTGTTCATAGCAGTCTTATTTATAATAACTAAAACCTGGAAACAACTCAAATGTCTATCAATATAAAATTGATAAATTATGTCATATTCTATAAAGAAATACAGATTAGTAAGCAAAAAAAAAATAAATTACTGATATACACAATAACATAAATGAATCTCCAGACTCCAAATTAAACAAAGTAAATGCTGTATGATTTCATATATATAAAGGAGTTCTAAAACAGAATAAATTATTTTGTAATAATAGAAAGAGAGTAGCGGTTGTTCAAAGATGGGAGTTACGGTGGGAATTTGACTTCAAAGGGGTAGGAGGGCACTTTCCAGGATGATATTATGATTCATTTCTTGAGAGGAGCTAAAACTACTCAGGCGTATACATTTGTCAAGATTAATTGAACTGTACACTTAAAATGGATGCTTTTTTCTCCATATAATTTTTACCTCAATAAAGTTGATTTAAAAAAGAAAGCAGAGCATTCCAGGTTGAGAAATATGTGCTCTCTTCTCTCTTCCCTGAAGCAGCATGAGCTCATTTTCAGGCTGAAAAGTGATGGCTTTATTTGTAAACAAATGTCAACTTTACCTTGCCAAAAAGGAAGTACTATGCCCTCAAGGTACTTGAAGGGTGGGGTGAATGTGTGTCAGTCAGAAAAGGAGCAATGGATTATTAAGAACGCAGAGGAGGAAAAAAAAAACAGAGTGGTTTGGTAAAGATTTGAAGAGGTACTTTATGCATTGCAGAAAATATTACAAACCTATAAGGGGGTATGCCTGTGTCTGATCCATTAAGAAGATAATCTAAGGGTGTGGATAGGTAGGAAAAGATCAGAACGAAGTAGTTAGCACTGATGAAGAAAATTTGTTTGCTGTGAAGCACCCTGGATATCAAGCTGGAGCCATCTCACCGAATGCGTGCTCAAAAATTGGCCTTAAGCTCAAATTTGTATAAAACTTTTTAAAAATTTTTCATTTTTGGGGGTACGTAGTAGGTATATATATATAGGTGTATATGTATAGGATAGGTGTGTATATAAGGTGTGTATATATATATATATCCACCACCTTATATACGCACCTATACATATACACCTATATATATACACCTATATATATATATATATACACACACACATATATATATAGGTATATACCTGTATGTATATATATAGATGTGTATATATATATATATATAAAAAAAACCTGTGTGTGTGTATATATATATATATAGGTGCATATATATAGGTATATACCTATATATACACATATGTATATATAGGTGTGTGTATATATATATGTATATACACATATATGCACCTATATATATACTTGTATATATATATAGGTATGTGTATATATATAGGTGTGTGTATATATATAGTTGTGTGTATATATATATACAGGTTTATATATATCTATAGGTGTGTATATATAGGTATATACACACCTATATATACACACCTATATATATACACCTATATATATATACAGGTGTGTGTGTGTGTATATATATATATACCAGTATATACCTATATATATACATCTATTATATATATATATAGGTATATACATATATATATGTATATACCTACTACATACAGGCAAAAATGAATATATATATATGGTACATAAAATATTTGATACAGGCATACAATGTGTAATTATCACACCAGGGTAAATGGGGTATATATCACCTCAAGCATTTATCCTTCCTTTGTGTTACAAACAATCCAATTATACTTTTATAGTCATTTTTAAATGTATAATAAATTATTGTTGACTGTAGTCATAATGTATAAACGTTTTAAATAGGTACCTGAAGCACAAAAGCCCCTTGTCAAGACCTGTGTATCTTTTCTTGAGGTAAATTACAATGGATTTACTGACTGAGAGCTTGAGGCGAATCCCTCTGATATGTCTGGCCTAGTGCAAAGACAGGGCTGCTCTTAGAATATGGTGTTCAGAAACAGAAAATGCAGAATTCTTTTGACCCAGTGCGAATCACAAACCTCCTATTTGGAGCATCCCTCAGCCTAAATAAATAAAGAGCCAGTCACCCTCTAATTATTCCAACTGAGTTATCCTGTCTTGTAAATCACCCTCTTCTTTTCTAGATATCTACTCTAATGGTTGGTTAGTTTCTTGTTCCCAAGACCTGAATTAAATGAAAAGACCACAAAATTCCATTGGCAACTTATTAGCTATTTCTTTATAGTGTCTCCAGAAATCTTGGGAGAGGTATTGAAATATGATGGGAAAAGAGACTAAAACATCTGGTTCAAGTAAGATTTTGAAATTTTCTGGCTTTCTATTACACTCAAACTTCCTGGCCTCTATTTCTACATACAATTAGCAATTTAACTGAATGAGTTCTTTTGTTTTCTTTCTTCCCAAGAAACTAGTAATAATATTTGACAGTATAGCAATATACTGGGGCAGTGTAAGTCACAGTAAAGAGCTTCAGCTGGAGCTATGCTGACTTGGGTTTAGACTCTGACTTTTCAACTCTGCCATTCACACCAGCTCTTCAACTTAAATCAATTAATGTCTCTGAGCCTGTTTTCTCATCTCTAATATGGGAAAAATAATACTTAGCTCAAATGGTTGTTATGCCTATTAAATGAGGTAACATTTGCCAAATGTATGAAACAGCGCCTGTCATAGGGTAAGTACTGGGCATTGTAAGCTATTGTTATTTATTATAAGTTCTCACCCTTCTTGGATTCCTGAAAGCACTTTATCCTATTATCTTATTTCATCTTATTCTATCCACTCTCTTCCTGAAAGTAGAGACTCCCCTCTCTCATCTAAATCACTTATCACAGAGTATTACAATAGTAAGTCTTCAACAAATGGTTATTCTTCTTATCTTTATTAAATTGGATTTCTGAACATGTGGTAGAAAACAGACATTAAGATGTTAGTGGTCCAGAGGTACCACGTCTAACCATTTTTCTTTCAAGTGAGAATTTTGAAATCTCAGATATCTATTTGAGGACCAAGTCAAAGACCCAGAGTCTTAACTCAGAATATAGGCCCCAAAGTAGACATTCTCTGTGTTTGGACTGCGTAACTCTGTTTGAGCTTTGATGAATGATGGGCAAGAGAAGGGCCTTATCTCTGATTTTATCTCAAATCAAATTTTCATGTTAATCCTTGTTGATCTCTCTCATTGAGAATAATATTATCTCTTTGTTGACATCTTATTCTTTGCCTTACCTAATCACGTCTCAACCTGTTCCTTCACTCTTGAGTACCCCTCTACACCTCATTCCTAGCATCTGTCATCTTCCCTAACAACAGATACCCCTCTCTCTACATCAAATCATGATTTTCATTCTTTCTAAATTTCCCACATCTAACATCTTTCCTGTCCAAATCCTACCATGGCCAGTTGAAGTCTCCTGTGGACTCTGGATCATGCTAGATTCTAGATAAATTATGACAGAAGAAACGTCTAAGAATGTCCTTGTCTACAAAAGGCTTATGGTTTATTTAGGGAAATATGACAAACATGAAAAAGGAATTTCATAGGGAACTGTTTCAGCATATTATGTGTACAGGATACTTTACCAGACCTCAGAGATACAGATAGTCTAGGAGCTCTTGTTGCCTGCTCCCTCAGTGAGGAGACAAAATAAATATTAGAAAAAAAAATCAAAGCATCATCACTTACATTGTGTCAAATATAGAGAAGTATGAAAATGGATCAGAGTGTAAGAACAATTGTGAAAAGTAACTGATCAGGGAATACTTCTTAGAGGAAGTGGAACATAATCTGAACTCTAAAGAGGCTATACTTTAGGGAAATGCAAGGAGGAGGGTGTGTAGGGCATTCCAGACTGGGGAGCAGTGTGAACAAAGGTGTGGTGTCCAGGATGTTTGTAGGTTGTTTAGAAACAATGAGCATTCTGTTGAGCAGCTATTGTGAGGTAAGATTTTACAAGGCCTTGAATGCTAATTTAAGGAATGTGTATTTGATCATGTGGCTGTGTTTCACAAAGCCCTAGGACTCCTCAGAAGAGATCTCACATTCAAACACAGAGAATTAGGCCTGGCGTGGTGGCTCACACCTGTAATCCTAGCATTTTGGGAGGCCAAGGCTGGTGGATCATGAGGTGAGGAGTTCAAGACCAGCCTGGCCAACATGGTGAAACCCCCCCTGTACTGAAAATACAAAAATTAGTTGGGTGTGGTGGCACACATCTGTAATCCCAGCTACTTGGGAGGCTGAGGCAGGAGAATCACTTGAACCCGGGAGGTGGAGGTTGCAGTGAGCCGAGATCAGGACGCCAATGCATTCCAGCCTGGGCGACAGAGCAAGACTCTGTGTCTCAAAACAAACAAACGAACAAACAAACAAGAAACAGAATTGGTGCAGGTGAAGAGGGGAGAGCGAATTGAGTAAGGAGGCTGAGCAGGTGGGAATCTAGGACTTCCATTTTCACTTCAGCCAAACTGATCTTACTTTTTCTGTTTGATATGTTAAAAGATCATGTGAGATTTTATTTGGAAGAAAGTCATCCCCTGGTTAAAAAATTGAAAATCTCTGCTCTAGATATAATAAAAGCCATTAAAGAATTTTGAGCATAGAATATTAGAATTAGCACAATAGAGAGTTTATCTCATCCAGTATGTAAACAAAGCAGTAATCCTTTTTAAACATCCTTGATGTTCTTTCCTTAAACATAATTCCTGTGATAGAAAAACCACAACTTTTCATGACAACGCATTCCACCATTGGATACCTCTAACTCAGAAGATCTAAACATAGAATCCACAGATCCCTTAGAGGTACCATAAACTTTGACTGAAAAAAATATTATACCTTTATTTAATTTCTAACTTAAATTCGATATTTCTCTGACTATGAATGTAGGCAACAAAACTTAATCATATTATCAATACCTAAAAAACAGATATTTTATACCACTTTAAAATTATCACTCTGTCTTGCATCATGTATGTGAACTAAATAAATAAATAAATAAAATTATCGTAGGTATCTTCAATTTTTTTGAAATTTTAAAAATTATATTTAAATACAAATTATTTCCTGTGTAATCCTATGCATTTTATTTTATGCATTTAAAAACATTCTGAGGAAAGTTCATAGGCTTTACCAGATTTCCAAAAGGGTTCAAGGCACAAAAGAATGTTATGAAACTGTGCCTTATGTTTATAATTTTTTCTGTTAATTCAGAATTTTTATTCTAACATCTGTTCTTAAACATTTCTCCTCTACAACTACATAGACTAAGTCTAATACTACTTCCATGTGATAGTCTATCAAATATTGGAAGACAACTATCACATGTCTATAGGATTTCCTTCTCAAACTAATCATCCCACATTTCTTCATCTGTCCCTCAAAAGATATGTCAATGGGTCCTCTCATTATTCTGACCAGCTTTTACAACATGTTCCACTTGACCTATTTTCTTCACGTATTCTGCTTAAAGTATGGTGGCTACATCTGAGCAAACATCTAGAAAGGGAAGTTTTAGAGACAGGACTTCAAGTCTGTCTCAATAGTTTCAGTAATTCCTGTTCCACAAGTCATAATTACTTGAGTCCATGGACTGAGGTATAACCAATGTGGTCATTTACTCTTCTGGCTTAGGAACACCCTGGGACTCAGAAGAGGTGAGTTCATTTAAGGCAGTATACTAAAGTGGTTAAATGGGGCTAGACAGGTCTGGGTTTGTATCCTATTTCTACTGAATACTAGCTGAGTGACTTGGGGAAAGATCACTTGATTTCTGAAACTCATTTTTTTCTATTGTAAAATGGACGAAATAATAGTACCTACTTCAAAAATTTGTGTTGATTAAATGAAGTGACTAATGTAAAGTGCTTAGCACAGTGTCTGGTATATGCCTATTAATGTCAAACAAAGTAAGACAAGCATTACCCTCCTTTTTTATCAAATATTGGGCCCTGGGCACCCCTTCCTAATCTCCATATTACCATGATTCAACTCACTGAAGCTATGTATCAATGTACATCTCCTCTTCTCCCCCATAGTGGATTCCTAGAAAAGTTATCAGAAGTTGAATAAAAGAAGAAGGAGGAAGAGAAAGTCTTTTAAAATAGGAAATGGAGTGGGTAAGATAAGCTATGTACACATATTTTCAGCCTGTATAACTTCACGGTAACAAGTTTCCTAAGTTCAAATTCCACGATACAAAGTAATAGACCTTTTCATTTGCTTAAAGCTTCCTTCAGACTTAATAAAATGTTTCTGTGCTAGACGGCCACAGAGTTTGCCTGAAAATTCTTAATTTCTTGGGTTTATTCTGTATGATTGACATACATGACTTTGGTTATTTCCACATACAGGCTTTGCTTTTCCAAACAGAACAGTGACAATCATTTTATTCTCTCCCTGTGTTGCATTATTTTCCACAATGCCTAACACAGTGCTGAGGGCAGTGTCCACATTCAGTAAAACTTTTAATAACCCTTATTATCAAACAATCAAAAATTTAATGTCTCCTCTGGGCCAAGGCTTGGTTAGATGTTGAGGTGAGGGTGGGGTGGGAACCACATGGGTGGCAAATAGTTAAGTATCAGAGAGTCCCTAACCTCCAAAATACTTGGAGTTTCACTGTAGAAATAAATAAGGCAAATATAAAAAATAAATACTATACATATTATAGGCAAATTTCTTCAAATGTGAATTATTTTCTGTGGATTTTCTCTTGAAGTCCTAAAACATAAGTCAAATTCTAACTAAAGTAATTACCCTTCCATCTCTTCTTTTTTCTCTCTCCTCCTTCTGACCTCATGTTACCCAAATTACCATATTGCTGTAATATAGCTTAAAATAAAAATCTGTAGGGTGTATAACCCGCAGATCTCATTCCCTTCCTACCCCTATTGGAACATGTATCCCTCTTCATGTGTGGAACACAGTGAGATACTTGGGAAAAAAAAGCAAATTGCAGGATTTAAAATTTTACTCTAGTGTATTTTAAAAACGATTTGTCTTTTAAAATAGCTCTATTAATTCAACATATGAATCTGATACTTCTGGAGGAGACTTATTGGAGCCTTTGAAATCTCATCATTAAGGCACTTCCTTCTCTGGTAGAGCTATTCCAATTTTCTTTCCTCAGCTGTGTCTTACTTGAGAATTATTAGCTGGGGCTATCTTTAGTCTTCCATAGAGGGTTGCGTCATTAAGCACAACATAAGACTGTGCAAACCTAGGCATTTATCCGTAAAACTTTGGAGTATTAGATGTTAAATAAATGGTTGTTAAATGTAGAATAAAGGACATGAGCTGTTATACATGAACACAATAAGCCTTTAGCAAACACAACTACCAGAATACATAAATGAACACATAAATGACTAAAGGGGAGCCTTGAAAGTTACATGTTACCCAGTGAGGTTTAAGAGGCATTTGGTATGTCTCTTCTAATCACTCAGGGATGGCTTCTTGAAGAAGACAGGCCTCACGGGAGCTGCACATTTAAAGACTGAAGAGTCCTGAGAATATTCCAGATGTAGTACAGCTTGGGAAGGAGACTCAGGGGTGAAAGTAACATATTTGGATTTAGGAAAAAAAAAAAAAAAGATCAGTTTGCCAAGCATGATTTTCCCCTCGGTGTTCAAAGTAAAAAAAGGAAATGCAATCCATATGGTTTGGATTTATTTATGCTCAATTATGAAGAGCTTTAAGACATTCTCTAACCTCTCAAGTTTTTAAGCCCCTTTTCTCCCTGAAGAACAGGAAGTCTTAATTTTCCTAGCTTAAGGGAACTTGAAAACTAAACGATTTATGTTGGATTTAAACATGCGAGTTCATGAGTTTAAAGTCAGACAGATTTGGTATAATCCAATGTCCTAACTGTTGCCAGTGAGATATTTCTCTACTCTATGTGATATCTTTCAGAGCAACTCGATTTTATTTTGTCTTTAAATGGAGGAGAGCATATTTTGAAATAAGAAAATACAGGAGGTTCAGAATTTATAGCTGGGTTACTGATGGCTCTAGCCCAGTTGTAGATCTGAACAAATCACCTCCATATGCTAGCTATAGCCCTGTTCCCTTTTTCATTTTACATCTGCAGGGAGAAAAAAAATCTCAGAATATGTTAGTAAACAAGCATACCATTTGATTTTCAAGCCGAATGTAATCATTTTGATCCAAAAATATAACTTCCACACAAGGCTAGCTTATTTTACTGGCTTTCCCCTGGCATGCACAATTTTTAAATGTTTTTTTCTTTTTATCACTAAGCTAAATCTTTCTGTTAGAGATCATACGAAGGGTACTACTTTAAGGGATAATAAAGAGGGCAGGGTTAATCAAAGTGGATAATTAGACTAGTGATGGCAACACAACTACATGGTTTAGTTTGTTTTGTTATTGCTGCAACAGTTTACCCTAGATTTTGAGCTTTAGCTATGCCATCCCATTCTGCCCCTCATCCTAATCTCTAAAGAGATAGTCAGCATTCTAATTTACTCATGCATTTCCTCAATTTCCTATTCTGTTATGACTTTCTAATGTGAAATTTGCAGCCAGCAACAGGCTAACCAAACATGAGTAGTTGTGACCATGGGATATATGATGGCCTATTCTTTGTGTACAAAACATACCACTGACAAAGTGACACTTTCACATTCTCCACTGATTTCTCAGTCACTCTTAGGTTCAAAACAACAACAAAAAATGTTATTTTAATCTCAAGTTTCAAGCCCCTGTGTGGTCTGACTCCAAACAGAAAATTTTTCCCTTTTCCACTAGAGCAGCTGGGTCCAACTGTTCTGGCTGGTATCATTCCACCCGTCTAGAAATAAACAGTAAGGAGGCTTAGATGTAGGTCTCTTGGCACCCAGATATTCTCTATCATAAACAGGACTATTGCCATAGTTCACTGTGAATGCTATCTGCTTACATTGGCTAAAGTGACTGTTTCTTAGTACAATCATAGTGGTGCTTTGTCAGTTAGCCTGGGGTAGGGTAGGGGGATTGTGTTATGGAGTCAGAGACCACAGATTGTGTTATGGAGTCAGATAGAGACCACAGTATTAAAAGAAAGTTAACTAGATTGGTGGCTTTGCACAGGACCACGGTGAGTTGTAATAATATCCAATGCAAATATAAGTATATAAAGCATTGTTAAAACATGACTTAATTCATCTATTCCTAGGAACAACACTTTAAGGTAGATCCTGTTCTAATCTCCAACTTGACAATGAGAAAATAGAAGCCGAGAGAGGTTTAGTCACTTGCTCAGGGTTATATTGTTAGTAAGGTCTATATGAGAATCAAGCCCAGGTCTCCAACTCCAAGTCCAGTGTTCTTTGTTTTAGTCTACAAGATGCCTGCAGTGGAATAAATGTAATGTCCAGAGTATTTTGAGGGATCATACAATGAAAAGTAGATGATTTTATTCCTTTTTCAACTCATTTCTTTCAGGACATGGTTCTCTTTTGCTCAGTGTAAGTTTTCTTTCTTTAGTGAAATAGTCCACACTTTTAGACCATTCACACTTTTGGAACAAATGCTTACCAAAAGTCATATATCTGTTTATTTCATTACTCATCTATGGATAAAATTTAGCTCAAAAATATCAGGTTGTGTAAGAGGAAGATAAATGAGCGGCAGCAACCACAAGTCCTGAATATCACTATTTAATATGCCATTGTAGGAGTCTTTATCATGTATCCCAAAGAAAAATGATTATAGAAAAAGAAATGCAAAAGAGGGTATTTGGAACCTCATATCTCTTTACTTCAGCTCCCAGATCTTCAGAACACCACCCTCCCACCTTGGCCCCAATAGCGACCTTGACGGGAGAGGAAAGGGACAAAGAAACTTCAGATGGGGTTCTCAAGGATGATCTAGTTCAACTCAATCTTTTAAATTAGATGAGGGAGTGTGGTATAATGGTTAAAACACAGGCTCTATTTGTCAATTATACCTTAATAAAGCTGGGGGAAAATTTCTAAACACAGGTTCCAGAATCAGATAGACCTGAGTTTAAGTCCAGTCCTCTAGCACTTCCCAGGTGTACAGGCTTCAACAAGTTTCTTAACTTCTCTGAGCTATGACTGTCTAATATATAAAATAAGGATAATGTAACTATCTCATAGAGTGTTTGTAAGCATTGAATAATGTAAGTATTTGTAAGTATTACATATATGCATGTGTGTATTTATATATGTGATGAGGAAAAGTAGTCTGTGTTGAGCTTAAATACAGATTGAGGCAAACAATCACCCACACTCTCCTTATATAAGATTAGTATAGGAGGGAACCAGTTTTGTCATAATACTACATCCCTCATCCCTCTATTGTTTTTAAATAAAAAGGAAAAAATGAAGCTATCCATCAGGTAAAGCAATGGTCCGTGTTGGCCTGATGCTTTATGAAGTTTTGGGAGGTAGGTATGGAGGCACCTTAACACCAGTTTTTGAGCAAAAGTTCTAGAAGCTGGTTTAGAACTGCACAGCTATGGATACACCTGATGAAAACTGCAAAAGGCGATGACAGGCCCCAAAATATGACCAGCAACCCCATGAGCCCTTGGGGCATCCAAAGGAATTTGAAAATTATACCCCATTCAGATGAACAATAAAAGCCAATGTACTGGAATTCTCTTTGTTCTGCCTGGCATTTGGGGGTGTCCAAGGACCTGTGTTTTCAACAAAGATGACTTTATGACCGTTCTAAGGATTGAACAGATTCCTGCACAGGATGCCAGGTTTTAAGTTAGGTCCTCTTAATATAAGCTCTCTTTTCTTAATGTAAACCTATTGGCATTGCCATTTCTAAAAATCTAGTAGGTTTCTGGATATTGTGAAGATACTGAGTACATATACAATTGTGTAAATTTCATAGTGTTTTATTTTGAGGTGAGAGTTTTGTTATAGTTTATAAAAGATATTTTCCTATTCAGACCTCAGGGCTATTTTGGGACCTACAAATAAATGGGATTCCCAGCAGCCTCAATTTTTGATATTCAAAAAGTTAATAATCTTTAAGTTAAATATGATGTGATATTATTCAGCAAAAAAGAATGATTTTCCCTTTTAACTTCTAACAAATCGTGTATCTAATATTTAAAAGATATGGAAAAAATGTGATAATGTAATAGTGTGGGATAATTATGGCTAAAGAATAAAAAATCACTTCCTAAATAAAACACACACACACACACACACACGAAGAATAGTATAGGAGGCCTCGAGGATATAATATGTTTAGATAAATATTGGGATATATATAGTGCAAAAAAAGGAGCTTTCTGGGCTTCTGCATTGTTGAGACTATTATTCCAATATGTTGATTATTTATAGAATCTTACATTAAGAAAGAAACTTTCCAGAACATTTAAATTTATTCCTTCTCAAGAAAGAACCATATCTAAAACAGGCCAAATGCCTGAGGATAGTTGAACAACAGGTTATTTGGCTGCAACTCCAAGGTCAGTCTAGCTCTGATGGGCCCTTTAAATAAGGAAATATAATGATTTATTTATTTAAACAGCATTCCTGATTATCTGCTTTGTGTGCAGTGCTAAAGCAACAAGGTGGGGAGTAGGGGGGCCATAGTTCTTATGTCCATGAAACTCACATACAGGTTGCAGAAACATATATATAAACAGACATTTATAATGCAGTGTGGAAAGTATTATAATGCAGATACATATAAAAAGGGAACAAATAATAATGGATGGTACATTAGGGAAGGATTCAATGAGAAGGTTAGGTTTGAGTTAAGTCATACAAGATGTAGAAAAGTTCACCAACTATGGGCCAAAAGAGGGTAGGAAGACACTCCAGGCAGAAGGAATGACATGTGCAGTGAAAGATATACATACAGAACACTTTTGGATCTACACATATTTTAGGGTGGTTGGAGCTTAGAGAATGGGAGGAGATGAAACTCAAGAGCTAAGCAGGAGGCAAATTATGAAGAGATTTTTAAGGCATGGTAAATGGGTGAAACATTATCCTAAGGACATAGTAAGCCATTGAAGAGTTTTAAACAGGTGTGTGGCACAATCAGATTTCTGTTTCAGATAGATCATGTTGCAGTATGAAGAATGGACTTTAACAAGTAAAAGACTGAGCCAGGGGAACCAGTTAGGAGGATGTTGCAATAATATTGGCTTGAGATGATGGTACTCTGGACTAACATACTATCAGGGTACATGTAGTAAAACATAAAGCACAGCCCAGGTGCAAAGGCTTCTTATCTTATTCAAAAGACAGAAAGGTGCTAGGGAAGTAGTTCTCAGGAAGTACAGCAGCAAAATTTCATAGCCTTCACTGTAGATATGAATGTAAATCACATCAATTTTTCTAGACTTCCTTGAATACACAGAAAAGGTAGATTACTGGGGCCCTTTACTTTTTGGTTTATTAAACATGATTGTTACTGTATTTCTTCCCTAAAGTACAGATACTTCAGGTTACAGAACTGGACAAAAAAGCAAGACAGGATTAAAGTGCCATTGATTCTCACTTGCCTTTTGTCAAGCCATTGTATTTAGCTTCTCACCTTTTAATATGGCTTACACAACAGAGTTAAAGGAGTGGAGACTTTCACATTCTTCCCTTGGGAAGCGCCCTTCATTCATCTACTATTGACGTCAAGAGTTAAGGATGCAAGATGAATCAAACCACAAGCATTTCCTGAATTCCTCTTGCGTGCCCAGCCCTGCATCAGTACTGGCAGAAGTCAAGGGGTTGAGGAAAGTGTGAGTGGGGAGTACAGAAGCATGAGATGGACTCCTTGGCCTCAAGAAGCTCACACTTGAGTTGGGAAAGCACACCTAATTATCATCCAGTTCCCCTTCCCAACAAGGAAGTGATAAACTATGACATAAACTGGAAGTGTTCTAGAAGCCTAGAGAAGAATGAGCTCAGTGTGGGCTGATAAATTCAAAATAGTTTCCTGGAGGAGATAAAATGTATGTAAATTTTAAGGGTGGGTGAGATTTGGATGGGCAAAGAAGAAAGGAAGTTTCTACTAGAAAAGGGTAGTGATGGGAACATGCATATGTGGAGGTGGTGGGGACAGTGACAGAATAACAAGTAGAGTTTATTTTTTTCAATAACACCTTCACCTAGGGCAGGAAAAGATCTCTCTGGCATCTATATTTTAGCTTCAAGTTTCATATTATATTATTTTTAAAAGGATAGATATATGCAAACATAGATATATTTAAATATATGTAAATATAATTCATAACAGATCTGAATTGTATTCCCTGTTGTCAGTGATTATTTCTGGATGTGAGCTTAAAATTATGAATGATTTTAAGTTTTAATTTTCTTTATATTTTCTACAAAAAAAAACTTGTATTATTTGTATGAAAAGAAAAAATAAGAAAATAAAAGATCACCAAGAATTTTTAAAAAGGGACAAGACAAGCTTGAGATGAGGGAAGAGGTGGAAAGAATGCCCTGAGAAATTTTTCCAAAGTAGATTCTGTGGTGCCTCACTACAGGCATTGAGGTCAGTATAAAATAAAGGAAGACTTAAGTGGAATAAGTCAGGAGGCAAAAAATAAAAAGAGAAAGTGAGAGAGAGAAATGAAGAAGGAAGGTGGGAAGGAGGGAAAGAAGGAAGGAAGGAAGGAAGGAAGGAAAAGATTAGCATTAACTGAGCACCTCTGTGTCCCATATCTTTTCTCACTTAGTTTCCCCATCAACACTTTGGGGTATATAGTATTATCCCAGTCTAGAGATGAACGTGAGGTATAGACACGTCAAGAAACTTCTTATCCTATAAACTAGCTGCCTGAGCTCTCTCATCCCACTCTTAGCACCTGGGCAAATCCTTTCTTCTTTGTCAAGTCGTGGTTAAAACCTGATACACTGTGACTCCTTCTCTGACTCCTTTGGTGATTGTTAGAAATTACCTTTATTTTAAGCTTCACTGTACTCTCTGAATATATACCATCATAAAAGCAAGCCTTATTTTATCATGTTTATCTGTTTCCTAACCTGTATCTTTAACTGTATTGGCAGTTCCTTGAAAACAGGGAAAACGTTTTTATACCTAGCATTATATACCACCCATACCTATGATTTCATGTAGTTTTCATAGGAACTCTGTGGAGTTAGTAGGGTAACTTTGCTGCTTTTTAAAAAGTGTTTTTATTTTTTAATTGATACATAATAATTGAATACATTTATAGGGTACAATGTGATGTTTCAATACATGTATACATTGTGGAATGAGCAAATCAGGCTAAATCAGGCTTTTTGGGTGAAATATTCCTTGGCTCCACCACTTACCACCTATGCAATTTTCAGGTAGTCACAACTTCCCTCCATACCACCCCGCCACACTCTCCACAGGGCTGCAAAGAGGAAGGAGCTTACCCAAACACATCTATTAACTCATCTACATATGTTTAGTGAGTATCTACACTCAGGCATCATCCAAAAAGTTAGGTGTAAAAAGATTGTCTATTTTCAAGGAACTGCCAATCTAGTTAAAGATACATTAGGAAACAGATAAACATGATAAAATAAGGCTTGCTTTTATGAGGGTATATATGCAGAGAATGCAGTGAAACTTAGAAAAAGTAATTCTTAACAATGACTAAGGGAGTCAAAGAAGGAGTCACAATGTATCAGTTTTAACCAAGACTTAACAAAGAAGAAAGCATTTGCCAAGGTGACAAGAAGTGAGATGAGAGAGCTCAGTCAGCTAGTTTATAGGGTAAGAAGAACTTGGGTCAAAGATGAAATTCCAGTATTTAAGAGATACACACAGATGAAAGAAATTCTGAAGTAGACTGAGAAAAAGGTAGGACACAAAGAAAAAGCTGTATCATAACATCCAAAAAAGACGGAGTTGTCAAGAATGTCCAATGCTATCAAAAGTCAAATAAGACAAGACTTGAAAAATGTTCACTAACACACTTTTACACTGTTGGTGGGACTGTAAACTAGTTCAACCATTGTGGAAGACAGTGTGGCAATTCCTCAAGGATCCAGAACTAGAAATACCATTTGACCCAGCAATCCCATTACTGGGTATATACCCAAAGGATTATAAATCATGCTGCTATAAAGACACATGCACATGTATGTTTATTGTGGCACTATTCACAATAGCAAAGACTTGGAACCAACCCAAATGTCCAACAATGATAGACTGGATTAAGAAAATGTGGCACATGCACACCATGGAATACTATGCAGCCATAAAAAGGATGAGTTCATGTCCTTTGTAGGGACATGGATGAAGCTGGAAACCATCATTCTCAGCAAACTATCACAGGGACAAAAAACCAACCACCACATATTCTCACTCATAGGTGGGAATTGAACAATGAGAATACTTGGACACAGGAAGGGGAACATCACACACCGGGGCTTGCCATGGGGTAGGGGGAGGGAGGAGGGATAGCATTAGGAGATATACCTAATGTAAATGATGAGTTAATGGGTGCAGCACACCAACATGGCACATGTATACATATGTAACAAACCTGCACATTGTGCACATGTACCCTAGAACTTAAAGTATAATTTAAAAAAAAGAAAAATATGTTCACTGACTTTACAAGGGAGGTATTGGTGATCTTAGCAAGATCCTGTTAGTGAAGTGATTGTGTTGGGCATCATATTTAGTAGGGTTAGAATGCAAACAGGAATTGAGGAAGTGGAGATTGCAGGTGAAGAATACTATTATTCTAGAAATTTTGCTATTAAAAATAATAGCAAAAGATAGGAAGTAGTGAGGAGGTTTGTAGGATTCAGATAAGTGTTTGTAGTTTTTGTTTTTGTAGGTCACAGAGACTTTAGCATTATATGTCCTGAAGAGAAAGATGTAATGGAGAGGGTAGTTGAGATACTGTATAGGAGAAATAAAAGATAATTGACGGATTGAGGTTCAAAGGAGGCAGATGAAGGATATAAATAAATATTAAGGAAGAAAGATTTGCTTTTTTAAATGGCAAGAAATGTCCCTTTACCTGCAGTTGGACAGAAGAAGATAAAGTTGAGTACAAAGTAATTTGTGCAGCAACCACTATGTACAAGATCTTTTCCATATACTGCTCTCACTCTCCTTGAGATACTATTTTCCCTCTCTCACTAGGCCAAATCTTTCTATTCATTCATACTTAGGCTCAACTGTCACTTTTGCTAGGAAGCCTTCTGTGACTCCCCAGAAATAAGGCTAGCCCCCACCGTTGTATGCTTCTGTAGCGCTGCTTTTCCCCTCATAGCAGTTTTGACAGTTTATAATCATGCATTTATTAATGTGATCACCTGATTGTTTGTTTCCCCTACCAGATGGCAATCTCCATGAGAACTGGGGTCAAGTCTTTTTTTTATTTTTGTTTTTTGCTCATTTCTATATCTCTAGTATGTAATACACTGTGCCTATCATATTGTAGGTACAGGTTGAGTATCCTTTATCTGAAATACTTGGGACCAGAATGTTTCAAATTTTTACTTTTTTCAAATTTGGGAATATTTGCATTATACTTATTGGATCATACCTAATCCAAAAATATGAAATATAAAATGCTCCAGTGAGCATTTCCTGTGAGTGTCACATCAGTACTCAAAGTTTCAGATTTTGGAGCATTTTGGATTTGTGGATTTTTGAATTAAGAGTACTTAACCTTTCTTTAATAAACACATGTTGAATCATCTTAATGTATACAAAGAATGGCACTAGATGCTGACAAAATAGGAAATCCCAAGGGAATGTCAATCTAACAGCGAGATAAGCTACATATTGGAATGATTATAAAGAAGAGATACTACTTGGTTCAGACACCACTTCCATAAAGTGGAATGCTCATGCTACCCAGAATCAATCACTCTTTCCTCTGGAATTTCATTGTGCTTTTGCCATCCTAATATTCTAGCACTATCTTTGGTTTACAATTTATTAGCTTACTCCTGTTCATGCAGTGTATTTATCTCCTATTTAAATCAAGCTAGAGTTAGTTTCTATTGCTTTCAACTGAGAATCCTAGTACGTGTGATAATTTTCACTTACATTGAGCCATTTGAAAATTGGGTTTTCTCTGTAATTTTTTCTCATCAAATGCAGTTTTGAAACAAAATTGATACAAATATAATCTCATCAAACAAATTGAATCTTTTTTTTTCTTTTTGTCTATTCAATGGCAGATTTGGATTTTTGCTGGATATTTAAGTAATTAAACTGCTCAGTTTGTTTAATGTATTTGGCTTTCTGGCATAATTAACAATAGTTAAGAAAGACTACTCTGGCGCCTTGACAGGTTTTTTTCTCTCTCTCTTCTTTAAAATGAAGAAACCGCTAGACCCCAAAACACAAGAGCAGCTATACTTTTTGTGGTTTTGCCAGTTTAAGTGAGTCAGAGCTTTCTTTAATGGCATAAATTTAAGCATACTTGGAGGTAATTAGGAAAAGCAACAACGACAACAAAAAAAGAAGCTGCCAGACAATGCAGACAGATCTATCAAAAACCCTGGAATCCAGAAAAGATATTACCATGCTTCTGAGAAACATTTTAAAGTATTTTTGGAAACAATGGGCTGGAAATTGGGAGTTTGCAACATTTGGCTGAGAGGCCTAACTGCAACATAGCATGTAAATTCTGTCTTCAGTGAAATCATGACAGAACTTTATTATTGCCAACCACTTGCTTAGAGGCCTGGAGTAAAATTTTGTTGTGCATTGCCATTTGGTCTGGTTTGATACGATCTGGTCTAGGGCACAGAATACTATGTCAATGATGTCTAGAAGGTTCCATCTGTATTTTCACCAAAATTGCCAGAAAATGGTATATAATATAGAGAAAACTAGAATTATAGCTGATAAAGTCAAGAATTTCAAACTTTATCTAAACTATGTAAAAAATGTTTACCCTTTCACATTCCATTTTCTTTTAACCTGATAAAGAGCATGGGCTTTCAGGTCAGACATACTTGGGTTCAAACTCTAGTTCCACCATTGACTAGTGACCTTCAGGTAAGACACTTATTTTCTTTAATCTTTAGCTTTTTGTCAGGCAAATGAGCCAAATGGGAATCATGCCACCTCCCTTATGGGATCTTTGTGAAGATTATATAAAATAACCTATGAAACATCCCCAAAACACAGAACCTGGCCCTTATAATACACTATTCAAATATGACTGTTCTTTCTCTTTTTTTGAATAAAAAGTGTGCAATTTTTAAAGCTTTATTCTCCATTTATTTTCATGGAGAAATTAATTCTATTTGGGGAACAAGTTATTTTCTTATTTAGCTATGACATGAGCAATCTTTTTGAAAATTTATTTCTATTTCATGTACTGGCATCCAATGCACATGACTTTGCATTCTAGAAAATCATAAAATGAGGACTTCATCTTTTAGACTAACAAACAGACTATAGACAAGACCAAGTTTTGGGAAAAATATGAATAAGATCTACTTTGTTGTTTCTGTCAACATGTTATCAGAAAATGGTACAGAAAAGTACTTGAGGAACACACTGGTAACATGGCCCAGAGAGTTTTATGGTAAGGAGGCTCTTTTTTGTGATGAAGAGGTGTTCTGAAAAAGAACAGAAATTTGGACTGAAAAAGTAGGTTTGGGATAAATTCTCTCATGCTTTATAAACTGAAGCTATAATATTTTTCTTGAAATTTTCTAAGCTTTGTACTTTGCATTGAACAATAAAGTGGCCTGAAGATATTTGGAGATGGTTTTTTAATATAATCTTAATATTTAACATTTCAAATTCTGAAGCCGGTCAAAGATGAATATGATACAAATCTGAGAGATTTTTAACCTTTTCCTGCTTTTGTTGATTTTGTAGTTTATGGCTTTAGAGATATATTTTAAAATTTTAAGAATAGTGCCACAGCTGATAATAAAATAATATCAATTGATTTAGATTTTTATTATACCTTATATTTTTCATTTATATTTTTTCTTTAGCAATTAGGAAGACAGAGGAAATATATTCGATGAAAAAAAGCTGAGTTAGTTAGGAACACTTCACCACTTCTGATATCCTTGCTTGCAAAGTGAGCTCAGATAGTGTACTGGTGACCTCTTTCTGCATCCTTTACTTAGGCTGTCCAAGGAGAGATGGAAAGAGACAGGTGATTGGTAAATTTGGAAGGAATAGCTGGGCATGATTAACTCAAATTTTCTCTTTTTACTTTGGGGAGCAAGCCTGGCTGCAGCCAGCGTGAGTTCTCTTCTGTTCCTCCATGCCATAGATTATTATTGCTTACACCTGCAGGGAGAGGCTTACTCCAATCCAGTTCTAAGATTGGGTGGTAAATTTGCCTAATTCTGGGGATCAGTTAGCAGGCCCACCTGGATAAGAGGTCTAAAACCAAATTCTTTAACCAGGCCTTACTACTAATAAAGTTAATATCTGGGCGTCTCTGTTTTGTTTCCTAAAATGTTTACAACCAGGGGTAGAAGAGAGGTAGTATTTATTGAACACCTTTTCTCCCTTTCTCTGGAGAGCATGATGTGTAAGAAAATGTTTTTCTAAATATTAATAAAAAACAATAATTAAAGATATAGATCTTAAGTAGCATGTTACATTTTTAAAATTTGCTCTTTAATATGTGTTATTACATATAATAGTCTTCTTCACATTTATTGGTAGAAAATTGGTATTTGGAACTTGAAAGTTCTTCATAATGACTAATGCCAGCTCTTAGGGAATTATGGGAAGATATCCAAATCAATGAAACAGCTGAGGAAAGGTTTATATACAAGAAAAATTAATGTTCACAATTTGGAAATGAAGTGGAATTGTATATGATATTTGGCATCCAAAAATAATTCACCTTTTCATAATTAAAGGAACATTTTTGAATTATAATCAAACAAAAATGCAGCATTACATAGCATTCAGATGGTTACGTTTCAACCTGAAAGGATGCGAAAGGCAGTACTTTACTTTTAAAATTACTGGTAAAATAAAGACAATCAATAGGATAGAAGTGTTAAAAAGTAATTCTCAAGTTCTTCAGTAATGGGCATTAAACTAGTTAACAGTAACTGCTCAGCATTTTACAAAGGTCAAAGTCCAAGATAAGTGACTAAATTACCTTATTCTGATATTTCCACCAAAGACACACTTGCTTTTATTTCTTGGATTGCAGACTATGGATAGAACCTAATAGGAGTGATTATATAGTGATATGCCTGTCTCTAATAGACATATCAGAACACATATGATCATATTAATGTTGTCTCTTCAATGCAGCACTTCCTGTTTTTATTTCAGTGATATTGCCACTAGTCAAAGCATGATGAGAATCCTCTTTGACAATCTCTTTCCTTTTTAAAATTTATAGGTAACCACACAGAGTACACAAATATTACATATACAGATCAATGCATTTTTCATAGGTGTACAACCATGTAACCACCACCCAGATCAAGTTGTAGGGCATTTCTTGAACCTCAGAAAGCTCCCTTATGCTTTCTATCAGTCATTGCCCTCTCCCAAAAGAAACCATTCCTCTAAGCAGTGTCAACATAGATTTGTTGTGACAGTGTTTGAACCTTATATAAATGGAATCATACAGTATGCACTCTTGAGTATGTAGCTTCTTTTCCTCAGCATTATGTTTTTAAAATAATCCATGTTCTTGCATGTATCATTAGCTTGTTCTGTTCATTGATATGTAATACTGCACTGTGGGAATATACCACAGTTTATCTGTGGATTCTAGTAGTTAAGGATGTTTGGCTTCTTTCCAATGTGGGGATATTACAAAAGAAAAACACTATGTAGATTGTTGTACAAGTCTTCTTATGAACATAAGTACTTCTCATCCAAAATTTTTAGGTTATAGAAAGTCATATGTAGCTTTTTAAAAGGTGCTGCCAATCCGAAAGAATTGGAAGCAGGATCTTGAAGAGATACTTGTACACACATATTCGTAACATTATTCACAAAAACCAAAAGGTAGAATGAACTCAAGTGTCCAATGAGAGATGAATGGATAAACAAAATGTGATATGTACACACAATTGAATGTTTTTAGCCATAGAAAGAAAATAAATTTTGACACATGCTACAATGTGGATGAATCTTAAGGATATTATGCTACGTGAAATAAGCCTATCAAAAAAGACAAATACTTTACAATTTCACTTATGTGAGGTATCTAGAGTAGTCAGATTCATAGAGACAGAAGGTAGAGTGGTAGTGTCCAGGGGCTGGAAGTAGAGGAAAAGGGAGAGTTAATATTTCATGGGTGCAGGGTTTTTTGCAATATGAAAAGAGTGCTGGAGATGGATGGTGGAGATGGTGGCAGAACAATATGACTATACTTGATACCACGGAACCGTACATTTTAAAATGGTTAAGATGGTAAATTGTATTTTATGTGTATTTTACCAAATTAACTTTTAAAAAACATATATCAAACATTTTTCAAAAGTGGTTGTACTCATTTATACTTCCACCAGCAATGTATTTTAGTTTCAATTGTTTCACATTCTCACAAGAACTTGGTATTGTTCATTTATTTAATTTTAACCATAATAGTGAGTCTGTAATGACATTTTGTTATGCTTCTATTCTGCACTTCTCTAATGGCTAATGATGTTAAGTACCCTCTGATAAGAAAATTGCTTATTTGGATATATTCCTTTGTTAACTGCCTGTTCAGTTCTTTTGCCCATGTGTTTTGTTTTTCCTTTTTCTGTTTGATTTGTAGGGAGTCTTCATATATTCCAGATAGAAATTGTCAGATTAATGTATTACAAACATCTCCTATACTGTAGCTTACCTTTTCACTTTCTTAATCATATCATTTGCTGAAGAGATGTTCTTATGGCACATTCTTTTGATCTCTTCAATAGAAAAATATTCACATCACTGTGAGGGGGCTGACTCCTGGAAAAAATATTTAAATCTTTAGAACTAAGGTGAAAATGATGAGGATTATGATGATACAACCCCCACCCAGTCTAATCAAGGGGATGTGAGTGCTATCTATGAACTCAGTACACATGTAAGTGTGGAAGTGGGTTCTTAATCTAAGTAGCCGACTTAGAAATTGCCCTGGCAGGAACAAACCTATGGTATGTAACTTGTTTTATGTATCTTGGCTTGCTTCTTGGAGTTGAGAGATACCCTTAAAGGGGCATAACTGGGTCAAACGGTAATAAATGTCATGAATAATGACTACTAATAAAGTAACTAATCTAGCCACGTATTACCATTTGGAGTTTAAAACTAAGGAAGATAATTAAATAACACCTATGTATAGGTCCCTAAAAACAACACAAAAGGAAAAGTTCTATACCAATCAATCCAGGAATCCTCCTTCTGGGTATCTACCCAAAAGGGAAAAAAAATCATTATATAAAAAAGACACCATCTATGATGTGATTATTACACATTGCATGCCTGTACCAAAATATCTCATGTACCCCATAAATATATACAACTACTATACCCACAAAAATTAAAAATAAAAAAGTTAAAAGATGCCTGTACTCATATGTTTATTACAGCACTATTCACAATAGCAAAGAGATAGAATCAACCTAAGTGTTCATCAACCAATGAGTGGATAAAGAAAATATGGTATATATACACCATAAAATATCATGCACCCATAAAAAGAATGAAATTATGTCCTTTGCAGCAACATGGGTGGAGCTTTAGGTCATTATCCTAAGTGAAATAGCTCAGAAAATCATGTTATCACTTGTAAGTGGGAGCTAAACAATGGGTACACACTGACATACACATGGAAAAACTAGACACTGGGGACTTCAAAAGGGGGACAGTGCGGGGGGTCAAGAGTTGAAAAATTACCTATTGGGTACCATGCTCACTATCTGGGTGATTAGCACACTGGAAGCTCATCCCCACCATTATGCAATATATTTGCGTAACAAACCTGCACTTATACCCCCTGAATCTATAAAAATATACAAATTTTTAAAAGGAAAAGTTTTTTAAATTATTTGAATAATGTCAGATCCACCAAGCTATGTATATGGTTTTTAATGGGACAGCATTTGTTTGAATGTATGCCTAATTACTACGTAGTATACATAGGAACAGTGGGGGAAAATGTCCACTAGGCACCTTTGACATGGGTGAATGGACATTTGTGGCCCTTGTGAAGAGAGTTGTCTCAACCTCTTGCCATTGCACCCCTGATAAAGTATTCCGATCCTCAAGCCAGATACTAAGTAAAACAGCTGCCTGATTCTAAAAGGACCCTAAGAATAGCTCTAGCATCTTTAATGCCACAGCTTATTGACTGTTAAAAATTCTAACAGCTATCATGGAAGTTTATAGGTTTATCCAAATTCAGACTTGAGTTGATTCAAAAAACTGTTTTCCCTTTTTTTCTTTTGCTTTTATTTATTTAATGGACTTCATACAATAAGGATAAAATAGATTCTAACTGGTGTACGTTGTGTAGAGAAATGGACCTGTTTAGACCAAGCACAAGAACAAGCTTTGATGAAAAGCCAAGGAATCCTAGTGAGCACGACAAAGCCTTCCATGCATTGTAAATATGAGCAAATGTAAGCATCTTTTGAGCACTAATTGCTTTCCCAGCACTGTGATGTTTTTTGTATAAATTATCTCCTATTATTCTTATAACATCACTAGGAGTTGGACACTTTGATCATCTCCAATTTACAGTTGAAAGAACTGCAATATATGAAGGTTAAGCGACTTACCTGGATAAGTAATATGGATAGCATATGGTAGAGCAAGAATTTAAACCTGATCTGTCTGATCTCAGAGCTATAGTCTTGCCTCCATCACTGAAACCTACTGTCCTGGGTACTCTAAGGAGCCTAAATATCAACCAGTTAAAAATGTACTAATGAGAGAAGTCTTGTCTTATTTCTATTGGTCAGAGCTTTTAGGTATGGACAACAAAATCTAGCCCAGCTAGTTTAAGAAAAGAGATTTCGTAAAATAGTTTGGGTACCCCATAGAATCTCTCGAGGTGCCAGCAACCAGGCTTGGATGCCAAATAGCCAGAAGCAATGATGCAGCAAAAAGAAATGCCCAGCCATAACTCAGGATGGTAATAGTGGAAAGACTACCACTGCTACCTCCTGCCTTGCACTTTTAACTTGAGCCTGGAGCCAAAAACTCTGCCACAGCTGTGTCAGGACCAGATACTTCAGCTGCTCTGTTTGGCAGAACATTCATCTCCCCAAATTCAGTTTCTGCCCCATGTTGTGCACTTATGCCTCCCTGTCTCATACATGGCATGTGAACCGGCAGGCCCAGGTCATACCCCAGCACTCTAGTTGCAAGGGAATCTGAAAAATGAATTTTTAGCTTTTCACCCTCTGAATACAGAGACAAGCTAGCAGGGAGATAATATAGATGTTGAATGGCTTAATCTATGGTATCATTTATACTATGTAGCAGAGATTTCACTTTGGCCTTCTTCTGACAATAACTTTTTCATGTATAATTAATGAGCATACTGGGTATTTCAGGGCAGGAAGATTGAATGATAATTTTAAACAGAAATTCTGTCTTCCTTCTAATTAATCCATGTAGAGAAGTGCTTAGACTGCTGAACATAGATCTAGAGCTGAGAGTTCTCTCTCTCTCTCTCTCACCATCCATGCAGTAGCCCAAGCCAAAAAAAAAAAAAAAAAAACCCTGAAACCCATCTTTCTCAATTTATTGTTCCTGTTGCATTAACAACTAATCATTTATTAGAACCTGTGATCTCTACCGCCTCAAATTCATCTATCTTTTCCATCATTACTGCTTCTACATTGAAGTTTCCTTAAAAATTCCACAATCTCTCATACCACAGTTCACTCCCTGTGACTGGAATATTCTTCCTTCAGTCCAACATGAAAATTCATTTCCAAAATGAAATTTAGGAGTCGCCTTCCTTTACATGTTCTCTAACTCACCTGGGTTTCAAAGTTATCTTGCCGTACCTCTAGTATAACATTAATATCATTCTATTTTGTTGTCGTTGTTGTTGTTGCTCATGAGTCTGTTTCTCCCTCCTAGGCTCCAAGTTCTTAGAGAAAAAGAATCATCATCTTATTCCTGTCTGTATCCATGGCACCTAGGCTTCTGCCATATACATAATAGACAGTAAATGTCTACTGAAGTGGAGACCCAAATAGGGAATTTGATGTTATCTACACCCTGATTTAGATTTATCATTTTGTACCATGGTTATATTAGTAATTCAGTCTCCCTATTGCTATTAGATTCCAACAGTTTATTTTTAAAATTCTGTCATAGTGGATAAAATATACATAACATAAAATTAACCATCTTCACTATTTTAAGTGCACCGTTGAAGAGTGTTAAGTATATTTCCATTGTTGTGCAATCAGACTCCAAAACTTTTTATCTTGTAAAACTGAAACTCTGTACCCGTTAAACAACTTTCTATTTTCCGCTCCCACATCCCCTGGCAATCACCATTCTACTTTATGTCTCTATGAATTTGACTGTTCTAAGAGCTTCATATAAGCAGAATCATACAGAATTTGTCTTAGTGTGACTCCACCAGTTTATTTTTAAACTGCAAGTATACTACGTTACCAATAGACATCAGAATAAAACTTTAAAGAAGAAGTGTTCTTATTTTAATTATTTTTTCACTCACACAGGGGATCAGGACATCTCCACACTTACCAGGATTCTCCCCCAAAGAACTCTTCACATTTTGTATTTGAGTAACTAATGTGCATGTTCTTACTGTACAAGTTTTCAAATCCCTAGAGAAAAGATAAGACAGCAGTTGGCATCACCTAGAAGAAGAAATTCCAGTTAAGGTCTGTAAGTTTTTCAGTTTGCGCTATACTGTGGGAAAAAACAAACAAGTGTCAGAAAAGACAGTAAGCAAACTAAATAAATACCAGAAACATAACTGAAATCATTCAAGGAAAAATGGCATCTGTTTTATTCACCCTCAACAGATGAGTGTACTACGTAAAAGTTAAACATAAAATTTGTCTAAAATTTTCCTTAGAAGGGTAGAATAAAAATGGGATATTTGTGATATTGAAATTTTCAGAAGCTAATGCCATAAATGATTATCTATATACAATTATCAAAACTTTTAAATTCAAATAATAAATTCACATTGTCATACGAATGTCTATTTTTTGTATTCCTGAATTTTCCTCTAACTTACAATAAAATCCAAAGTCTTCCTGATGGCTTACAAGGCTCTATTTGGCTTGCTTTTTTTTTTTTTTTTTTTCTGAGACGGAGTCTCGCTCTGTTGCCCAGGCTGGTGTGCAGTGGTGCCATCTCGGCTCACTGCAAGCTCCGCCTCCTGGGTTCACCCCATTCTCCTGCCTAAGCCTCCCGAGTAGCTGGGACTACAGGCGCCCACCACCACGCCTGGCTAATTTTTTGTATTTTTAGTAGAGACAGGTTTTTCACCGTGTTAGCCAGGGTGGTCTCGATCTCCTGACCTCATGATCTGCCCTCCTCGGCCTCCCAAAGTGCTGGGATTACAGGCATGAGCCACCGTGCCCACCTGGCTTTGCTTCTTTTAACCTGTTGACTTTGTCTTCTATTATTCATTTTCTCACTCATTTATTCATTTATTTTTCAACCTTCATCATCCACAGTGGCCTTCATGCTGTTTCTTAAACAAGAACATTATCCTGCGTGCAACAAAATCAATTCATGTTCTTGAATACCTCTTTGATGATTATTATTCAGTTCTTTCTGGAAAAAAATGATACACAGATGAAAAGAGTTAAAAGTATGTAGTAAGAGAACCTAGAGCAGTGTTGGGTACATAGTAAATTTTCAATAGAAGTGAGTCTCTGCATTTTCTTCTCTTGTTAAACAATATTTTTAAGCAATGAAATTAGTCTATTGCCTTCCAAACCTTCCAAAGTTATTGCCGTGGTAATTACTATTTAAACATAATTTAACAGTTATTGAAAACTTGGTTGTCCATTATGAATATAATTTAGGATGTACTATTTTACTGCGAAGGACAGAAAACAAACAAATGAGGGCATTTACAGAAAGCATTTAAGGGTATCATGTGGATCTTGATAATAGAAAATGACACTGGTAGGGCAGGACCTAAAATTTAAAAAGTCAAGAACTTAGAGCTCCTCCATCTTTTTTGGGCCATATGGCTTTATATCTCTGCTTCTCTTGCCTTTTTATTCTTCTGTCTCTGTTCTGTCTGTTATTTGTGCTTCCCTACATGACAAATAAATGTTAGGTAAGAAAAGTGGAACTGAAAGAATTAACATACAAGATGGAAGGCAAAAGAAGAAAAGAAAACAAGACCAGATATAAAAGAGAGTTGTTTGGATAGAGAAGATCATTAGGAAAACAAAACAGGGATATAATTGTTGGTATTAGAGAGTTGGTTCAACAGTAGAGGAAGAACACAGATCTTTAAAACATTTTATTTATTTACTAAATGCTTAACACTTGCTATGTTCTATATATTTTTCTAAATAAATATATATGTAAATATTTTACATATATTAACTCACTTAGTCCTCATAACAACCCTATGGGGAAATTATTATATCATCCTTAATATTATATTATCAGCTCCATTTTACAAATGAAAAAAGTGAGGCACAGAGAAGTTAAGTCTATTTCTCCAAAGTTCTGTAGTTAAGATGGGGAAGGGCCAGTAGTCAAACCTAAGCCTTCTGGCTGTAGAGTCTATGCTTTTTTTTTTTTAAATTATACTTTAAGTTTTAGGGTACATGTGCAACACGTGCAGGTTTGTTACATATGTATACATGTGCCATGTTGGTGTGCTGCACCCATTAACTCATCATTTAACATTAGGTATATCTCCTAATGATATCCCTCCCCCCTCCCCCTACCTCAAAACAGGCCCTGGTGTGTGATGTTCCCCTTCCTGTGTCCATGTGTTCTCATTGTTCAATTCCCACCTATGAGTGAGAACATGCAGTGTTTGGTTTTTTGTACTTGCGATAGTTTGCTGAGAATGATGGTTTCCAGCTTCATCCGTGTCCCTACAAAGGACATGAACTCATCATTTTTTATGGCTGCATAGTATTCCATGGTGTATATGTGCCACATTTTCTTAATCCAGTCTATCATTGATGGACTTTTGGGTTGGTTCCAAGTCTTTGCTATTGTGAATAGTGCCGCAATAAACATACGTGTGCATGTGTCTTTATAGCAGCATGATTTATAATCCTTTGGGTATATACCCAGTAATGGGATGGCTGGGTCAAATGGTATTTCTAGTTCTAGATGCCTGAGGAATCGCCACACGGACTTCCACAATGGTTGAACTAGTTTACAGTCCCACCAACAGTGTAAAAGTGTTCCTATTTCTCCACATCCTCTCCACACCTGTTGTTTCCTGACGTTTTAATGATCACCATTCTAACTGGTGTGAGATGGTATCTCATTGTGGTTTTGATTCGCATTTCTCTGATGGCCAGTGATGATGAGCATTTTTTCATGTGTCTTTTGGCTGCATAAATGTCTTCTTTTGAGAAGTGTCTGTTCATATCCTTCGCCCACTTGTTGATGGGGTTGTTTGTTTTTTTCTTGTAAATTTGTTTGAGTTCATTGTAGATTCTGGATATTAACCCTTTGTCAGATGAGTAGATTGCAAAAATTTTCTCCCATTCTGTAGGTTTCCTATTCACTCTGATGGTAGTTTCTTTTGCTGTGCAGAAGCTCTTTAGTTTAATTAGATCCCATTTGTCAATTTTGGCTTTTGTTGCCACTGCTTTGGGTGTTTTAGACATGAAGTCCTTGCCCATGCCTATGTCCTGAATGGTGTTGCCTAGGTTTTCTTCTAGGGTTTTTATGGTTTTAGGTCTAACATTTAAGTCTTTAAACCATCTTGAATTGATTTTTGTATAACATGTAAGGAAGGGATCCAGTTTCAGCTTTCTACATATGGCTAGCCAGTTTTCCTAGCACCATTTATTAAATAGGGAATCCTTTCCCCATTTCTCGTTTTTGTCAGGTTTGTCAAAGATCAGATAGTTGTAGATATGTGGCATTATTTCTGAGGGCTCTATTCTGTTCCATTGGTCTATATCTCTGTTTTGGTACCAGTACCATGCTGTTTTGGTTATTGTAGCCTTGTACTATAGTTTGAAGTCAGGTAGCATGATGCCTCCAGCTTTGTTCTTTTGGCTTAGGATTGACTTGGCGATGTGGGCTCTTTTTTGGTTCCATATGAACTTTAAAGTAGTTTTTTCCAATTCTGTGAAGAAAGTCATTGGTAGCTTGATGGGGATGGCACTGAATCTATAAATTACCTTGGGCAGTATAGCCATTTTCATGATATTGATTCTTCCTACCCATGAGCATGGAATGTTCTTCCATTTATTTGTACCCTCTTTTATTTCATTGAGCAGTGGTTAGTAGTTCTCCTTGAAGAGGTCCTTCACATCCCTTGTAAGTTGGATTCCTAGGTATTTTATTCTCTTTGAAGCAACTGTGAATGGGAGTTCACCCATGATTTGGCTCTCTGTTTGTCTGTTATTGGTGTATAAGAATGCTTGTGATTTTTGCACATTGATTTTATATCCTGAGACTTTGCTGAAGTTGCTTATCAGCTTAAGGAGATTTTGGGCTGAGATTATGGGGTTTTCTAGATATACAATCATGTCGTCTGCAAACAGGGACAATTTGACTTCCTATTTTCCTAATTGAATACCCTTTATTTTCTTCTCCTGCCTGATTGCCCTGGCCAAAACTTCCAAAACTAAGTTGAATCAGAGTGGTGAGAGAGGGCATCCCTGTCTTGTGCCAGTTTTCAAAGGGAATGCTTCCAGTTTTTGCCCATTCAGTATGATATTGGCTGTGGGTTTGTCATAGATAGCTCTTATTATTCTGAGATACATCCCACGAATACCTAATTTATTGAGAGTTTTTAGCATGAAGGTTGTTGAGTTTTGTCAAAGGCGTTTTCTGCATCTATTGAGATAATCATGTGGTTTTTGTCATTGGTTCTGTTTATATGCTGGATTACGTTTATTGATTTGCCTATGTTGAACTAGCCTTGCATCCCAGGGATGAAGCCCACTTGATCATGGTAGATAAGCTTTTTGATGTGTTGCTGGATTCGGTTTGCCAGTATTTTATTGAGGATTTTTGCATCAATGTTCATCAAGGATATTGGTCTAAAATTCTCTTTTTTTGTTGTGTCTCTGCCAGTCTTTGGTATCAGGATGATGCTGGCCTCATAAAATGAGTTAGGGAGGATTCCCTCTTTTTCTATTGATTGGAATAGTTTCAGAAGGAATGGCACCAGCTCCTCCTTGTACCTCTGGTAGAATTTGGCTGTGAATCCATCTGGTCCTGGACTTTTTTTGGTTGGTAAGCTGTTAATTATTGACTCAATTTCAGATCCTGTTATTGGTCTATTCAGAGATTCAACTTCTTCCTGGTTTAGTCTTGGGAGAGTGTATGTGTTGAGGAATTTATCCATTTCTTCTAGATTTTCTAGTTTATTTGCATAGAGGTGTTTGTAGTATTCTCTGATGGTAGTTTGTGTTTCTGTGGGATCAGTGGTGATATCCCCTTTATCATTTTTTATTGCGTCTATTTGATTCTTCTCTCTTTTCTTCTTTATTAGTCTTGCTAGTGGTCTATCAGTTTTGTTGATCTTTTCAAAAAACCAGCTCCTGAATTCATTGATTTTTTGAATGGTTTTTTTGTGTCTCTATCTCCTTCAGTTCTGCTCTGATCTTAGTTATTTCTTGCCTCTTTAGTTATTTTAATTGCGATGTTAGGGTATCAATTTTAGATCTTTCCTGCTTTCTCTTGTGGGCATTTATTGCTATAAATTTCCCTCTACACACTGCTTTGAATGTGTCCCAGAGATCCTGGTATGTTGTGTCTTTGTTCTCGTTCGTTTCAAAGAACATCTTTATTTCTGCCTTCATTTTGTTATGTACCCAGTAGTCATTCAGGAGCAGGTTGTTCAGTTTCCATGTAGTTGAGCGGTTTTGAGTGAGTTTCTTAATCCTGAGTTCTAGACGTAGATTTGGTCGTTTCACATAGTCCCATATTTCTTGGAGACTTTGTTCGTTTCTTTTAATTCTTTTTTCTCTAAATTTCTGTTCTCACTTCATTTCATCCATTTGATCTTCCATCACTGATACCCTTTCTTCCAGTTGATCAAATCGGCTACTGAGGCTTGTGCATTCGTCACATAGATCTTGTGCTGTGGTTTTCAGCTTCATCAGGTCCTTTAAGGACTTCTCTGCATTGGTTATTCTAGTTAGCCATTCGTCTAATCTTTTTTCAATGTTTTTAACTTCTTTGCCATGGGTTCGAACTTGCTCCTTTAGCTCGGAGTAGTTTGATCATCTGAAGCCATCTTCTCTCAACTCGTCAAAGTCATTCTCCATCCAGCTTTCTTCCAATGCTGGTGAGGAGATGCATTCCTTTGGAGGAGGAGAGGTGCTCCAATTTTTAGAATTTTCAGTTTTTCTGCTCTGTTTTATCCCCATCTTTGTGGTTTTATCTATCTTTGGTCTTTGATGATGGTGATGTACAGCTGGGGTTTTGGTTGGATGTCCTTTCTGTTTGTTAGTTTTCCTTCTAACAGTTAGGACCCTCAGCTGCAGGTCTGTTGGAGTTTGCTGGAGGTCCACTCCAGACCCTGTTTGCCTGGGTATCCGCATCAGAGGCTTCAGAACAGTGGATATTGGTGAACAGCAAATGTTGCTGCCTGCTCATTCCTCTGGAAGTTTTGTCTCAGAGGAGTACCCGGCCATGTGAGGTGTCAGTTTGTCCCTACTGGGGGATGCCTCCCAGTTAGTCTACTCGGGGGTCAGGGACCCACTTGAGGAGGCAATCTGTCCATTCTCAGATCTCCAGCTGCATGCTGGGAGAACCACTACTCTCTTCAAAGCTGTCAGACAGGGACATTTATGTCTGCAGAGGTTTCTGCTGCCTTTTGTTTGGCTATGCCCTGCCACCAGAAGTGCAGTCTATAGAGTCAGGCAGGCCTCCTTGAGCTGCCGTGGGCTCCACCCAGTTGGAGCTTCCTGGCCACTTTGTTTACCTACTCAAGCCTCAGCAATGGTGGGTGCCTCTCCCCCAGCCTCACTGCCACCTTGCAGTTTGATCTCAGACTGCTGTGGTAGCAATGAGTGAGGCTCTGTGGGAGTAGGACCCTCTGAGTCAGGCGTGGAATATAATCTCCTGGTGTGCCGTTTGCTGAGACCATTGGAAAAGCAGTGTATTAGTGTGGGAGTGACCCGATTTTCCAGTTGCCATCTGTCACCCCTTTCCTTGGCTAGGAAAGGGAATTCCCTGACCCCTTGTGCTTCCCAGGTGAGGTGATGCCTTGCCCTGCTTCAGCTCACACTCGGTGTGCTGCATTCAGTGTCCTGCACCCACTGTCTGACAATCCCCAGTGAGATGAACATGGTACCTCAGTTGGAAATGCAGAAATCACCCGTCTTCTGCATCGCTCACGCTGGGAGCTGTAGACTGGAGCTGTTCCTATTAGGCCATCTTGGATCCACCCTCCAAGTCTATGCTTTTAAGCACGACACCATGCTGCCCAGTGCAGATAATATTTGAAACCAAAGTTTCTCCATTTTGTAACTAAATAATATCAGGCAAGTTAATCTCTCTGAGCCTCAATTTCCTTTTAGAAAAAAGAAAATTATCATTCATTCAACAAATATTTATCAACCACTTATTATGTGCTAGTCATTCTGCTAGGAGATATTCAACAGTCAACAAAATAGATGTGGCTCCTGTCTTAATGGAACTCAGAATCCAACATGTTAACATGATTGTGAAGATTCCAGAGTTGATTTATATAAGGTGTTCACAATTGTACTTGACATATTCCAGGGACTCACTGATATTATCATTGAATAAAAGAACTTGGAGTGTGTATTTTTCTCAGATGAAAAATGAGCAAGATGTGTGTGGAAGAGCTCATAAGGGTCTTTAAAATAAATAAAGGGTCTATTTGATCCAATTGGCCATAGTTAAGACATCAGAAGTAAAACCATCAATATATTCCTTTTATTGATATAGGAAAGTAGTTTCATTTCAATGGCTAAGATGATTCAAAATTATTTAGAAATTATAAACTGGGTATAATACACACATCAATATCATACAAAACTACTAAGAATAAGCATGCTAACATGTTTAAAGTTATTATCTTTAGCAGATGATGAGGATATAAACTTTTATGTCTTTGATCTCCTCATCTATATTTGCTGTTATTGCTGCTGCTACTACTTCAGCATCTTCTTTTTTCCAATATACCCACGATTCAACAGCTTTTCTTCAAAGTCTTGCCTAACTATACCAGCTCTCATCATCCCTCCCCATATCTGAACTCTTAAGACACTTTTAGCCTGCATCATACAAGGAAGAGTATAATAAAAGAGCCCTGTCTTCCCAACTAGATATGTGAACTCCTTACAAGCAGATACCTTTTCTCCTACTACTTGCATTTCCTCCCACCTCCACACTAGGGGGTTATCTCAGTGCTAAGCATGTACCAGGTGCTTAAAACATAGATCAATATGTATGCATATATATGTTCAAAATCAGGAGACCTTAGGAAACTCATCTCTCCTCTCAAGTCTTCAATAACCTCATTCAGTTGTAATTATTTTTTCTCATCTGTGAACTGAGGAATTGGGAATAGATTGGTGATCCCTTAAACTTTTAAAATATTAGGATCTCTTTTTCACATCATAGTGTGTCCAGAATTTATTCCTTCCAGTGGGTTCTTGGTCCCGCTGACTTCAAGAATGAAGTCGCAGACCCTCGTGGTGAGTGTTACAGCTCTTAAAGATGGTGTGTCCAGAGTTTGTTCCTTCAGATGTTCAGATGTGTCCAGAGTTTCTTCCTTCTGGGGGGTTCGTGGTCTTGCTGACTTCAGGAGTGAAGCCCCAGACCTTTGCAGTGAGTGTTACAGCTCTTAAAGGTGGCAAGTCTGGAGTTTTTTGTTCCTTCTGGTGGGTTTGTGGTCTCACTGACTTCAGGAATGAAGCCACAGACCTTCGCAGTGAGTGTTACAACTCTTAAAGGTGGCGCATCCAGAGTTGTTTGTTCCTCCCAGTGGGTTCATGGTCTCACTGACTTCAGGAATGAAGCCACAGACCCTCGTGGTGAGTGTTACAGCTCTTAAAGGTAGTGTGAACCCAAAGAGTGAGCAGCAGCAAGATTTACTGTGAAGAGCGAAAGAACAAAGCTTCCACGCTGTGGAAGGGGACCCAAGCAGGTTGCCGCTGCTGGCTTGGTTGGCCAGCTTTTATTCCCTTATTTGGCCCCACCCACGTCCTGCTGATTGGTCCATTTTACAGAGCACTGATTGGTGTGTTTTTACAGAGTGCTGATTGGTGCATTTACAATCCTTTAGCTAGACACAGAGCACTGATTGGTGCATTTTTACAGAGTGCTGATTGGTGCTTTTACAATCCTTTAGCCAGACACAGATCGCTGATTGGTGCATTTTTACCGAGTGCTGATTGGTGCATTTACAATCTTTTAGCCAGACACAGAGTGCTGATTGGTGCATTTTTACAGAGTGCTGATTGGTGCATTTACAATCCTTTAGCTAGATACAGAGTGCTGATTGGTGCATTTACAATCCTTTAGCTAGACACAAAAGTTCTCCAAGTCTCCACCTGACTCAGAAGCCCGGTTGGCTTCACCTGTCAATCCCCCCTCTAAACAGGACACCCCAATTGCTGTTGGGAATTGGATGATGACCACTCTAGCTACTTCCTCCTGGATAGGGGTGAAGAAGGGGCCTGCAGTTGTAGTGTCCTCCAGAGGGGAACTCTTTAGGCCAGTGAAAGGGCCAGTGGGTCAGTCCAGGGGTCCTTGGTAGAAGTTGTTAGTTGAGGTCATTTGGGGTTCCATTTGTAAGACCATCTGTAGCTTGATGGCCTCAATCCTAAAGGAGGTTAAAAATACAGGGCCCGAAGGTGAGTAATAGCAAGATGGCTGTCACAGGACCTAGAAAGGGGAGAAGCCATGTCACCCAACTCCAGTAGTTGGTATAAGAGTTTGAAAAGCATTGTCTGATTTCGGAAGCCTTTTCCTGTAAATGCCAGGCAGCATCTCATACTATCCCTGACTGGTTAGTGTAAAAACAACACTCTTCCCCTAAGAAGGTGCAGAGTCCTCCTTTCTCAGCAGTGAGGAGGTCTAGGCCTCAGCAGTTTCGGAGAGTCACTGCTGCCAAAGAGTCTAGTTGGAATTGTAGAGTAAGGATAGATTTTGTTATTTCTTGCAAACTGTCTGAGAAATCCTTTGAGAGTATGTGATAGTAGGATAATGAAGTAGATAAACTGGCTATTCTGGTTCCAGTAGCAGTAGCCATTCCTCACCCTATAAGTAGGGGTATTAGTTATATGGCTGTGCACTGATGGACTTGAGCTTTGAGGGGTACTGATAGGGTCTGATTTCCTAGGGCAATGTTAATGTTGGGACTTAGAAAGACTAAGGTGCAGGTGCCTGTCCAGTTAGTGGGGAGGCAGATATAGGTTGACATTCCACATAAGAAGAATATACCTTGGCTGGGTAGACAGAACTGGTTGTATACGTTAAAAAGGTGTGTTGAGTTTGTTGTTTTTGCTTTCCCATACTCCTAGAGTACTTGCCAAGGTAATTCCAATGAGTGGCTGGAAAGGGGTGTTGGGAGCAAATTGAGTGGCTCCCTGTGTTCTGTTTTCCCATGGAGAAAAAAACCGTTTTGTATCTACTAGGAACCGTTCGAGAGAGTGATTGAAAGAGGGGATGAGAAGGCATTTACTAGTGGTGTGGGTGCTGATGCAGGGGGTACAGGGGTAAATGGTCATGCAGGGAGTATGTTTGCCATAACAAAACCTGGACTGTTTGTTAAGTAGGGAGGAGGCAATGATTTTTGGAGGCCTTGAGAAGCAGACAAGCCGTCTGAATGGAGCTGTTTGGGTGACTCGAAAGTTACTATGATCAGTTGGGGCTTGAAGATGTAGGGTGTAATTACACTGATGGGGTAGTAGGTGCCCCAGGGACAGGTCTGATAACAGGTTGCATTGGATGCATAAAGGGACTTAGAAAGTTAAGATGGCATTCATAGTTACAGGGCCATGTATGGGCTTTTCATTGCTTGTGTAATAGGTAAGGTTGGAAATGTAAGAATGTAAAAGTTGGATTTCACATCCTGTTAGGGTATTCTTGGTCCTATCAGAGATGGGGAAGTCAGCTAATGATTGCATATTTAGAAGTCAGAAAGGGTCTTTTCCTTCATAATGAGGGTGGTAGGTTAAGTTGGTAAAGACCCAATTTTTTGTGGGAATGGGAGTGGCAATGTAAGCAGAGGTTGATAGAGAGATACAAAGCCAACAGTCATTTGCCAGGGAAGGATTGGACTAGTTTAACAGAGAGTGGGTTAAGTTCACAGTCTTGTAGAAATAATTAGGAGCTAGTGGAAGGAGAGGGGTGATTGTATGAGGTATCCAAGGAAGCAGGAGGGATAGATAGGCAAAGAGGAAATAGGAAGGTAAAGAGGGTGCTCTGGAATTTTATCCAGTCTGAGTTAAAGGTAGGAGTAAATTGCTGTCAGAAGGAAGGGAGATAGAAAGAAGGTTGATGTGATTAGTATTTTCATCCTGGCAGAAGCTACAGTATATAGTCCTATCACAAAGAGTACGGTTAGTAAGCTGCTTAATAATATGATGAAATAGTAAAAGGATTCCATTAAAGGGGCAAGGAGAGGTGTTAAAGATTATGTAGGTTTTCACTTATCTTTTTTAAGGAGGAAGGGGTTGTTCCTCAGGATCAGTGGTAGGAGCCTTTTTAGTCTGGGATGTTTCCTTCCAAAATAGGAGATGCAAGTCCTCCAATGGTTCGCAGGTGTATCAAGGCTGGTCTGGCTGATCTTGGGACTCCTGAGCTGACTGTCCCACAGGTTCCTCAGGGGGTGTCCAAAATTTAACTCGGGTGTGGTGAATCCAAGATTCCACTCCTGCCACCTTATCTGCAGTGGGGGTAGAGAGGATTACCGAGTATGGTCCTTCTCACAAAGAATCCATAGATAGGGAGGTAGAGGGGAGAGATTTGACCAACACTAGATCTCCTGGTTGAAACAATTCTGTTCTCTTTCTCTGTGACATCCTTCAGGTAGGTTTTTTACGGTTTCATTGATATTTTGCCAAAGAAGTTATATCTTTGACCAAGTTGGCCATTTACTGATCAAGTAGGAGGTCATTTGTGAGAAAAGTTCATCCATACAGCATTTCATATGGACTGAGCCCCATTTTGTGAGGAGAATTTCAGATTCTCAACAAGGCCATGGGCAAAAGAGTAGGCCATGGGAGATGAGTTTCTTGTGTTATTTCCTTAAGTGACTCTTGAGTGTTTCATTTGCCTTCTAGACCTTCCCAAGGATCGTGGCCTCCAAGCACAGTGAAGGTGATATTGTATCCCTAGCGCCCTGGAAATTCCGAGTTATCGTGGCTTTAAAAGCCGGACCATTGTAGCTCTGTAAGCTTTGGGGAAGCCTAAATCTAGGAATTATTTCATGAATTAGGACTTTAATCACTTCCTGAGCCTTCTCTGTCTTGCAGGGGAAAGCTTCTATCCAATTTGTAAAGATATCAACACAGACCAACAAGTATTGAAATCCCTTTGACGTAGGCATATGGGTGAAGTCTAACTGCCATTCCTCTCTGGGATAGTGACCTATTCTTTGTTCCCCCAAAGGGACCTTACGATGAACCAAGGGATTATTCCTCTAGCACACCTCATGGGCTTTGACTACCTGTTGGATGGTCCAGAGGAGATTTGGCCCTGTAAATAGGGACTTGGCCATTCAATGAGTGTTTTCAATACCCATATGAAAAGTTTGGTGGAGGGTTTTAAGTATTTTCCACTGGCTGGCTTCGGGTATAATTACCTTTCCTTTTTCTGTCGTTAACCACTCTGAGGGGAGAAAATTATGCCCCGGGAAAAGTCCTCATTCTGTTTCAGTAGAGAATACTGGGGCTTAATCTCTTGGAGGGGTTGTTCCATACCAAGGGTCCTTCCATAGGTATTTCTAATGGGAGGTTCCACCTGGCAGCAATTTTGGCCTCAGCATCTGCCCAACTGTTTCCTTCTGCCTTTTCTCCTTCACCTTTCTGATGGCTTTGGCAGTTTAAGACTGCCACCTCCTTGGGTTCTTGCACTGCATGCAATAACTCCATAATTTCCTTGTGGTATTTAATGGGGGTTCCCCCAGAGGTTAGGAACTCCCTTTCTTTCCATATTGCAGCATGGGCATGTAGGATTAGATAAGCATACTTACTATCTGTAGAAAAGTCTCCCAATTACAACTGAGGAGGTGGGAGAAATACCTGGTTACAGGCTGTCCCAGGATTCCCCGGATGGTAACGGACCTTGAGGACAGCTGTCTGGGACAGGAGATTAACACTGAGAAAGCCGCACCATTGTCCAGGAGGAAGTCAATTTCCTGGCCCTCAACGGCTATACATACCTGGGGTTCAGTGAGGGTGATGACATGAGCTGGCACTTGCCCCGGGCACCCTCAGTCCTGTTGTTGGATCATCTGGTTGGGGGCTTCTGGCCCTGAGAACCTTTGCCCTCTGGGGCAGTGTGCCTTCTAGTGATTGCCTTGGCATAGTGGAGATGGATGAGGGGGCAGCTTGTTTCTCATTAGACAATCTTTTTTAAAGTGCCCTTGTAAACCACGCTGATAACAAGCCCTACCAAGTGATTGGCCTGCTCCATTTTCTGTCCTCTCTGAATCACCAAGGTTGGTTTGTCTGAGGGCCATGACTAATGCTGCAGCCTTTCTCTGATCTTGCTTTTCCTTTTGGGCCTCTTCCTCTTGATCCCTATTACAGAACACCGAGGTTGCCAGGTTTAATAATGCCTTTTGTTCAGGGCCCAGGGCTCACTTTTGGAGCTTTCTCCTGATATCTGTGGCTGATTGGGTAATAAACTTATCTTTTAGGATCAATTGACCCTCAAGTGAGTTGGGTGACAGGGGAGTATATTTTCTTAAGGCCTCCCATAGCCACTCGAGGAAGGTGGAAGGATTTTCTTCCTTTCTCTGAGTTATGGTGGACATCATTGAATAATTCATGGGCTTTTTCCTAATTCTCCTTAGTCCTTCTAGAACACAGGTCAACAGATGTTTGTGACTCTAGTCCCCATGATCTGAGTCAAGGTCCCAGTGGGGATCCATACTGGGGACAGCTTGCTGACCAGTAGGAAATTTGTCCCTTTCTTCAGCTGTCATTCTATCATTTACTTGGCTAAGATACCAGGTATCTCCAAACTCTCAGGCTGCAGCTGAAGCCACATTCTTTTCATTAAAGGCCAGGGTTTGATCTAACAATAGCATGACATCTCTCCAAGTGAGATAGAAGGTTTGCCCTACACCCTATAGGACATCTATATACCTATCAGGATCATCTGAAAGCTTTCCCAGGTCTGCATTGATCTGCTTTAAATCAGAGAGGGAGAAAGGGACATGTACCCGGGTTGGGCCAAATTCCCCTCCCCCTACAGCTTGAAGGGGACATAACCGATAGCCCAGGGGGTTTTGTGGTCCTTTGGAGATTTCTTTTATTGTTTCCTTCTGGGCAGGGGAGATTAGAGGAGGCTTAACATTAATAGGAAGGTGAGCTATAGGGAGGCTAGGATATGAGGGTAAGCTGAAAGGTCCTCCTGTGGGATGTAAATTGCAAGCTTTGCATAGTTGTGTATTCTCCTTCAATGAAAAGAAAGCTTGAACATAAGGTATTTCACTCCATTTGCCTTCCCTCTTACAGAAAAGGTCAAGCTGCAGGATAGTATTGTAATTTATACTTCCCTCTGTTGGCCATTTTTCCCCATCAGAGAGAGAATACTGGGGCCAGGCCATAGTGCAGAAAAAAAATAAGCTGCCTCTTTTTCAGGGTTTGCAGGTCAAATTGGTCCCAATGGCTTAGGATGCATTTCAAGGGTGAGCCTGTTGGTGCCTGAGTGTTTCCCATCTGAAAGACAAAACCACCCATGGTTTTGGTTTGTTTGTTTCTCCCCCTGCCCAAGAACCTGCAACAGTCCCTGGACCCTGCTGATCAGAATAGTTGCTCTCACCAATGCAACAGCAGAAACACCTCTTGCCCAAGAACCTGCAACGGTCCCTGGACCCTACTGATCGGAATAGTTGCACTCACCAACACAGCAGCAGAAACACTAGTTTTCCTCCTAGACCACAAGGAGGACTGAGGAATGTTGGATTTAGTGGCCCTTATCGACACATTCTTGAAAACCTGCACCCTTGCCTGTCCTCCTAGACCACAAAGAGGACCGAGAAAAATCGGATTTAGTGGCCCTTACTGACGCATTCTCGAAAACCTGTTAGAGTCCTAAGCATTCTCCTGTTAGTATTGGGACTTTACCAGTGTCCTATAAAGATGTTATGCCCCAAAAATGAAGTGGAGGGCCATATCCTGAGGGAGGGAAGGGATCTCCAGAGTTGCAAGAGTGATGCCTTTTGTCCTCACTTATATGAATAGGAAGGATACAATTTCTGAAGATCCCCATATCCTAGCTTCAGGAATAGCTTTTGTTAGGCCTGCTTGTCTGAGGAGGGATCCTAAAATTCCAGATAGTCCCCCTCTACAATGGGGCTTTGGGAAAAAATTATATCTTTCTGATTGGTGAGCCCAGGTGCCTAAAGAAGGGAATACAGTCCTGGAGTTTATACTAGAAATCATTCTTATAGGAGAAACTAGAAAAGCACCAGAGACAGGGAGTGGTTTTTAGAAGTGGGAGTAGCCTTGGAGAAGAGAGGCGAGAGGAAGTTTGTCTGACAGGCATTAGGACCCAGGAGGCAAAAGTCAGGATAGATAGGATAGATGGGCAAGTCTCGCTTGGGTGAAGTAACTTTGAGAGTTCTGCTTATGGCTGCAGGGTCAACCAACTTGTTGTCGTGACCCCAGAGCTGAATGGCTGTCCTCTCTGTCAACCCTAGGCTCAGCCCAGAAGTATGGGAAAAGTGGAAGCTGTTTCCAGGCAAACCAACGCTCCCAACTCCGAAGAGTTGGAGGTTGTTCGAGAGCCCTTTCCCAGAAAGCCTGACACCCGTGTCTTTAGTCTGGTGGCCGTGCTAGTCACTTTTAACTGGCCGACAGATGCCTGGTATTTAGCCCCTGAATTCTAAGGAAAAATAGGAAAGAATAGCAAGTGAAAGGGGTCTGATGGTACTCACCACTTGGTGATTGTCCCATCTGCTCACCAAAATGTGTCCGGAATTTATTCCTTCTGGTGGGTTCATGGTCTCACTGACTTCAGGAGTGGAACCGCAGACCTTCACAGTGAGTGTTACAGCTCTTAAAGGTGGCGCGTCCGGAGTTGTTTGTTCCTCTCGGTGGGTTCGTGGTCTCACTGACTTCAGGAATGAAGTCTCAGACCCTCGCAGTGAGTGTTACAGCTCATAAAAGTAGTGTGGACCCAAAGAGTGAGCAACAGCAAGATTTATTGTGAAGAGCGAAAGAACAAAGCTTCCACAGTATGGAAGGGGACCCAAGCGGGTTGCCGCTGCTGGCTCAGGTGGCCAGCTTTTATTCCCTTATTTGGCCCTGCCCATATCCTGCTGATTCGTCCATTTTACAGAGCACTGATTGGTGTGTTTTTACAGAGTGCTGATTGGTGCATTTACAATCCGTTAGCTAGACACAGAGTGCTGATTGGTGCATTTTTACAGAGTGCTGATTGGTGCATTTACAATCCTTTAGCCAGACACAGAGCGCTGATTGGTGCATTTGCAATCCTTTAGCTAGAGACTGAAGTTCTCCAAGTCCCCATCTGACCCAGAAGCCCAGCTGGCTTCACCTCTCAATAGTACTTGTGTTTTCAGTATCCATTAGATCAGGGATCTCCAACCACTGGGACATGGATAGGTACCAGTTCATGGCCTGTGAGGAACCAGGCCACACAGCAGGAAGTGAATGGTAGTTGAGTGACTGAAGTTTCATCTGTATTTACAGCTGCTCCCCATTGCTTGCATTACCACCTGACCTCAGCCTCCTGTCAGATCAGCAGCAGCTTTCAATTCTCATAGGAGCACAAACCCCATTGTGAACTGTGCAAGTGAGGGAACTAGGCTGCACACTCCCTATGAGAATCTAATGCCTAATGATCTGTCACTGTCTTCCATCACCCCCAGATGGGACTGTCTAGTTGCAGGAACACAAGCTTAAGGCTCCCACTGATTCTACACTATGGTGAATTTTATGATTATTTCATTATATATTACAATGTAATAATAATAGAAATGAAGTGCACAATAAATGAAATATGCTTGAATCATCCCAAAACCATCTCCCCAGTCTATGGAAAAATTTTCTTCCATGAAACCGATTTCTTGTGCCAAAAAGATTGGGGACCACTGTATTAGATGAAAATAGTACATGACAAAATGTTTAAATATATTTAGTACATTTTAAATGAATTAATTTTTTTGGTGATGATAACATCTACCAACAGATAATCTTGCAGTGCCCAGAAGTTATAGCTCACAGGTTTAAAATCATTAGGGTGTGCACCCTCCTGCTTATCAACTCATAGTTATCAAATCACTATGTTATTAACTTATTTTGTTGATTTATGCCTTGAGAGCCTATGGGTTCATATCTTTGAACACAGGTTTTTGAAAGTCAGGAATATATATCCTAAATATCTTTAAATATGTCCTCTCATGATATTTTAAGCTCTACTAGCTCACTTCTCTAGGACTCTTCATTGGGCTGTTTATGGGAGCATTTTGGAAGACAGGAAAGCAGAAATCATTTTGCTGACAATTCTGTAAGATACATGGAGGGGATTATTTATGTGTTTCTCAATCTAGTCAAGTGGATTCCAGAAAAAGGAGGCAAAAGGGTTAAATCTCTTCTGTGATTAGCCTGAGGTAGGTAGAAACACACTTTTCATGATGTCCGTGAATAAATGTTAGATTTTGTCCTTTTAGCAGCTATGAAAACAAAATTTCTGTGGCCCTTCCTTATTTGAATTAAGGGGTTCTGTAAGTCCCTGAACAAGCAACGCTTACATCACCTGGAAACTTGTTAGTTGTCCCCTAATGAATCAGAAAATCTAGGGCTAAGGCCCAGAAATCTGTGTTTTAATAAGCCCTCCCTGTGATGCTTACAGAACCACCAGTCTAATCCAATTTCTTTGCAACAAGTGAAATCTCTAAAAAGGCTACGGTAGAAGGAAGTCATCTTGAAGGCAAAAAGTGAAAAAGGGTAAATGTATAAAACCTAGATCTATAAAAGGCAAGAATAGAAAGATAGCCACTGCCTTTCTTATAGTTTACTTTATTTAATCTTATCAGAACATTGTTTTTACTAGACTTTTTGGGTCTAGGTCAATATATCTTGCTGTGGATGCCATTTAAATTGATCCTTATACCTGCTTCCTCACAATAGCCTTTAAGTATCTACTAGTGAGGCTGAATTTGAGCTTTCTTTCCATAGATGTCTAAAACTTATTGATTCTAATTATTAAAACACTTCAAGGGTAGTTTTTGTATCATCCCTGTATTCTGGATAATGACAGTCTCAGTGGTTGCCATTTTCAGAATGATATGTTGCAACTTAATAATTATTGAACATAAATATTAAGATCTCACTGGAGAAAACTGAAAGGAGAGTCATCTGAATGGGAGTGCATATCCACATCAATAACCATTCTATTAGGAAAAAGTACCAGCATTCTTGAAAACTCTCCCTTTGGTTTTGGCTTTTTTTCAGGATAATTAGGACTTTTAAATAAAATAACATTTGAAAGAACTCAGAAAGTATAAAGCACTCTACAAGTAATAGTAATACAAATAATAGGCAACATTAATCAGATATCTTTCTGTGCTAGGCACTATGCTAATCACTTCACATACATTACCACAATCTCTCAGCAGTCCTTCACAATAGGTATTATTATCTTCATTTTATGAAAGAGGTTAGGTAACTTGGCCAAGGCCATATAATTAATAAATAGTAGAGGTGAAATATGAACTAAGATCTGGCATATTTCAAATTCCATGCTGCTAACCACTATATTTATTGACTCAGTGTCATTTTCTCTACATCTATATCTACATTTGTTTATTTAGATAAAATTTGAATATAGTGTTTTCTCACTGCAGAAATTTAAACATGAATGAAGTATTTCAAACAGTGAAACCTCCCTTCACCACCATCCAACTGCAGTCCCACTTTTATTCATATTTGAAGTGGGCAAAATTCTGTGTTTCTTTCAACAGGAGTGTTTTCCTACTGAAAGTCAAGCAGACCTGCACATGTACCCCTGAACTTATAGCAAAAGTTAAAAACTGTCTTTTAATAGCTCCCGCCAAAAAAGGATTGTTGTAATTACAATAAGTGGAAGAGTTATTACATTTCTTAAACGTGATTCAGTGAAGTGCAGTTCATTTTTTAAACCAAACCTTTGGGCTAAGATACTACCAACTGAACTTGTTACATGCAAAACAAAAGATTTAGTTAACTGGGCTGTCAGTGTAGACATGGCACTCTCAGCTCTATCATGTGATAGATTATTCAGAAGCCTGGCAACCCATCTAGATTTGCTTCATTCTCCAGCAGGGCAGGTGTATTTATTTAACAACTCTTTTGGCAGTGAGACAAGTTTTTTTCGTTTTTTTGTTTGCCATAAAAGAATGCTTGAGTCTACAATTGCCTTTAATGAATGCTGACTTTTTCTTAAATTAGAGGGGTCTCACTGTATCTCCAAGTAGCATACGCCCAACCTGAAAAATCTATTTTCATACCACTACACTGATATTGCCCACTAGGACTTACGGTAACATAGCAGAGAATGAATTCAGTGAAACATTGTCTTCTTTCTTCTCCACTCTTTTGGGCAATTCCTGCTCAGCAAGTTCTAAACTGGCTCGGTAATATTTAATTGTTCCATAATGCTTTTCTCTGCCAATTAAAAGAGAAAGGTAGCATACTGCCACCATCAATATTTTACTGCAGCCAACAAATTACACTGCAGTAAATGACTTCCTAGGCTCACAAATACAAGGATGTGAGCCTTCACTTTTCCACTCAGCTTTAGTGCCCAAAAGCGAAACCAACTTTCAGCTTCCCAGAAGTTTGTTCCAAAACCGAAAATGCTCTCATTGAGTCATTTTGTTGTCATATTATTCAGAGATTCTGAGTAATCCCAGTTTGATCTCTCTTTGTCCAGAGGAATAGGGGTCTGACTAATTTCTAGGGGGATTGATAGTCTAGCCGAGGATCACCTGAGTACATACTCACCTGTCAGTGTTATTTTTTCTGGCTGCATCAGGATGGCTCTATTTCAAAGTGAAGAGCGGCAGTCCCAGAATCCTAGGATAAAAACCTATTAGCCCGGATATTAACATGGAACTGGAAGTGGGCCTATCTTACCAAGCTTTCTACACATATTTAAGACAGAATGAATTTCTTAGTACAAATAGAGAAAAGGAGACACTTACATCAAGCTTTCTATGCAATACGTTAACAGGAAAAATAGAGTTCAAATCGATCTCCTCGGAAGGACAGCATTTTATAGACTCTAAATGTATATAAATGAAAGCCAGGCAGAGGCACTCCATCCATTAGGCTTTCTACTAACTCATCATCTTTAGTGTCTCCCCACTCCCACCTTGACCCCTTCTGGTGATGGACACTCTTTCCTGTGCACTGTAAAATTGCTATATCCATCTTGAGAAAACAAGATCTAAACATAAATTAAAATTAAACTAAGTATACATATGTAATGTGCTACAATAGACTGGATGGAATAAGATAGAAGTTGAAGATAATATTTTAATAGGGGCATTGAATCTGTATAAAATATTAAATAATCATGTCTACAAGGAAAACTGAAGAGCACAGAGGTGGCTTCAGCATTTCAGACATACAGAGATGCTCTAAACAGAAGAAGGAAAAGAAACAAACCAAACCAAACTCAAACAAAACAAAACAAAACAAAACAGGGCTTTCTTGACCACTTTGTGAGGTGATCAGGTGGGAGTAATGTAAGTTGCATGAAGGTTAATGGAGCACCAGCCAAGGAGTCCCAGGCAGCCTGCCATTCTAGATGTAAGGAAATATACCATCTGCATGCAAGTGCCGGCTCATCTGTGAGCACCTGCCACAGCTTCTGCTTTTATATGACTCACACTGCAAGATTAGACAAGGTAAGGAAAATCTCAATGTCAGTGGTCAAGAAGTTAGCAATACATGGTGGCCTTGAGAAGGTGAACTGTCTCTATTGCTATTCCTTGCTACAATGAGATAGAGAAGGGGAAAGGTGGACAAATCCCTTATTTCAAAAGATACTCCACTTCCACATAGGACAAGTCTAGAAAGGTGCCTCACTAATACAATAAGCAAAATATCTGTGAGTACAAAAAGACTTTATTGTCAGCTATTACCTCAGGCCTGACTTCCTGCCAACATAAGCAAAGTAAGTTATAGGTTCACTCAGTAAATTCAGGAAAAGACAGAGAGGGATCGGAGGAGGAACAAAACAGCAGTGGCAGAAGAATGGCCATTTGTTCCACTACTGACTTGGATGCAAAAAGATACTGAGCAGGCATGTTCTATGAGATACATGGCTTTGAGAAATATTTTTATTCCTCTGAGCCTTGGCTTATCATAATAGAGATTCCCCTGCTCTGTTCAAATAGTACTGTTACAAGGATCATTTATGGTTCTTTGTGAAAACACTGCCCCTGCAAAAAGTAAGGTAGTTTTGTTCCTTCTAGAATCTGTCAAGTTGTACTTCCAGCTATTTCTGTAATTACAAAGAAGGGAAGCAGGTAATTCTGAAGCAAGTAATACTGATTCTCCGTTTGGACATCTCCTCTCCACACATATACACAAACATATGCACATACACATGCACACACAGAGAGCCATGCTGGAGGAGGAAGTAGTTACCAGGCACACAAACCACAAACTTTGCAGAGGCATGCCATGCCCAAGTTTGGTTCTGGCACCTTCCATTCAGTTGCCATCTTTTACTCTTTCTGCTGTGCTTATACTGTGACTGAATGTAGTTTCAAGGTGACTGATAAGTAATTAGAGGTTTTTTGGCTTATTTACCTGGAAAGCATGGATCCAAGAAAGGCCCAAAAGATAAAAATAAAATCTGAGGGGAACTATCACCCAGAAGAAAGAAATATTTTCACAATGACATAGGCAAGAGTCCATCTAGACTCCTGCTTTTGCTCCCACTCTCCATTTCTCCTTTCCTAATGCCTTGCACACTCTTGACATCTGTGCAAGACCTGGACAAAAGGTCCAAAAAGCCTACCTGCATGCCAGATGAGGAGCCAATAGGTGAAATATTCACACGAATGACACCTTCCTTTTGCAATCTCTCTCAAAAAAAAAATTAAATGATTGCAAGTGGTAGAAGCAACAGTGTAAACAAAATTATATTTTAAGTTAACTATTTACAACCTTCAGCAAGGTAAAAATTATTGGTAATAAATGACTTGTACAAATCAGAGGTACAGCATGTTATAATTGTTGCTTCCAAGTTGTGTAGGGGACTTTTATTAGTAGTACGTTTAAAAATTGAAATTTTGTGTTTTGTTGAGAGTATTAAGACTGTAAATGCTGCATACATTTAGCTATTTTTTTAAAATCTAGTGAAGCTCAACAGATGTTTTCCACCAATTAAAGTATAAATTGATATCATGATTATCAGCTTAAGTTCCCCTTGAGGGTAGCTGTAACAGTGAAGGTAAGAGAAAAAAAAATCTATATTTATAAAAATGCTTTCCTATTTTGGAAATAATTCTTTTTTTTTTTTTTTTTTTTGAGATGGAGTCTCACTCTGCTGCCCAGGCTGGAGTGCAGTGGCGCGATCTCTGCTCCCTGCAAGCTCCACCTCCCACGTTCACGCCATTCTCCTGCCTCAGCTTCCCGAGTAGCTGGGACTATAGGCACCCACCACTACACCCGGCTAATTTTTTGTATTTTTAGTAGCGACGGGGTTTCACCCTGTTAGCCAGGATGGTCTTGATCTCCTGACCTCGTGATCCACCCTCTTCAGCCTCCCAAAGTGCTGGGATTACAGGCGTGAGCCACCGCGCCGGCCCTATTTTGGAAATAATTCCAACACTAGCCACCACATTTCAGAAAAAGGGGATATTTTTAGAAGCATTTAGATACATACAAAGATGTACATTTTTTTCATTAACACAATTTTTTTACTATAGCTGATGATTCATAGACAAAAACAATAAACAAACCCTCTTAGAAATTTTTCATCACATTTCAGTTAGGCTAGATCCATCATGATATAATAACAGTAGGGGTGGAAAGAGGGGGTGGTGCAGAGTGCAGATTGGTGACATTAACAGGAGAATTCCAATCAAAACAAACACCAACATGAGTTGATAACTGAGGTAAATCTGTTGCATGTGGATTACCTCATTTGAGAAGGAGGAATAGAAACTTGGATAGACCCACTTCTTTGAGAGCAAACTATAGAGATGAAAGTAGAAACTAACCAACTTAACAAGATTTATGTTCTCCATACCTACACTAGAAGAATAATTTATCTGGTATTTACCAAATTAATTTTCTACTTAACAATTGTTTCATTCTTTTAGGCATAATTTACAGTGATTGATGGAGATTATCTGTTTCTCATCTACCAGTTCTTTAGGTAATGAACACTAATACCTATAGCATGGAATCAATTGAACTAATTAACATCCCCTAGAAACTATTTCCTTTCAACATTTGAGCACCTATAGTATGTGTGCACTGTGGTAGGCACTGAGGATGCCCTCTTCCTCCGTATGTGTACGTGAGAATGAGATTACATTGGCAGGAAGTGAGAGAGGAAGTGCTAGAAAAAATTCAAGATGCCCAATTAAATTTGAATTTCAGATGAACAACAAATAATATTTTAGTAAAAGTGCATCTCATACAATATTTACTAAGTCTGGCAATGCTAAAATTTGCTCATATATCTAAACACTCAAATAGAAGCATGAAAAAATATAGTGAGAGCAATGAGAAGGAAGCTTCAAACTCTCCATGGGTTGACAAGTGTGCAGTCCATTGAGGAAAAATTATCTGCTTTCTTGCAAGCAGAACTAAAAGAGCACAAGGATGGAGGAAAGGCATTGAGATAATTCAAAGTAAACCCATATGCAAAATCAGCCACCAGCGTAGAGTGAGCTAGTCAAGAGCCCTAGAAAGAGTAATAGTTGTGTGGCAATAAAGGCCAGTAAAACACCTCCATAAGCAAGAGATTAAGAAGAGTGGACACGTGAAAACAGTTACAAAAATCTTGTTCCTGTGTATATACTTGTAGCAGCAAGGGTCGGGGCAGATAAAAATTCATAACAGAGTTGAACTGATAAGATTAGCCTCTCAGAGGCATTCCCTGAACTGTCACATTGTTTTTAAGTAATGTCAGAATTGCTGGCATCATTGACTAGAACAGGATGGAAGCCCTGATCTTTCTTATGGTAATATATAAGGTATTTAGAAAGAATTACATATGCCCATCTGAAGATCTGAACTGAAATCCTGGTTCCAACATCACACAATAACCATGATTGTATGATGCATAAAACAATAGTCATATATACTTGAAAAAGTTACTCACCTTTTCATTCTCAGATTCCTTACCTATAAAAGTTGACTAGTAATTGTGATAATTACATGTGATACTGTATATGAAAGCACCTACCACAGGGCTTAACACACAGTAAATTTCAATGAATACTAATAACTTTTATTACCACCACTCCCCCTCCCTCTCCCACACAACCTATCATATGGCTGGGACAAGACACAGTCCAGGAGACAATACTGGACTTGCATTCAAGAGAGCTGCTTACATCACAGAATAACAGACTTCACCTTTAGAGAACAGGGCTCTCCATATCAACAGGAGGTAGTACACCAACTTAATAAATCCCAATATGTAATGGAGAAAAGCTGGAAGCACTCCCTTTGAAAACCATCACAAGACAAGGATGCCCTCTTTCACCACATCTATTCAGCATAGTATTGGAAGTCCCAGCCAGAGCAATCAGGCAAGAGAGAGAAATAAAGGGCATTCAAATATGAAGAGAAGAAGTCAAACTAGCTCTATTTTTAGATAACATGATTCTATACCTAGAAAACCCCACAGTTTTGGCCCCAAAGTTCCTTCAGATAATAAACGACTTCAGCAAAGTTTCAGAATACAAAATCTATGTACAAAAACAACTAGCATTTCTATACACCAAACAGCGAAGCTGAGAGCCAAATAAGAAAAGCAATCCCACTCAGAATTGCCACAAAAAGTATAAAATAGGAATACAGCTAACCAGGGAGGCGAAAGATCTCTACAATGAGAATTACAAAACGCTGCTCAAAGAAATCAAAGAAGCCACAAACAAATGGAAAATCATCCTATGCTCATGGATAGGAAGAGTCAATATTATTAAAATGGTCATACTGTCCAAAGCAATTTACAAATTCAATGCTATTCCTGTCAAACTACCAATAACATTCTTCATAGTATAAGAAAAAACTATTTTGAAATCCATACAGAACCAAAAAAGAGTTCAAAAGCCAAGGAAATCCTAAGCAAAAGGAATAAAGCTGGAAGCATCATGTTACCCAACTTCAAACTATACTATAGGGCTACAGTAACCAAAACAGTATGGTCCTGATACAAAAACAGGCACAAGGATCGATGGAACAGAAAAGAGAGTCCAGGAATAAGGATGCACACCTACAACCATCTGATCTTCAACAAAGCTGACAAAAGCAACGGGAAAAAAAAAAATCACTATGCAATAAATGGTGCTGGGATAATTAGCTAGTCATATGCAGATGATTGAGACTGGACCCCTTCCTTAGGCCATATACAAAAATCAACTTAAGATGGATTAAAGACTTAAATGTAAAACCCAAAACTATAAAAACCCTGGCAGACAGCCTAGGCAATACCATCCTGAACATAGGAACTGGAAAAGATTTTATTAAAAAGACACCAAAAGCAATTGCAACAAAAGCAAACATCGACAGATGAAATCTAATTAAACTTAAGAGCTTTTGCACAGCAAAAGAAACTCTCAACAGAGTAAACAGATAACCTACAGAATCAGAGAAAATATTTGCAAACTCTCCAAATGACAAAGGTCTAATACCCAGCATCTACAAAGAACTTAAACAAATGTCCAAGAGAAAAACAAACAGCCCCATTAAAAAGTGGGCAAAAAACATGAAACAGACACTTTTCAAAAGAAGACATTCATGTGGCCAACAAGCATATAAAAAAACCCTCAGTATCACTGACCATTATAGAACTGCAAGTCAAAACCGCAATGAGATACCATCTCATGACAATCAGAATGGCTATTACTAAAAAGTCAAAAATAACAGATGCTGGCAAGGTTGTGGAGAAAAGGGAACACTTATACACTGTTGGTGTGAGTATAAATTAGTTCAACCATTATGGAAAGCAGTATGGCAATACCTCAAAGAGCTAAGAGCAGAACTCCCATTCCTCCCAGCAATCCCTTTACTGAGTACCTAGCCAGAGTAATATAAATCATTCTACCATAAAGACACATGCACACAAATGTTCATTGCAGCACTATTCACAATAGCAAACACATGGAATCAACCTAAATTCCCATCAGTTACAGACTGGATAAAGAAAATGTGGTACATAGACACCATGGAGTCCTGTGCAGCCATAAAAAAGAATGAGATCTTGTCTTTTGTGGGAACATGGATGGAGCTGGAGGCTGTTATCCTTAGCAAACTAATGCAGGAATAGAAAACCAAATACTGCATGTTCTCACTTATAAGTGGGGACTAAACGATGAGAACTCATGAACACAAAGAAGGGAACAACAGATACTGGGGCCTACTTGAGAGTGGAGGCTGGGAGGAGGGAGATGAGAAGAAATATAACTGTTGGGTACTGGGCTAAATTCCTGGGTGATGAATAATCTGCACAACAAACCACTGTGACATGAGTTTACCTATGTAACAAACCTTCACATATACCCCCAAACCTAAAATAAAAGTTTAAAAAAAACAAGAAGAAAAAAAGAAAAAAATCTCAGTATTGAGAAAACTTCCTTCCAGGAAGTATGAGAGAAGAAATTCCTCCTTATAAAACTGGCTGTGGGACTTTTAGGTACTTATGACTAATGTTTTTCTCCCTCTTCAGGAAACATCATTCATCAAGATTGTGGAGAGAGGACTTACTAGTAGAGAGCGGTTGATTTCCCAATACCCGGTTAACTCACTCTACAAAGGGTTAGCCCAGGCGCCTCATATTAGAGGCCCCTCCAATACATGAATCATTGATATCAATTACTAATAAAGAACTTACTTTGCACCAGGTACCACATTAAATGTTTTGCTTATTTTAACTGTTAACCATTTTACATTTGAGGAAATTAAGACTCCAAGGGTTACATGGCTTACATAAGGCAACACAGAGATGAGCTATAACTCAATGCAATATGGCTCCAGTGTCTATACTCTTAACTACTATACTATATTGTCCATGCTACTATGACCATTCTGTAGCTGAGCACTGTGCTAACTGAACTACAGGTTTATCAAAAAAGTGAAACACAAGTCTTACAGCTTTTAATCTAATTTTTTTAAATGAACATACAAAAATACAGACTAAAAGATAGGTCCAGGCAGAGGTGAGCTTAAAGGACCAATGCCTGAAAGACATTTATAAAATTGCTTTTTATAAAACTTTTTGAGATGCCATCTCTCTCTGTCCCCAGGCTGGAGTGCAGTGGCCTGATCCCAGCTCACTGCAATCTCCACCTCCTGGGTTCAAGCAATTCTCCTGCCTCAGCCTTCCGAGTAGCTGGGATTACAAGCACCTGCCACCATGCCCAGCTAATTTTTGTATTTTTAGTAAAGATAGTGTTTCACCATATTGGTCAGCCTGGTCTTGAGCTCCTGACCACAAGTGATCCACCTGCCTTGGCCTCCCAAAGTGCTGGGATTACAGGTGTGAGCCACCGTGCCTGGCCTCTAGAAGAGCTTTTGTCTTATGGTTTGTCTCTCTTAATTATTCATGCGGTTTCCTGAACCATTGATTCAACAACCAGATTGAGTGACATCGCTGGAATGATCAATCAGCTGTAATGAAGCCTGGTTCTCTCATCCAAACTGCCCATTTCTATGCTCCCCAAGACACTGGCACATCTTTAAATAATTTGTGTTTTAATTGTTTAATCCTACTTTCATGATTGTTATCCAGGAGGGTTTTTTTGGCTAACAATCAATACCATCTTCCCAATAACTTTAAGGTTCTATAAACTCCGAAAAATATTGGCAGTCTATATACTTGATGGCAAAGTCCTATGTCCTATGATCTTTATAAATTTGTATATTGTTAGAAGCAAATTTTGAGTTTTGATTTGTGCTTCATAAAAGAAAAAAAGATTTCTACACAAAATCTCCTACCTAACTTTGCCATACTGAAATGAAAATTGTTTAGCTGCCATCTTGTGGCAAATAACACATGCTGAAAAAAAAATCAACGTTTCATAGTAAATCTCAAGATTTTCATTTTAATTTCCTCTTAATGGATGATTCTGTATCCATTTCACCTGCCTTTAAGGGAAGAACCATTACTATTTTTGGTCTGAGATTTTTTGGATAGCAGAGTAATGTCAGCATTTACACTACAGTAGTTCTTTTAGAACACCTATTTTGCTTTACACGAAAAAAATAACATTCCACAGATGAGATGAATATAAATGCATGGGAATTTATCATTGCCCTAATTTGAGACAAATTATGAAGAAGTGGTTGAATGTGGCCCACTAAAGTGTTTCTTAAAGTCTCAGCACTGTCTACTTCATTCTGAAAGACCACCAGTTAGAGACAGTGAAATGAAATCTACCTTCACATTTTTTTCCAGTGAGCTCACTCACTATTCCTAAAGCTGATGAATTCCATTTTTGAGTCCTATTTATCTGTGTTGAGAACAACTTGGCTCTCACCTCTCGCCCACTTTGATTTACACTTGGGTATGCTTACTTATTCCAATATTCAAGTTAGGACTCACACCTTCAGGCCTTAAATATAACTCTGGCTGAAGAATGTATAAAGGAGATTTTGCTTGGGAATCAAGTTTGTTTTGCTAACTTTGTTGCTCTGCAATCAAAGTAGGCAGTATGCATAGTGATTAAGTGCACTGTGTGTGAACTCAGACTACCTGAATCCTGGCTTTCCGTTTTACTATCTGTCTGACTTTGAACAAGCCACTTAACATTTTCATGCTACATCTTCCACAAATTTAAAATGAGGATCATAATAGCATCTACCTAATAGTATTCAGTTAACAAGTAAATTTCTTTGAACAGTGCTGAACAGAGAATAAGTATTCAACAGTATGAGTCAATAATTGTTTTGTCTCTTCTTAATGCCAGGTCACTCTGCTGATATCTAATTCTCAACGTTCAATCATCCTACCCTTTCAAAACTGATTTAGCAAATGTTTACTGAGTCCATAGTATGTGCCACACCTAATCCTGTGTACTGAAGCTACAAGAGTTCAAAGGAAAGGCAGTGTCAACTATTGTGCAGTTTACAACAGAGAGGGTACTAGACTACAAACAGATACATGCACAGACTGCATAATTTCAGAAAGAGTAAGCAAAACAGGAAAATGTAAATGCCTAAAATAGTTGGTCAAACTTGCAAAGTTAGAGAGGGAAAAACTGTAGAAAATGAGAATGGAGAGGTAGGAAGAGATCTGAGAATGTAGGGCTTTGTAGGATATGTTAAGGACTTTAAATCTCATTCTAAGTGCAGTTAGAATCCATTGGAGGGTTTTGAAGCAGGGAGTTACATAGTCAAGTATATGTTTGTTTTTAAAAGATCATATTCTGTATTGCATCACCTTAAAAGCTAAGAAAACTTATCTTCAGAGAGTGAAGCAGATGTGTCAATAGAAACAAATGTGAGAGACGACAATAAAGTCTCTCCCACAAGACGAATTGCATTTATACTCGAGTTCCATGGGGTAATTCTTTAAAACAACTTCTCCCTTTTTTATTTAAGGTATTTCTGATTGTTTTCTGTTGAGTTCCAACTGACCGAAATATGTGTAACTATCTTACTCTTCTACCTCTAAACTTGAAAAATTCCTTTTGTCTACCTTTATCATACTATGGATTTTTCTCTATCTTCACATTATGACCATCTTCTCAGTGAAAAAGCTAGGGCCTTCTTATGTCTTACAAGTTCAAATGGTCTGAATGTGCACTTTTTTATTACGCTCCTGCGTGACATTTTGTCTTTTCCTGCAACAGAATTAGGAGCCAAAGGATTAACAAAAGTAGGACACATTTGGGGTGCTGCAAATTCTGGGGGAACTAAGTGTCAAGTTATGGGAATAGAGCCTGCCAGGCCAAAAACAGATACGGGTTTCAAGGCAATATAACAGCCACATGGTATACATAAGCTGTTGACACAGTGACGGCAACGAAAAATAAAATTGTCTCTCAACAAGTGTACAAAGCAGAACCATGGACAATTTAGGAACACAGTTCAGAGATCTAAAATGGCAGGCTGCACCAAGGAAAGTCTGGTAGCTGGTAATAAGGCCTTAGTTATAGGAATGACATTTGGGGTCAGAACTAGCAAGAAAAAGGCAGGATCCCCATCTCTTCATGACTTTGTAACTTATCAGTACAGAAAAGTTTCAATGACAAGGTAGAGACTCAGTTACCTGACCTGAGATAAAAAGTTTGAAAAAAACTAGAATCAAATTTGCCTTGATGTTGAATTCCTTGTGTCTGATGTTGCAGCTCCACTTATTTGTCCAAAAGCAGGAGAAAGAGATGAACCTGCAGTTGGTAGACGGCTGAGATCAAAGACCCCAAATTTGGGACAAACTTACTACATTGCTTCATTTATGAATTACATATTGATACAAAGAGTAGCTTAAAGAAGTGAATACTCCACTTATCTGACTTTCCAACTATTTTTCTCCTTAGAAAATGTCATATTTTTCAGATGCAGGCCTATTCTCAAACAACTTATGTGAGATCAACAAATTGCTTCTCAGAGGTGCTAAACACTTCCCATTTGATAATGTTTCTAGTCTTTTCTTCATTTTTATAAATGTTTTAAAAGACAAAAGTAGATAATACATTGTTTAGGAATATATTATTAAACTTTTTAAACTTTTAGTTTTGAAGGTACATGTGCAGGTTTATAATATAGGTAAACTCATGTCACAGGGATTTGTTGTACAAATTATTTCATCACCCAGGTACTAAACCTAGTACCCAGTAGTTATTTTTTTCTAATCCTCTCTCTCCTCCCAACCTCCACCCTCATGTAGGCCCCAAGGTCTGTTGTTCACTTCTTTGTGTTCCTGAGTTCTCATCATTTAGCTCCCACTTACAAGTGAGAAGATGCAGTATTTGGTTTTTCTGTTCCTGCGTAAGTTTTCTAAGGATAATTGCCTCCAACTCCATCCATGTTCCTGCCAAAGTCATGGTCTCATTGTTTTTATGGCTGCATAGTATTCCATGGTGTGTATGTACCACATTTTCTTTAGGTAGTCTATCATTGATGAGCATTTAGGTTGAGTCCATATCTTTGCTATTGTGAATAGTACTGCAATGAATATTCATGTGCATGTGTTTTTATGGAAGAATTATTTATATCCCTCTGCATATGTATCTCCTAAACAGATTCCTGGGGGGAATGGTAGTTCTGCTTTTTAGCTTTTTGAGGAGTCACCATGCTAATTACAATGGTTGAACTAATTTATACTCCTACCAACAGTGCATAAGTGTTCCCTTTTCTCCACAACCTTGCCAGCATCTGCTATTTTTGACTTTTTAATAATAGCCATTCTGACTAGTGTAAGGTGAGATGGTATCTCATTGGGGTTTTGATTTGCAGTTATCTAATGATCTGTGATATTGATGTTTTCTTCATGTGCTCATTGGTTACATGTATGACTTCTTCTGAAAAGTATCTATTCATGTCCTTTGCCCACTTTTTAATGGGGTTGTTTGTTTTTCTCTTGTAAATTTGTTTAAGTTCCTTGTAGATGCTGGATATTAGGCCTTCATCATATGTATAGTTTGCAAATATTTTCTGCATTCTATAGGTTGTCTGTTTACTCTGTTGATAGTTTCTTTTGCTGTGCAGAAGCTCTTAAGTTTAATTAGGTCCCATTTGTCCATTTGTGCTTTTATTGTAATTGCTTTTGGTGTCTTCGTCATGAAAACTTCACCAGTTCCTATGTTCAGGATGGTATTGCCTTCATTGTCTTCCAGGGTTTTCACAGTTTTGGGTTTTACATTTAAGTCTTTAATCCAGCTTGAGTTGATTTTTTTATATGATGCAAGGAAGGGGTCCACTTTCAATCTTCCACATATGGCTAGTCAGTTATCCCTGCACCATTTACTGAACAAGGAGTCCTTTCCCCATTGCTTTTGCCAGCTTTGTTGAAGATCAGATGGTCATAGCTGTGCAGCCTTATTCCTGGGCTCTCTTTTCTGTTCCAGTGGCCTATGTGCCTGTTTTTGTACGGGTACCATCCTTGTTTGGTTACTCTCACCCTGTAGTGTTTTTAGTCTTGAATCATAGAAACTAATGCCATAGAAAAGAAAGAAAGAAGGCATATGTGCACAGAAAATCAAGCAGATCACTGAACACATTGCTGGCCAAACAGCCAACTGCTTAATAATGTAGCTCAGACTAACATTACTGAGAAATTACACTTTATACCCCTACCTTCTCCAATCTAAAGGGATTATGGGTGAAATGAAAACAATGCATGGCCTGAAACAAAAGGCAAAGGCTGATGTTAGCTTGCAAGACCTAAATTAATGTTTATACTGAAATCCTCTCAAAATGCTGCTGCTTCAGTCAAGCAAAAAATGTTTGTGATCTTAGTGGAGATTAAAAGAAAAATAAATGTTTCAAATGAGTCATTGAGTTTCTGAAACCGGGAACTTTCTGATATAAAGCTGATTGAACTTCTACCTTGGGTCTTTGAGAATGAGACTGAAATTTACTATGAAATGCTGTTTTTTCAAATTTTAAACTATGCCTAATGCAAAATCACTAATAATGTCTGAACAATCACAAAAGACAAAAAAAAAATCTACATCCTCCATTTCACTGTAATTGGGGACAGTTGATACAGAGATAACGAAGTGTCCAAATAGCCTTGAAAAGCTAAATGCTAAATATTTTCTGCATGAATACTACAGAAATTTGAGGACTCTCTTTGTGTTAGGGTTAATGCTTTCAAAGAATCATTCCTTAGTGGCTCTTCCATTAAAAAGCCTGTTAATCACATAAAGACTGCTTTCTTGATTTCATTATTGCATTTCTATTACACTTGTTCTGAAATCACCAGTAACAGATAAATCGATACTAAATGTTTCTAGACAGATGACCTATAACAATATAAATTAATGTCAATCCAAGTTCATGAACAGTGTTAAGAGGTCCTATTACATACTCCATCACCCATTTTCCTGAGGCATTATTCTAAAGCTTTACTGTCCTCCTCAGGGGGCTTAATCAAGCTCCACTACATAATTTACAGGGCTCAGCATAAAATGAAAACGCAGGGCCTCTTGTTCGAAAAGAAAAAATAAATAAATAAATAAATAAATAAATAAATAAAATTAAAAAGCATGTGTTTCCTTCTGCAGTCTCTGTCTAAATGTGATGTTCTTTCTTTGTCTTCTGTATTTTTTAATTGAGAAATAGAATTGTATATATTTATATTGGAAAACATGCTATATGCACATATATTGTGGAGTGGCTAAATTAAGCTAACTAACACATTTATTACTTCATATACTTATTTTTTTGTGTGTATTGAGAACATTTAAAATATACTCTTAGTAATTTTCAAGTAAGTGATACATTGTTATTAACTACAGTTATCATGTTATACAGTAGGTCTCCTGAACTTATTCCCCTTGTGTAATTGAAATGTTGCATCCTTTGACCAACATCTCTCCAATCCCTCCACCCCCAGCTCCTAGCCACCACCATTTACTTTCTGCTTCTGTGAATTTGAATTTCTTAATTCAACATATACATGAGATCATGAAATGTTTGTCTTTGTGACCAGCTTATTTCACTTATAATAATGTCCTCCAGGTTCATCTATGTTGTCTCAAATGACAGAATTTCTTTTTTTATGGATGAATATTATTCCATTGTGTATATGTACCACATTTCCTTTGTCCCTTCATTCATTGATGGACACTTATTGTAAGTAATGCTGCAACAAACATGGGAGTGCAGATACCTGCTTAAGATGCTGATTTCATTTCATTTGGATATATACCCAGAGGCAGTATTTTGAAAAAGTTCTATTTTTAATTTGAGGACCCTCCATACTGTTTTCCATAATGACTGTACCAATGTACCTCTCCACAAGCAGTGTACAGGCATTTCCATTTCTCCACATTTTTGCCAACATTTGTTATGAGGACTAAGCTCTGATTTTCTCTTATGTTGCCGAAATATCTAAGGGGTCTGGGGAGTCATGCCCTAAAAATCATAAATGCTCATCAGATGGGTTTTATTTAACTCTATATATTGTAACTTACTTTCCAGCCTGACTCTGGCATAACATTACGTGACAAAGAAGAAAAATAAAAATATTTTATCCTATAATATGTTTATTTGCCATATTTTGAAATGGCCCTTTAAAGTCATCCTTTGTGGGGGAAAATTTGCATCTGTAAAGAATCTCTATTAACACAGCTAAATCTTTTTCTTCCAGGACCTCCCAATCCTGAAGAGATTAACTGAGAGTCTAGCACCTTTTAAAGGTCTGAATAGGAAACTTTTGTCATCTATTGTCTCTAAGGGCAGCCACTATGAGACTTCAAAAGAACCATGGTCTTCACAATCTATCTTAACCTGAACATTTCCTCTCTATTAATCCCAGGTCTTTAGACAAACTCAACCAATTGTCAATTGGAAAATGTTTAAATTTACCTATAGCCTGGAAGCCCGCCCTCCACTTTGAATTGTCTTGCCTTTCTGGACTAAGCTAAAATATTTCTTAATGTGTTTGATTGATGTCTCATGTCTCCCTAAAATGTATAAAACCAAGTTGCACCCCAATTGTCTTGGGCACATGTTCTCAGGACCTCCTGAGGACAGCGTCATGGGCCATGGTCACTCATATTTGGCTTAGATTGAATCTCTTCAAATATTTTACAGAGTTTAACTTCGTTGACAGTTATGTTTTGTCTCCTTTTGATAATAGCCATTCTAATTGGAGTGAGGTAATAGCTCATTGTTGATTTAATTGGCATTATCCTGATAATTAATGATGTTGAGCATTTTTTCATATATACCTTCTGATTATCTGTATGTCTTCTTTTGAGGAAAGTCTACTCAGTTTCTTCACCCATTTTTGACTGGGCTGTTTGTTTTCTTGCTATTGAGTAGTTTGAGTTCATTATATATTTTGGATATTAAACCCTTATCAGATGTTTGGTTTGCCAGTATTTTCTCCCATCCCATAGGTTTTCTCTTCACTCTGTTGATTATCTGCTGTGCAGAAGATTTCCATTTTAATGCAATCCCATTTATCTATTTTTAATTTTGTTGACTGTGCTTTTGATCTCAAAATCTATTAGAAAGCATAGTAACTGAAAGAGCATGGAACAAAAAGAGACATATAGACCAGTGGAAGAGAATAGAGAGCCCAAAAATAAATTCACACATTTAAGGTCAACTGATCTTTCACCAAGGCATCAAGAACACACAATGGGGAGAGAACAATCTCTTCAATAAACGTTATTGTGAAAATTGGATATCTACATGCAGAAGAATGAAAATGGACCCTTATATTACACCATATGCAAAAATCAATTCAAATGGATTAAAGACTTAAAATAAAACCTGAAACTTTAAAACTATTAGAAGGAAGCATAAGGAAAAAGCTTCTTTCCATTGGTCTAGGCAAAGATATTTTTTGATATAATGCTTTTCTAATAACAATATAAAACTCTACTCCCTCAGGTGTAGAGATACTCATGAGACAAAGGCAGAAACTCACAATTAGGCCTTATCCCATGACTCAGTAAATGGGACATGCACACCTGTCTCTGATCTTCATCATGTCCATGCCCAAGCCTCTTTCAGGGATGCAGGGTGGCAGCAGAAACTGTGTGTGGGAAGGGCAATGGCAGCAAAAAATCAATCCTGAAGAAGCAGGGAGGCAGTAGGAGTTGAAACCTTGGGTAAGCTGAGGAACACCTGAGCCAATGCTCCAAATCCCAGCACATGATCCACTTTCCCAGTGGACTTTACTTAGAAATGCAAAGGTAAAATTATTAATAATTCAATTATATGATACAAATATGTATCTAAATATCAAGTTATACCTTATAAATATGTATAATTATAAAATGTTAATTTAAAAATAAAACAAGCTTTTTTTAGAAGGAATTTCCAGAAGGCAGCCACAGAGCATAAAACCCCAAATGCAGGATCCCCTTCTAAGTGTGAGGCCCTATGTGACTGTATAGGTCACTATCCCATGAAGCTGTCTCTGCCTCTAGTGCCCATTTGCACCACTATGAAGAAAATAAAGGTATTTAGGTATGAATTTCTTCATCTTCTTTGTTTACCATCTACAAACATAGCAATATTTTCTACCTATCCTTTTATTTTTTCACCATTTTATAAAATATAATATGCTTCCTTCTTATCAAAGCTAATTCATTCACATGTGCTCTGTGTCCCATGTCCTTATGACATCCTCTAATGATTTTCTCTATCAAGTGTATTTACTCTTTTCTGATCTTCAACATCTTTCTCTTTATTGGCTCTTTCTCTTCAGGCTACAAATATATTCAAATTGTTATCAATTATTAACAACCCTCCACTGACCTTGAATACCCCTCTAACTTTTATCCTATTTCCGTAATTATCTGCACAGCCAAGGTTCTAGAAATAGTAATCTAGAAATAGTAATAGTAATTCAAAATGTTCCCTAATCTGACCTCTTTTAACCATCTCCATTATCTCCATAGTCCACGCTAGAATCAATTAAACAATTTTAATACTCTACTAAATAGTCAATCTGCTTCCACTCCTGCCATTCTAGACTCCATTCTCTATAAGGCAGTCACAATGATTCTTAAAAACACAAGTTGGGCCTGGCATGGTGGCTCCCACCTGCAATCTCAGCATGTTGGGAGGCCAAGACAGGAGGATTACTTGAGCCAAGGAGTTTGAGGTTCCAGTGAGCTGTGATCAATGGCCAGACACTGATGAGCATCCAAAAGCATCGAGGCCATCCAGGAAAACATGTCCTCACCAAGTGAACTAAATAAGGCACCAGACACCAATCCTGGAGAAACAGATATGTGACATTTAAGAAAGATAATTCAAAAAATTGGTGTCGAGGAAACTCAGATAAATTCAGGATAACACAGAAAATGAATTCAGAATTCTACTGGATAAAATTAACAAAGATATTACAATAATCAAAAAGAATCAAGCAGAAGTTGTGGAGTTAAATAATGCAATTGTTATATTTGAAGATGCATCAGAATCTCTTAATAGCAAAACTGATCAAACAGAAAAAAAAATTAGTGAGCTTCAAGATAGACTATTTGAAAATACACAGAGGAGACAAAAAATAATAAGAATGAATTACACCTGTTAGTTATAAAAACAGCCTCAAATGGGCAAATCTAAGAGTTATTGACCTTAAAGAGGAGGTAGATAAAGAGATAGGAGTAGAAAGTTTATTTAAAGGGATGATAATGGAAAACTTCCCACGCCTATGGAAACATATCAATATTCCAGTACAAGAAGGTTACAGAAGGACAAGCAGATTTTACTCAAAGAAGACTACCTCAAGGCATTTAGTAATCAAACTGTCAAAAGTCAAAGATAAATAAAGAATCTTAAAAATACACAAGACAGGCCAGGCGCGGTGGCTCACACCTGTAATCTCAGCATTTTGGGAGGCCGAGGTGGGCGGATCACAAGGTCAAGAGATCGAGACCATCCTGGCTAACATGTTGAAACCCCGTCTCTACTAAAAATACAAGAAAAAAAAATTAGCCTGGTGTGGTGGCGGGCGCCTGTAGTCCCAGCTACTCGCGAGGCTGAGGCAGGAGAATGGCATGAACCCAAGAGGCAGAGCTTGCAGTGAGCTGAGATCATGCCACTGCACCACTGCACTCCACCCTGGGCAACAGAGTGAGACTCCGTCTAAAAAAAAAAATACACAAGACTAAAGAAAAAAAACAACATGCAGTGTAGCTTCAGTATGTCTGGCAGTAAACTTTTCAGTAGAACCTTTAGAGGCCAGAAAAGAGATGCATGAAATATGAAAGTGCTGAAAAAAACTTTAATTTTAGAATAGCATGCCCAGCAAAAATATGCTTCAAACACAAAGAAGAAATAAAGACTTTCTAAGACAAATAAAACTTGAGGGATTTCATCAACGTCAGACCTGTCCCACAAGAAATGCTAAAACGAGTACTAAAATCAGAAAGAAAATGATGATAGTGAGGAATAAGAAATCATCTGAAGATACAAAACTCACTGGCACAGAAAACAGAATATTATAACACTGTAACTGTTGTGTGTAAACTACTCTTAAGTCGAAAGACTAAAAGATGAAAAAATCAAAAATATAACTACTATACTTTTAAAGACATGGCAGTACAATAAGATGTAAATAGAAACAACAAAATGTTAAAAAGTGAAGAGATGAAGTAAAAGTGTAGAGTTTTTATTTGTTTTCCTTTTGCTTGCTTGTTTGTCTATGCAATCAATGTTAAGTTGTCCTCACTTTAAAATAATGAGCTATAAGATTGTAGTTGCAAGCTGCATGGTAACATCAAATCAAAAAAATACAAGAGATGTGCAAAAAAAAAAATGAAAAGTAAGAAATTGGATCATACCACCAGAGAAAATTGTCTTCACTAAAATGAAGACAATAAGAAAAGAAAGAAGAGAAGACCACAAAACAACCATAAAACAAATTGCAACACAGCAGGGGTAAATGCTTATTTATAAATAATAACATTGAATGTAAATGGACTAAATTTTCCAATCAAAAGACATACAGTGGCTGAATAGATTTTTAAAAAGACCCAATGATCTGTTGCCTACAAGAAAAACACTTAACCTATAAGACCTATGAGGATACACATAGACTAAAAATATAAGAATAGACAAAAATATTTCATGCCAATGGAAATCAAAAAAGAGTAGGTGTAGCTAAACTTATATCAGACAAAATAGATTTCAAGACAAAAACTATAAGAGAGACAAAGAAGGTCACTATAGAATGATAAATAAGTCAATTCAGCAAGATAATATAACAATTTTAAACATGTATGCACCTAACACTGGAGTACCCAGATATATAAAGCAAATATTATTAGATCTAGAGAGAGAGAGATCCCAATACAATAATAGCTGGAGACTTCAACACCCCACTTTCGACATTGGATAGATGATCATGACAGAAAACCAAGGAAACTGAACTTAATTTGCGCTATAGACCAAGTGTATCTAATAGAGACTTAGAGAATATTTCATCCAACAGCTGCAGAATACACATTCTTTTTCTCTGCACATGAATCATTCTAAAAGATAGACCATATGTAAAGTCACAAAACAAGTCTTAAGGAATCTGAAACATTGAAGTAACATCAAGTACCTTCTCTGATCACCATTAAATAAAACCAGAAATTAATAACAAGAGAAACATTGGAAAATATACAAACACATGAAAATTAAACAATATGCTCCTTCATGATCACTAGGTCATTGAAAAAATTAACAAGAAAATGTAAAAATTTCTGGAAACAAATGGACATGGAAACACAACATATCAAAATCTATGGGATACAGCAAAAGCAGTACTAAGGAAAGTTTGCAGCAAAAAGTGCCTACATCAAAAAAGCAGCAAAACATGAAATAAACTATCTAATCATGCATCTTAAACAAGAAGAAAAGCAAGAAAAAAGCAAGCCCAAAATTAATAGAAGGAAATAATGAAGATTAGAGCAGAAATAATTGCAATTAAAACAAAAAATACAAGAGATCAACAAAACAAAAAGTTGAGTTTTTAAAAATTTATTTACAGTATGGTTTCCAAATTTATTCCTTTAAATTCTTTTTCCTGTTTGGGTATAGTAGAAATATACATATGCTGCAATTTTATGCAAAGGCAACATTTGGTTGGGGACCAATTACTGTGCATATGCTAGAAAAATGCAAAATAGATATTTGAATACATAAAAATTAAAAATGTTTGAACAAACAAAATTATACCTATTCTAAAAAATTTATTTTATTATCTATTCAATGGTTAGGGTTTTTTATTGCTAATTGTACTCATAAAAATGTATACTCTGCTATGTATTCAAGATAATATCATGAGAAATTTTCCATTTTATTATTTTTCTGTATTAAAAATAAATTTGAATGCTAAAGAAAACAAAAGAAAATATTAATTGTTGAGAGTTTTGGGAAGATTTTTAAAAGGTTGAGGCATCTATCAACAAAATTCTTTCAATGTATACAAATAATAATTATAATGAAGCAAGGTTATATTTTTCTCCATATTTAATTGGCTGTGTTACTTTACACTTTTAAATGTTTCTGTGTATGTCTATACACTTCATAGCTATGTTATTTTGTGTTATTCTTTTGAACTTTTATTTTAGTTTCAAGGAATACATATACAGGTTTGTTACAGAGGTAAATTGTGTGTTGCAGTGGTTTAGTATACAAGCAGTTTTGTTACCCAGGTAATCAGCATAACTCCTCACGCACTTCCCACACTTCACCCTCAAAGAGGTCCTGGTGTCTATTGTTCCCTTACTGTGTGCATGTGTACTCAATGTTTACTTCCCAATTATAAGTGAGAACAGGTGGTATTTGTTTTTCTATACCTGTGATAACTCACTTAAGATTGTGGCCTCTGGCTCCATCCATGCTGCTGCAAAGGACATGATATCATTTTTTTAGCTGCATAGTATTCCATGGTGTATATGTACCACATTTTCTTTATCCTGTCTACCATTGATGGGCATCTATGTTAATTACGTGTCTTTACTATTGTGAATAGTGGTTCAATGAACATACACATGCATGTGTCTTTATGGTAGAATAATTATATTTCTTTGGGTATATGCCAGTAATGGGATTGCTGGGTTGAATGGTACTTCTACTTTAAGTTCACTGAGAAATCTCCAAAATGCTTTCCATAGTGGCTGAACTAATTTACATTCTCTCCAGCAGTTTATAAGCATTCCTTTTGTTTCAATTGTTTTGGTGTCTTTGTCATGAAGTCTTTGCCTAGGCCAATGTCCAAAATAGTATTTTTTAGATTTTCTTCTAGGTTTTAGGTTTTATATGTATCTTGAATCCATCTTGAGTTGATTTTTGTATTTGGTGAAAGGTAGGGGTCCAGTTTCTCAGGCTCAAGCAATCCTCCCACCTCAGCCTCAGATTAGCTGGGACTACAGGCACACGTAACCATGCCCAGCTAATTTTTGTATTTCATTGCTTGCTTTTGTTGGTCTTGCCAACAGATGGTTGTAGGTATGAAGCTTTAATTCTGTGTTCTCTAAGCGATTCCATTGGTCTATGTGTCTGTTCTTAAACCAGTGCTATGCTGTTTTAGTTACTGTAATCTTGTAGTATTGTTTGAAGTTGAGTAATACGATGCCTCTGGCTTTATTCTTTTGGCTTAGGATTGCTTTGGCTATTTGGGCTCTTTTGGGGATCCAAATGAATTATTTTGTTTTTCTAATTCTGTTTTAAAATGTCATTGTTAGTTTCATAGGAATAGCATTAAATCTGTAAATAGCTTTGGGCAGTATGTCCATTTTAGAAAAATTGATTCTTCCTATCCAGGGACATGAATTGATTTTTTCATATGTTTGTGTTGTCTCTGATTTCTTTCAGCAGTGTTTTGTAATTCTCATAGTAGACATATTTTACCTCCCTGGGTTGCTGTGTTCCTAGATATTTCATTCTCTTTGTGGCTATTGTGAATAGGATTGTGTTCTTTATTTGGCTTTCAGCTTGAATGTTATTGGTGTATAGAAATGTTACTGATGTTTGTATATTGATTTTGTATCCTGAAATTTTGCTGAAATTGTTTATCAGGTCCAGAAGTCTTTGGGCAGAACCTATGGAAATTTCCAGGTATAGAATGACATTATCTGCAAACAGGAATACTTTGACTTCCTCTCTTCCTATATGGATGCCTTTTATTTCTTTCTCTTACCTGACTGGTCTGGCTAGGACTCCCGGTACTATGTTGAAGAGAACTGGTGATAGTGGACATCCTTGTCTTGTTCTGATTGTCGAAGGGAATGCTTCCAGCTTTTGCCCGTTCAATATGATGTTGGCTGTGGGTTTCTCATAGATGGCTCTTATTATATTAGGTATGTACCTTTGATGCTTAGGGTTTTGTTTTTGTTTTTGTTTTCTAGGAAACACATCTCCATCTGTAAGCCTATATGGGACCACGGAAAACAAGAGTATGAAAAGAAGTTTTTGTTGTTGTTGTTTTTATATTTATTTTATTTAACTTTTATTTTAACTTCAGGGGTACATGTGCAGGCTTGTTACATAGGTAAACTTTGTCATGGGTGTTTGTTTTACAGATTAATTCATCACCCAGGTATTAAGCCTAGTATCCAATAGTTGTTTTTCTGATCCTCTTCCTCTTCCCACCTTCCACCCTCTGATATGCTCCATTATGTGTTGTTCCCTCTATGTTTCCATGTGTTCTCCTCATTTAGCTCCCTCTTATAAGTGAGAACAGGAGGTATTTGCTTTTCTGTTCCTGCATTGGTTTTCTAAGTATAATGGCCTCCAGCTCCATCCATGTTCTGCAAAAGACATGATTTTATTTTTAATGGCTGTATAATATTCCATGGTGTAATACTATGCAGCCATAAAAAAGGATGAGTTAATGTCCTTCGCAGGGACATAAATGAAGCTGGAAACCATCATTCTCAGCAAACTAACACAGGAACAGAAAACCAAACACCACATGTTCTCACTCGTAAGTGGGAGTTTAACAATGAGAACACATGGACACATGGAGGGGAACATCACACACTCTGGGGCCTGTCGGTGGGTGGGGTGCTAGGGGAGGGATGGCATTACGAGAAATATCTAATATAGATGACGGGTTGATGGGTGCAGCAAACCACCATGGCACATGTATACCTATGTAAAATCCTGCACATTCTGCACATGTACCCCAAAACTTAAAGTATAATTAAAAAATATATTCCATGGTGTACATATACTGCATTTTCTTTATCCAGTCTATCATTGGTGAGCATTTGGATTGATTCCATGTCTTTGCTATTGTGAAAAGTACTGCAATGAACATATGCATGCATATGTTTTTACGATAGCATGGTTTATATTCCTTTAGGTCTATACCCAGTAATGGGATTGCTAGGTAGAATGGTATTTCTGTTCTTAGGTCTTTGAAGAATTGCCACACTGTCTTCCACAATAGTTGAAGTAATTTACACTCCCAACAGTGTATAAGCATTCCTTTTTCTCCACAACCTCACCAGCATGTTATTTTTTGACTTTCTAATAATAGCCATTCTGACTGGTGTGAGATGGCATCTCATTGCAGTGTTGATTTGCATTTCTCTAATGATCAGTGATGTTGAGCTTTTTTTATATGCTTGTTGGCCACAAGTATGTCTTCTTTTGAAAATTATCTGTTGATATCCTTTGCCCACTTTGTAATGGGGTTGTTCATTTTTCTCTTGTAAATTTGTTTAAATATTTTATAGATGCTGGATATTAGAACTTTGTCAGATGCATAGTTTGCAAAATTTTTCTCCCATTCTGTAGGTTATCTGTTCACTCTGTTGATAGTTTCTGATCCCAAAGACATACAAAGAACCATCAGAGAATATTATGAACACTTCTATACACATAAACTAGAAAATCTAAAAGAAATGAATAAATTCCTGGACACATACATCCTGCCAAGATTGAAATGGGAAGAAATTGAATCCCTGAACAGACCATTAATGAGCTCTGAAATTGAATCAGTAATAAGTAGTCTACCAATCAAAAAAAAAAAAAAGCGCAGGACCAGATGTATTTATGACTGAATTCTACCAGATGTACAAAGAAGAGCTGATACCATTTTTGCTGAAACTATTTCAAAGAATTGAGGAGGGGGGAACCCTCCCTAACTTATTCTGTTGGGTCAGCATCATCCTAATACCGAAACCTGGAAGAGATACAACAACAGCAACGTAAAACTTCAGACTGATACCCTTGATGAGCAACAATCCAAAAATCCTCAGCAAAATATTGTCATACCAAATGCAGCAGCACATCAAAAAACTTATCTACTACGATCAAGTAGGCTTTATCCCTTGGATGTGAGTTTAGTTCAACATATGCAAATCAGTAAATATTGAGGATTTTTTAACATGAAATAATATTGAGTTTTATTGAAAGCCTTTTCTGTGTCAATTGAGATGATGATGTGGTTTTTGTTTTTAGTTCTATTTATATAATGAATCACATTTATTGATTTGCCTATGTTGAAACAACCTTGCATCCCAAGAATAAAGCCTACTTGATTATTGTGGATTAATTCTACATTTAAAAATTACTAGAGGAGTATAATTGCATTGCTTGTAACACAAAAAACAAATGCATGAGGTAATGGATACCTCATTAACCCTGATGTGACTATTCCACACCGTATGCCTGTATCAAAATATCCCATATATCCCATAAACATATACGCCTACTATGTACCCACAAATATTAAAAATAAGTTTAAAAATCTGCAACAAGCATATATGAATGTTTTTCACAGAAGTTTTAATGTCTTGTGTATGTATATCTATGTATACACACATACACATACATATATACACATACACATATTATACATATGTACACATACATACACATGTCTTTTTTACTTTTATAAATTTAGAAAGTACAAGTGCAGTTTTCATATATGGATATATTGTGAAGTGGTGAGGTCTGGGCTTTTTTATCTAACAATCACCCAAATAGTGTACCCATTAAGTAATTTCTCACATGTAAGTATTTCTGTAGGATAGACTCCTAAACGTAAATTTTTGTGTCAATGGGTCACAAATTCCTCTCCAGTAAAGTGTTCTACCAATTTACTATTTCACACAGGACTGATATTCCACTGGTATATACTGATGGAGTGCACTGAGCAGTGTCCATTATTGATCAGAGCCAGTACCATACCAATTATTAAATTTGTTTAGTGCCATACCAATTATTAAATTTATATAGAATCATGCCTGTTCCCCACAAACAATATATAATACAGCTCCTTTCTCCTGCATCCTCATCTACGCTGTATATTAATAATCTGTTTGATTTTCAAATCCAATATGTAAAAAAAATTCATCATGTATGTAATTTGCATTTCCCTGATTACTAATGTAGGTAAGCATCTTTTATGTGTTCATTGGTCATTTATATTACTTTTTCTTGGAAATGGCTTTTCCTGTTTTTCTATTGGATTATTGAACATTTTCTAATATAATTGGTCATTTCCAAATCTAAACAATACAGAATTTATTTAGATGATATAGACCTTAATCAGTTTTATTTTATAAGCATTGTAAATATTTTTGTCACTTTGTTATTGATTGTCTTGCAATAAATTTTTTATGATTTAGGGGATTTTTGTCCTGTTGGGAGTCTCTTCATCATGCCAAAATCATAACACATAACTCAAAAACTTTCCGTTAAATTCATATATGTATTCATTGTCTCCACATAAACCTAAAGGTTTCAAATAGTTTCCTTTGAAACTTTTATCTTGATTCACTGTCTCCTAGTATTTAATGTTTCAGCTGTCTATCTGAATTTTGTTCTTTTGTAGGTATCATACTTGTTTCTCTTTGGAACTTTTAAGTGTTGACATCCAGAAATTTTTCTAAGGTGTGTTTTAATACCTCAATGTCTTCTTTAATTATTCCTCCTCTGCATTTTGTTGGCCCTTTCAAGGCGAATCCTCCAGGCTTTATTCGTCTCATAAAATTATCTTCTATTATGTCATTGGTCATTTTTTTCATTCTGGTATTTCTTTGTAATAGATGTTGGAACTTCCAAGTTGAACCTCAATGTGTTTAACTTTTTCTATAACTTTTCTTTTCCTTGACCTTTTGCACCTCCTTCTGAGAGACCCCAAATGCTAATTCTTCTAAGCCATTAATTCATTTTCAACTGTATTTATTTTGTAATTCAATTTATTAATTATGAGGTTATCTTATTTGCATAATAATTTTAAATATATAGTACACAAACTTCGTTTAAAAATACAAACTGTAAAAATTAAAAGGCTATACTGTAAAAATAAGTCAACCTCTCATGCCACAGAGATATCCAATTACTCTCCACAGAGTAAATATTATGACTAGTTCCCTGTATCAATTTCCAGTGATATTCCTTCTACAGTATATATAGAATGTTAGTGTGTTCATGTATATGTCTGTGTGTGTATTTGTGTGTGTATATATATATATCTTTATAAACAAATGGTAAGAAACTATACACACTGTTCATGAGCTTCAGTTTTGTAGGGTTTTTGTTTGTTTATTTTACTTAATTTATACAGGTCATCCTTCCCATATTAGCTTATAAAAAGCTGCCTCATTCTTTGTAACAGATACAATGTCTTACATTGTAAAAAATATTGCATAATTTGTTATAACATTCCTTTTAAAATAGGTATGTGGGTTGTTTTCTGTCTTTTGCTATAATAAATAATGCTGAAATAGACACCCTTTCATAAATATTGTTGATCACATATGCCAGCATAAACTTAGAATGAACTCCTAGAACTGAAATGAATAAGGAAAAGATTATGTATATTATTGCTAAGTTGTTGTTCATAAGAATTGCACTGGCTTACTTTCCTTTGCTTGTGTATGAGAATACCTATTTCCACAAATTTTACTAATAAATATGCTACCGATATACTCATCTAGGCCAATTTGATAGGTTAAACTTAATATAAACTTCATATTGTAGCTTAAATTTACATTTTTCTTAGGAGTAAAGATTCAATTTTTTTATTGCTGTTACCAACATATATCCTCTCTGCATATTACCACCCTCAATATATCAAAGTTTCTATCACCATTTTAAACACAATATTAAAATATGATAGATTTCAAGAAACTGAACACATCGTAAGTGTACAGCTCAATATTTTTAGTAAATTCAACTTTTTCATGAATCTAGCATTCAGATCAATAATCATAACATTGCCAGTGGCCCAGAAGCACCATTCATGCTCCCTCTCAGTTACTACCCCCCACCAAGGGTAATTACCCTTCTGACCACTAACATAATATTTTTTTGCACTTTATATAAATGGAATCATAAATTATATACTATTTTGTAAATGGCTTCTTTTACTTAATATTATGTTTGCAAAGTTCATTCATGTTGTTTTATATAGATATTGCCAAACACCTTTATAAAACAGTTGCACAAATTTATACTTCCATCAGAAGAACATGAGAGCTTCATTTGCTACAGATTCTTGACAACACTGTTTTTCCATCTTTTTCTTTTTACTCATTTGGTGGGTAGGTATGTGTATGTGTTTGTGTGTATATATGTGTGTGTGTGTGTGTGTATGTATATCTGTTTATAAACAGATAGTAGCCAACTATACAAACTATTCATCAGCTTAGGTTTTGAGGGGGGTTTTGTTTATTTGTTTTACTGAACAATTTATACAAAAGGTTGTCCTATTTGTATAAATTACATCACATTGTATTTAGTTTGCATTTTTCTAATGGCTAATAAACTTGGAGCACTTTTCATATATTTATTGACCATTGCTTATCCTCTATTGTGAAGTGTCCATTTAAAGTGTTTTGCACATTTTTAAATTAAATTAAACATCTTTACTTTTTATTGATTCCCAGGAAATTTTAATATCTTCTAGATACAAATATACTCAGATGTATGTAAAAGTTGCTATATGTACCAAATAATGTCTCCCACTGTGGCTTACTTTTTCACCTTCTTGATGGCATCTTTTGGTGAACAAATTTTCTCAATTAAAATAGGATTCAATTTGTTGTTTGATTTTTTTTGTAGTTAACGTTTTATATTTTATGCCCTATTTAACAAATATTTGCCAACTCCGAGGTTTCAAAGATTCCCCATGTCTTTCTCTACACAAAGTATTTTAATACTTCTCACTTTTAGGTCTGCAACCGATCTGCAATTGATATTTTATATTTATATTTTATATTTATAATGTCAGGTAGGATTCAAAATACACTATTGCCATGGGGATATCCAATTTATCTAGTACCGTCTGTTGAAGAATGTTCATCTTTTAATATTTTAAAAAGACATTTGTATTTCCATTTCTTTCAACTGCCTACATAAGTCTTCCAGTATTCCTGTTAGGTTATCTACCTTTTACTTATTTATTTGTAAAATCTTTTTGTGTGTTAACAAAAATTAGGCTTTTGACTAATATAAATTTAATATTTTAAACAGTTTATGCAGATTATGATTTGTCTTTTTATTTCATTTGTGGTGAGTATTTAGAGCCATGCATGTTTTTGTAATTTTATGTTAGTTAAATTTATTTAGCTTTTTAAAAAATGGCTTCTAGAATTTGTGACATGCTTAGAAATATCATCCCCACACTAAGATTATGAGACTATTCTTTCATGTGTTCTAATGCCTTTGGGTTTTTATTTTTATGTTTAAATCCTTTATTATTTTTGGAATATATTTTATTCAAAGGAGCAAATTGTCAGAATCTAACTTTATTTTCTTTATGATGACTATCCATTTGTTCCAAACTACTTGTAAATAATTCAATTTTCTCTGTTTCTATGAATGACAGATTTTAAAATATTATATTTCTGTATGTATTTGACTGCTTCCATATTCTATTTTGTGCCAGTGTCAAGCCTACCATTTCATTGGCCAATACCACATTGTCTTAGATTTGTGTTTATTTTCCCCTTATTACTATGCTTTTCCTGTGTATTTATGAATATTTTTGCACATGCATTTTCTAAAGATTTTATAATCAGTTTGTTTTGAGTGAATAAAAATCATGTTGTGTTTTTATTTGTTTTATTGAGTATTTACTATGTGCCATGTACTAACAGTTTTGCTTGAGAGACAATGAAAAATTGTCTCTCAAGTTTTTGTGGTAGAAACCATATACTATAATTTTACCCTCTTAACAACTTTTAGGTGTAAATTACAGGACTTTTAACTATATACAAATTGTTGTACAACAAGTTTCTAAAACTTTTTCATCTCGCATGATGAAAACTCTATACTGACTGAACAGCCCCCATTTCTCTCTCCCTCTGGCCCATGGCAATCATCCTGGAAACTACTCTCTGTTTCTATGACTTTGATAAATTTAGATACTTCATAAAGTGGAAGCATGTGGTATTTGTCTTTTGTGATTGGCTTATTTCATATAACATAATGTTGTCCTCAAGCTTCATCTGTATTGTAAAATATGATAGAAAGTCCTTCTTTTTAAGGCTGAATAGTATTCCATTGTATGTATATTGTATATACCACATTTTTTATCCATTCATCTATGAATAGACATTTAGGCTCATCAATGGACATTTAGGTTGCTTCAACATCTCAGCTACTATGAGTAATGCTGTAATGAACACGGGTGTGCAAAGTGTCTTCAAGATTCTGTTTTCAATTTTTTTGGAAAGATTATAAGAAGTAGAATTTCTGGATCATATGTTAGTTCTATTTTAATTTTTTGAGGAACCTTCGTAGTGTACTCCATGATTTTACAATGCTACCAAGAGTGCACAAGGTTTCTAATTTCTTCACAACCTTACCAACACTTGCTGCTTTCTGGTTTTTTTTTTTAATACTAACTACCTTAACAGATGTGAGATAATATCTCATTGTAGCTTTGATTTACATTTCACTGATAATTAATGATGTTGAGTATCTTTTCATGTACTTGTTGACCATTTATATCTCATCTTTGGAAAAATATCTACTCAAGTTCTTTGCCCATTTTTAATAAGGTTATTTTGTTGCTGTTGTTGAGCTATGAGAATTCTTTTTATACTTTCATTATTAACGCCTAATACAATACACAGTTGGCAAACATTTACTTCCATTCTGTAGGTTGTCTTTTTACTTGTTTCTTTTTCTGCATAGAAGTTTTTAAGTGAGAGTTATTTCTATTTGTCTATTTTTGTTTTTGTTATTCTGCTTTTGTTGTCACATTGAAGTCATTGCCCATTCCAATGTCTTAAATCTTTTCCTAAATTTTTTTTTTCTAGTCTTACAGTTTCAGGTCTTATACTTAGGTCTTTAATCGATTTTGAGTTCATTTTTTATATAATGTAAGAAGAGGGTCAAATTTTATTCTTTTGAATGTGGATATAGCTTTCCCAATGCTATTTGTTGAAGAGACTATCCTTTCCCCATTGGGTATTGGCATTCCTGTTGAAGATCAGTTGCCCATATATGTGTGAGTTTATTTCTGGTCTTTCTATGCTGTAGCATGAATTTTTATGTCTGTCTTTAGGCCAGTAACACACTCTTGATTAGTGTAACTTTGTAATATGTTTTGAAATAAGGAAGTGTGTAATCTCAGCTCTGGCTTTGTTCTTTTTTCCCAAGATTGCTTTGGTTATTTTAAGTCATCTGAGAATGCATACGAATTTTAGGATGACTTTTTATCTATTTCTGCAAAAGGAAATGCCATCGTGATTTTACAAGTATTGCATTGAATCTGTAGATTGCTATAGGTAAGATGGACATTTTAACAATATTAAGTTATCTAATCCATGAATACAGGATGTATTTTTATTTATTTGTGCCTTCTGTAAATTCTTTCAGCAATGTTTTGTAGTTTTTGGTGTATAAGTCTTTTGCTTCTTAGTTAAGTTTATTTCTACATACAGGTGTTTTTTTGATGCTATTGTAGGTGAAATTATTTTCTGAATTTTCTATTTGGATTGCTTATTGTTACTATAGAGAAACATAATTAATTTTTCAATGTTGATTTTGTTCCTGCAACTTTGCTGAATTTGTTTATTAGTTCTAACAGAGTATTTTGTGGAATATTTAAGGTTTCTACATATAAGAGTGTATCATATGCAAAACAGATAATCTTATTTCTGTCATTTAAATTTTTATGCCTTTTATGTCTATTTGCTGCGTAATTACTCTGGCTATGGCTTCTAGTATGATGATGAATGGAATGGTAAGAGAAGGCATCATTGCCTTTTTCCTCAACTTGGAGAAAAAGCTTTCAGTTTTTCACCACTGAGTATGATGTTAACTGTGGACTTTTTGCATATGATCATTATTATGTTTAGGTAATTTTCTTCTATTCCTAGCTGGTTCTGTTTTTTAAAATCATGAAAGAGTGTTGAATTTTGTTGAATGCTTTCTCGGCATCAATTAAGATGATCATTTTTTTTTAATCTCATGAATGTGGTCAGTACTTTGATTGATTTTCTTATGTTAAAACATCCATGCCTCCCATCCAAGTACTAACCAGTAACCATCATTCTCAGCAAACTATCACAAGGACCAAAAACCAAACACCACATGTTCTCACTCATAGCTGGGAGCAGAACAATGAGAACACATGGACACAGGGTGGAGAATATCACACACCGAGGCCTGTAGGGGGGTGGGGGGCTAGGAGAGGCATAGCATTAGGAGAAATGCATAATGTAAATGACGAGTTGATGGGTGCAGCAAACAAACATGGCACATGTATACCTATGTAACAAACCTCCACGTTGTGTTGCACATGTATCCTAGAACTTAAAGTATAATAATCATAATAATAAATCCATGTATTCCAGAGGTAAATCCCATTCAATCGCAGTATGTAATCTTTAAAATTTCTGTTGAATTCAATTTGCTAACATTTTGAGGAGATTTTTGGTATCAGAAATATTGGTCAGAAATTTTCTTTTTTTTTAGCATTTTTCAATTGTATTCATTTATTTATAATTGGCAAATAATAATTATGTATATTTATGTAGTACAATATGACGTTTTGATCTGTGTACACATTATAGAACGATTCAAAGTAATCTTTCCATCTCACTAATTTTTCACTTTTTTGTGGCAAGAACATTAAAATTCTATTCTAGACATTTTATAGATTTAGGATTATGAGGGGTTTTTGGTTAGACTGATGAATTATAGAGTGGTGAAGTCAGATTTTAGTGCACCTGTCATTACCTTAGTATTATACATTGTACCCAATAAGTAGTTTTTCATCCCTCACCCTCCTCCCATCCTCCCAACTTCTGATTATCCAGTCTCCATTATATCACTCTGTATGATTTTCCATACCCATAACTTAGCTCCCATTTTCAAGTGAGAACATGCAGAATTTGATTTTCCATTTCTGAGTTACTTCACTTAGAATAAAGGCCTCCAGTTCTATCCAAATTGCTGCAAAAGACACTGTTTCACTCTTTTTTTCTGGCTGAGTAATACTTCATGGTGTATATACATTTTCTTTATTCACTTATCAGTTGATGGGCACTGAGGTTGATTCTATATCTTTGCAATTGTAAATTGTACTGTGATAAACATATAAATGCTGGTGTCTTTGTGATATGACTTCTTTTTCTTTGGGCATATATGAAGTAGTGGGATTGCTTGTTTGAATGTAGATCTACTTTTTGTTCTTTGAGAAGTCTCCATATTGTTTTCCCTAGAGGTGGTACTAATTTACATTCCCACGAACAGTGTATAAGTATTTTGTTTTCGCTACATTCATGCCAACATCTATTGTTTTTTGACTTTTTAATAATGGCCATTCTGGTTGGGGTAAGGTGGTATCTCATTGTAGTTTCAATTTGCATTTCTCTGATGATTAGTGATGTTAATCATTTTTTTCATATGTCATTTGGCCATTTGTACATCTTCTTTTGAGAAAAGTCTACTCATGCTTTTTGCCCACTTTTTAATGACATTATTTTGTTTTGTTTTTTTTTTCCTTGCTGATTTGTTTGAGCTCCTTGCAGGTTCAGGATACTAGTATTCTGTCAGATGTATAATTTGCAAATATTTTGTCCCACTCTGTGGGTTGTCTGTTTACTCTAATGATCTTTTATATTGATGTGCAGAAGCTTTTTAGTTTAATTAGGTCCAATTTACTTGTATTTGTTTTTGTTGCATTTGCTTTTGGGGTCTTCATCATAAATTCTTTGCATAGGGCAATGTTCAGAAGAGTGTTTCCTAGGTTTTCTTCTGGATTTTTTTTTTTGTTTCAGGTCTTACATTTAACTCTTTGATCCATCTTGAGTTAATTTTCATATATGGTGAGTTGAGGGATTCAGTTTCATTCTTCTACATGTGGTTATCCAATTTTCCTAGCACCGTTTATTGAGTAGGGTGTCCTTTCCCTAATTTATATTTTTGTATGCTTTGTGAAATATCATTTGGTTGTAAGTATTTGGCTTTATTCCTGGGTTCTCTGTCCTTTTCCATGGGTCTATGGATTTACTTTTACAGCAGAACCATGCTGTTTTGGTTACTATACTCTTGTAGTATAATTTGAACTTGGGTAATATGATGCCTCCAGATTGATTCTTTTTGCTTAAGATCGCTTTGGCTATTCAGGCTCTTTTTTGCTTACATATAAATTTTAGATTTTTTTTTCTAATTCTGTGTAAAATGAGTAAAATGATGTTGGTATTTTGATGGGAATTGCATTGAATCTGTAGATTGCTTGGTGCAATATGGTCATTTTCATCATATTGATTCTTCCAATTCATGAGCATGGGATGTATTTCCAACTGTTTGTGTAATCTATTATTTTTTTCAACATTGTTTTGTAGTTGTCCTTGTGGAGATCTTTCACCACCATGGTCAAGTGTATTCCTAGGTATTTTATTTTTTTGTAGCTATTGAGAAAAGGATTGAGTGGTTTTTTTTTTTTTTTTTGAGACGGAGTCTCCCTCTGCCGCACAGGCTGGAGTGCAATGGCGTGATCTTGACTCACTGCAACCTCTGCCTCCCGGGTTCAAGCAATTCTCCTGCCTCAGCCTCCTGAGTAGCTGGGACTACAGGCACCCACCACCACGCCTGGCTAATTTTTTGTATTTTTAGTAGAGACAGGCTTTCACCGTGTTAGCCAGGATGGTCTTGATCTCCTGACCTCTTGATCCATCCGCCTTGGCCTCCCAAAGTACTGAGATTATAGGTGTGAGCCAACGCACCTGGCTGAGTTGTTGATTTGATTTGCAGTTTTGTTGGTGGTTGTATGTAGCAGTGTTACTGATTTGTTTACATTGACTTTGTAACCTAAGACTTACTGAATTCATTCATGCATATATTGGTATGCTTGATGGTGTGACCTGTAAGACCCTTAGGCTTTTTCTATTTGTATTCATTCTTTTTTTTTCTGTTCTGACTAGATAATCAAAATTGACTGATCCTCAAGTTTACTGATTCTTTCTTATGCTTGATCAAGTCTGATGTTGAGCCTTTATAGTAAATTTTTTAATCCAGTTATTGCATTCTTCAGCTTCAGAATTTCTATGATTCTTTTTTATAGTTTACGTCTTTTGATATTCTCATTTTGTACATTCATTGTTTTCCCAATTTTCTTTTATTGTCTACCTGTGTTATCATATAGATCATTGAACTACTTTAAGACAATTATTTTGAATATTTTCAGGTAATCCATAGTTCTCCATTGGGGGGGGATATCTAGTGATTTATTGTTTCCTTTCCCTGAGGCATACTTCCATTTTTAATGTGCCTTATAATTTTTTCCTGAATTTTGTGCATTTGTTAAAAAATCATCTTTTGGTATCTACAGACTGGCTTAATACAGGAGAATATCTTCACCAATCACCTGGCTAGAGATTCTGAGTGCCTATGAAACCTTTTGGAGGGATACAATTTTTCTGGGTTTTTGCGTGTAATTTCCCAATTAGAGAGGCTTCCTGATTTCTTTTTTCACTGTTTATAAATCTCTAGCTCCCTCTGGTGTCTGTATCTAACACTACAGTTACTGCGACACTACTTTCCTTTGTTCTAAGTGGAACCCAGACATCCAAGGTATGCAAGTTCCACATCTGTGCCCCAAATATAGTGAGACAGATACCAGTCCTTTAGGCTTCTCTCAAAAAAGCTGGAACTCGGGATGCATGCTTCACTCTTCTCTCTCCTTGTGGGGAATGCCATGGCTAAGAAACATTTTTATAATTGTGCCAAGCTCTGACAGCCTCTGTCTACAGTATTGCAGAACCTCTGGTGCTAGAGAGAATTACTTCCATGCTCCCTTTCTGTTAATGACTCCTAGCCATCCAAATCATGACATTTCCATTAGCACTCCAAGTCATGCAAGAAAAAAAAGTATATTGGGTAGTCCCACAAAAGTCAGAATATTGAATGCATGTTCCACTTTTCTCACGACGTCTGCCTCCAGAGGAAAAGAAAGTCAGGAGTTAAGTTGAGGTATGTCACCTTGGGGAGAAACAATTATGGTAAAGCAAAATGATTCTTGTTACCTGTCTCAACATTTCTAGGCTTTGTGTTAACCTGGGATACAGTTATTGTATATATTGTTGTTAAGTCAGTATCTCTAAAGGAATGATGACTGGGACTTTCCATTCTGGCATCTAGCTGATGTCTCCATCATCATGTTAGCATCTACTGTTAGACTATATTAAAAGTATAATTATGAGAGTAAAGCAAGATGGCAGAATAGAAGCCTATATCATTCGTACCTTCCACTGTAAAACTAAATTTTTACAACTATCAACACACAAGAAAGCACTGTCACAGGAATCAAAAATTAAGTGAGCAATCACAGTACCTGGTTTTAACTTTATATTACTAAAAGAGACATTGAGGAGGGCAGGAGAGATGGTTGAATTGCCAATGGCATTGCAATCCCTTAGAAGTGGCCATGTGGCAGGAAGAGAGAATCTATGCGCTTTGGGGAGGGAGAGTGCAGCAACTGGGGGATTTTACATAGGACTCAGTGCTGCCCAGTCACAGTGAAGAATAAAGCCATGCCAGACTCAGCCAGGGCCCATGCATGAAGGGAACATTTGGACCAGACCTAGCCAGTGGGGAATAGCCCATGCTTGTGGCCAGAACTTAAGTTTCTTGGCAAGCCTTGCCACTACAGGCTGAAGTGCTCTGTGGCCCTAGTTAAACTTGAAAGATAGTCTAGGACACAAGGACTGCAATATGTAAGCAACTCCTAGTGCTAAGCTAGGCCTAGAGCCAATGAACTAGAGTGGCCCATGATCTAGGGACATACCAGCTGGTATGGATAAGGGATTGTTTGAGCCATTCTTCCCCCCAAACCAGGCAGTAAAGCACACAGCAATGAAAGTGACTCCATCCTTCTGATTAGGGAGAGGGGAGTGAAGAGTAAAGAGGACTTTGTCTTGCATGTTAAATACCAGCTCAGCCACAATAGGATAAGTCACCAAGCAGAGTTTTGAGGACACATTCCAGGCCCTAGATCACAGACATTTCTAGACAAATCCTGGGCCAAAAGGGAACTTACTCCCCTAAAGAAAAGGACACAGTCCTGGCAGGATTTATTACCTGATGACCAAGGAGCCCTTGGGACTTGTACAACCAGTAGCAAAACCCAGGGTATATGACATGGGCCTTGGGCTTTAGATGTGCTGGCTTCAGGTGTTACCATCCACATTCCCAAATCTGGTGGTGACAGTGAAAGACTTCTGTTTGAGAAAAATAAGGAAAAGTAAAGGGGACTTTGTCTTATACCTTAGGTACCAGCTGAGCCACAGTGGGGAAGAACAGCAAGCAGGATCCTGGGGTACTCAAGTCCAGGGATAGGCACTTGGGCAGCATTTCTGGACATGACCTGGGCTATGCAGGAGCTCATTTGCTTACAGGTTGAGTCCAAGGACTGGCAGCACTCACCACAAGCTGACAGAAGGGCTTTGGGGATTTTAGTGAATACCAGTGGAGGCCTGGCACAACAATCTGTGGATGAGTGATGGTGGTGGCCACAGAAAGAGGCTACTATGCCTTTGGAAAGGGGAGAAAAGAGTAGGAAGGACTTTGTATTGTGGTTTCAGTGCCAGCTTAACTGTAGTAGAATAGAACATAGAGTAAATTTCTAAGGTTTTTCTACTACAATTTCTGGCTCCCAGACAGCATCTCTGGCCATGACTGTGGGCTGGGGAAACTCACCACCATGAAAGGAAGGGCCTTGTGCAAGAAACAGTGTTGTTCTAGCTTCAGGTCTGGCCCAGCAAAGTCCCAGCTGATGGCCACAGGTATCTTGCATCACTATACCTCCAGTTCCAGATGGTTCAGCACAGAGGGGAAGACTGTTTCCTTGGGAGAAAGTAAGAAAAAAGAATAAGAATCACTGCCTGGTAATCCAGAGAATTCTTCTGAATCTTATACAAGACCACCAAAGTGGTACCTCTACGAGTCTGCAAAAACCACAGTGTTATTGGACACGGATCCCTAGTGTCTTTGATTGCCTGGAAAGTCTTCACAAGAAGAACAGGCACAAACTAGCCCAAATGTTGAAGACTACAATAAATACCTAACTCTTCAATACCCAGACACTGATGAACATCTACAAGCATCAACACCATCCAAGAAAACATGACCTCACCAAATGAACAAATAAGGCACCGAGGACCAATTCTGGAGAAATAGAAATGTATGACCTATCAGTAAAAGAATACAAAATAGCTATTTTGAGGAAACTCAGAGAAATTCAAGATAACACAGAGAGGCAATTCAGAATTCTACCAGTTAAATTTACAAAGAGATCAAAATAATTAAAAATAATCAGGTAGAAAATATAGAGTTAAAAATGGAATTGACACATTGAAGAAGGCTATTTGAAAACACATAGTAAGAGGAGGTGAAAAAGAATACAAAGAATGAAGCATGCCTACAAAGTCAAGAAAATACCCTCAATATGGCAAATCTAAGAGTTATTGGCCTTAAAGAGGAGGCAGAGAAAGAGAGGAGTAGAAAGTATACACAGAGGAATAATATCGGAGAATTTTGCAAACTTAGAGGAAAATATCAATATCCAAGTATAAGAAAGTTATGGAACACTGAGCAGTTTTAACCCAAAGAAGAGTACCTTAAGGCATTTAATAATAAAATTCACAAAGGTCAAGGATTAAAAAAGGATCTTCAGCAAGAGAAAAGGAAAAAATAACACAAATTGGAGCTCCAATGTCTGGCAGCAGACTTTTCAGTGGAAAATTTATGGGCCAGGAGAAAGTGGCTGACATATTTGAAGCACTGAAGGAAAAAAACCTTTTATCCGAGAATAGTATACTTGGTGAAAATAGTTTTTCAGCATAAAGGAGAAATAAAGACCTTCCCAGGCAAACAAAACCTGAGGAAATTTATGAACATAAAACATAAAACCAGTCTTACAAGAAATGCTAAAGAGAGTTCTGCAACCTAAAAAAAAAAAAAAAAAAAAAAAAAGTGGTTAATGGGTAATAAGAAATCATCTGAGAGTACAAAACTCACAGGGAATTGTAAGCAGATAGAAAAACACAGAGTATTATAACACTGTAATTATGGTGTTTAAACTACTCTTAAGTAGAAAGACTAAATGATAAACCAATCAAAAATAATAACTATGATTTTTCAAGAAATAGGCAGCACAAAAAGAGAAACAACCATAAGTTTTAAAGTGGAGGGACAAAGTTTATCTCTTGCATTTTCATCAGTTTACCTTTTGTGTGTTTGTTTCTTTGTTTATGCAATCAGTGTTAAGTTGTTATCAGCTGATAATGGGTTTTAAGATAGTATTTGCAAGCCTCATGATAAACTCAAATTGAAAAACATACAATGGATACACAAAAAATAAAAAGCAAAAAATGAAAGCATACCACCAGAGAATATCACCTTCACTAAAAGGAAGACAGGAAGTAAACAAGGAAGAGAAGGCTGCAAGACAATCAAAATAATAAGAAGATGGCAGGAGTAAGCCTTTTCTTTTTAATAGTAACATTAATGTAAATAGATTAAACTCTCCAATCAGAAGACAGTGGATGAATGGATTCACAAATGATCTGTTGCATACAAGAATCATACTTCACCTACAAAGATATATATAGACTAAAAATAAATGGATGGACAAAGATATTCCGTGCAATGGAAACCAAAAAAGACCAGGAGTAGCCACACTTAGATCATACAAAATAGACTTCAAGACAAAAACCATAAGAAGAGAAAAAGAAGATCACTATATAATGATAAAGAGGTCAATCCAGCAAATGGACATAACAATTTTAAATATGTGTGCACCCAACACTGGAGCTCCTAGATTATACAAATGAAATATTATCAGAGATAGAGAGAGATAGGCCCTGATACAATAATAGCTGGAGACTTTAACACCCCACTTTCAGCATTGGACAGATGTTCCACACAAAAATCAACAAAGAAACATCAACATATAGGAACTGACTTAACCAAAGATGTGGAAGATTTTTATAATGAAAAGTATACAACACTGATGAAAGAAATTGAAGAGAGCAACAAAAAAGTGGAAAGATAGTCCATGTTTCTGAATTACAAGGGTCAATATTCTTAAAATGTCTACTCAAATCAGTCTACAGATTCAGTGCAATCTCTATCAAGAAACCAATGACATTTTATACAGAAATATTTTAAAAATCCTAAATGTATTTATAATCACAAAAAACCCAGAATAGCCAAAGTTATCTTGAGCAAAAAGAACAAAACTGGAGAAATCACATTACCTGACCTCAAATTATACCACATAGCTACAGCAACAAAAACAGCATGGTGCTGGCATAGAAACAGATACACAGACAAATGGAACAGAATAGAGAACCCAGAAATAAATACACACATCCACAGTGAACATACACCTTTTTGACAAAGATGCCAAGAACATACATTGGGAAAAGGCAGTCTCTTCAATAAATGGTGCTAGGAAAGCTGGATATCTATATGGAGAAGAATGATACTTGACCCTTATGTCTTTTCTTATACAAAAATCAAATAAAAATGGACATAAAATGAAATTTAAAGCCTCAAACTATGAAACTGCTACAAGAAAACATTGGAGAAACTCTCCAGGACATCAGCGTGAGTCAAGATTTCTTGAGTAGTTCCCTGCAAGCACAGGTAATCAAGACAACAATGGACAAATGGTATCATACCAAGTTAAAAAGCTTCTGCACGACAGAGGAAACAAGCAACACAGAGTAAAGACAACTCACAGAATGAGAATAAAAATTTGCAAACCACTCATCAGGAAAGGTATTAATAACTAGAATATATGAGTAGTTCAAACCAATCTATAAAAAAAATCTAACCGGCTTTAAAAATGGAGAAAAGATTTAAATAGACATTTCTCAAAAGAAGACATACAAATGGCAAACAGGTATATGAAGGGGTGCTCAACATCATTGATCATCAGAGAAATGTGAATAAAAACTAAAACTAGATTATCATCTCACCTCTGTTAAAATCACTTATATCCAAAAGACAGGTAATAACAAATGCTGATGAAGATATGGAAAAAAGGGAATTCTTATACACTATTGATGGGAATGTAAATTAGTACAACCACTATGGAAAACAGTTTGGAGGTTCCTTGAAATATAAAAATAGAGCTACCATATGACCCTGCAATCCTACTGCTGGCATATACCCAAAAGAAAGGAAATCATTATATCAAAGGGATATCTGCACTCCCATGTGTGTTTGCAACGCTGTTCACAATAGTCAATATTTGAAAGCAACCTAAGTGTTCATCAACAGATGAAGAGATAAGGAAAATGTAATACTTATACGCAATGAAGTACTATTCAACCACGAGATTCTTTTGCAACAAGATAGATGGAACTGACGGTCATTATGTTAAATGAAGTAACCAGTTCTGGAAGAATAACATCACATCTTCTACTTTATTTGCACAATCTAAAAATCAAAACATCAAAACAATCTAAAATCAAAAACAATCTAAAAAAATCTAAAAAATCTTAAAAAAATCAAAACAATCTAAAAATCAAAACAATTGAACTGACGGAGATAGAGAATAGCAGTATGGTTACCAGAATCCAGGAAATAACACACTCAAATGAGGTATATGTTGCCTCCAGAATCCAGACCATCCGCTAGGTGGCCTCTTTTTTGGTTTTTAGAGGGACCAGATGCAACAATTCATTCTTCATCTTAAATAGAATATCTTGACATGCCCCACACCATTAGACCCTTAGAAATTTCACTTAAGGACAAGTCCCCTAAATGTTCATCGGATTTATTTTTATTTATTTATTTTTAAATAGTTCAGCAATTTTTATTTCATGGTTCTGGGGGTTAACGAGCTCAGCTGGGTGGTTCTCACTTGAGCTACCTCATATAGTTGTAATCAGATGGCTGCTGAGAGTGAAGTTATCCGAAGATGTCTTTACTCAATGTCTGGCACCAGAGCTGAGATGACTGTAACAACTGGGAACTAGTCAAATATCTTTTTCTCCACACATAGTCTCTTTATCTGGCTAGCTTGTACTTTTTATACAATGGCAGACTCAGGGTAAACTGACTTCTCACAAGGTGACTAGCTTCCCCACAGTTACTATTTCAAGGTAGCGGTTTTATTTTTTATCTTCTGACACACAAATATCTTACCAATAAGTCTAGAGTGGTTGCTACTTCTTGCTCACTAGGTCCAATCAGCATGATGTCATCAATACGATAGAACAGTGTGATATTTTGTGGAAGGAAAAGGTGATTAGATCCCTGCAAATCAAAT